>NC_000001.11:176820950-177123980 GCF_000001405.40 Homo sapiens
ATTCCAACACATGAAAAAAGAATTAATCCAGCTTTTTTGTATGTGCCTCATACCATTTTTCAGTCTAAAAGTCTGCTGCTCCCCCCAATGGCTAGGATTTGCAGGAATGTCATAGCCTTCTTCTCAACTTACACCATGGTTACAAAATTATGATCACTGCTTCAGGTCCATTTATGTATTTCTTCAGTGAAAATTATATTTTCTGAGTACCTACGATGTGTTGAGATTACAAAAATGAATCAGAAATTCCCATCACAGTGTACACAATAGAGATAAAAAATATCAAATTACTATCCAATGAGTATAAGCCGATAATACAATCATATGAATAAGGGCATATGGGAGCACAGGGAATAAAGCAAATAACTTATCCTAATTCCATGGAGAAAGTTTTATAGAGGGGTAATTATTTGAAGTAGATTTGAAGCATAAATAGGCATGAAAGGCAAAGATGTGAAAGGAAATGGCATGAAGCTGTCATCAAGTCTTTCTGTAATAAAGCTGCATAACAAAATAATCCACAAATATAAATGTCTTAAATAGCAACTTCTCACTCATGCATCTACAAGTTGGCTAAAGTGACTCTCTTAGTTTGTGGTCTGGGTTCAAGTTTACTTTATATGTCTCTCCCTCAGGGACCTAGGCTTTAGAGTTTCACGGTTAGCAGCTACACAGGGCATGTTCTTTTCATGGTAGATAGCTGGGCACAAAAGGGTGAGTTAAGGCATGCTCATGCATTTCCAACTTTTTGTCAAGTGTAGCATGTGTCACATACATTTATGTTCCACTAGTTAAGGCAAACCACATGGCTGCATCCAAAGTTAGTAGGAAGTGAAATTATGCTCTGCTGACAGTGGACTCATGGCAAAGGAAGGGTGAGTAAAAAGAATATAGACAAAGAATAATATCTACTAGTCAGCCTTTGCAGTCGCAAGCATTCGTTAAACACATTCACTCCACCCTATGCCAAGACACTCCAACAGTCTTATCCAGTCCTAGCATCAGGTTTGAAATCTAGAATCTCATGATTGATACCAGATTGCAATGTAGCTTCTCTTAATCTGGAGCCTTATGTACTAAAATCACAAGCTCCCTGCCTCCCACTCACCCCACATGCAAAGTGGAGCAGAAATAAATAACTACAATAAACATTCCCTTTCAAGGAGAAAGAGTGGGAGGTGCATAAAGCCCACCTCTCATTCTTTGAGCAAAAGTTGTAAAACCACTACTGGGAGAGTAGGGAGCACTTCTTGTTTAGAAACTTTCGATTACTCCCTGGGTGTCACCTCCTAGTTGATTGTTCTTCATGACTCTTGGCTCTGATCTCTAAGGAGTCTTCATTTTCCACCATCTCATTTGGTCATATATTAAAAGCAGTGAGGAACATCCACTTTTGGAAGCTGAGTATCTTTCTTAACTTCCTTCCTCCTTGTAGAATATAGGGGGCCCAAAGGTCACTAACAGTAGGTCTCTTACAATCCAGGTTGATAGTGATTTTGGCACCTCAACTCCCACAAATTTGATTGATTTTTGTATATATTTAATTCCAGTAAAATTCATAAGGCAAGAGCTATACTCACAAGTCTTTTCAAGAAATGCCTCTCTTAATAAATATAGGTATTCTGAGCTTATGAGGCTTCTCTTGGACAAAGTTCTTAGGCTGTTTCCTCAGAGTCCTTTTGTAAACTGCAAGGATCTCCTACGTGTTGATTTAATCCAATTGAAGGTCCTAACAAATGATGTAATGGTTCACTCCTTAATTTGTTTCTTTGCCTAACATTGTCTTAACTTCAGTCTTAGAAGGCCTTTCTAATGCAGATTATTATGAAATTTGATCTTTTACTGGCCAGAGATAAGAAACGGTTTTATTTTTCAGTACTACAAGTTTTAGAATTTCTAATAATTTATATTCCCGGTCAATTCTACTGGCAAAGCAATAACCTTTTCTGCACTCATCTCTTCTCGCAGTACCTTATCAAATTAAGGTAATAACCACCAACTAATCCTAGTAATATTCTTCTTCAAAACTTCTTTATTCAAAGCCAATAGGGCATTACTAAATTTTTGGCCTGCAAGTAATAACAATTAACAATATAATTTCTCTTTCAAGTAACTATAGGAAACATTTTATGAAATACTTTGCTACCACATAAATGAAGAACATAATTTTTCCAGCCTCCTGAAACATTTATTTTGCTTCCTGCCCCTCCATTCCAGAGCCAATCTCATACATTTTAGGTTTTTTGTTTGTTTGTTATGGTAACATTTTACTTCTGATACTACTGTCTGTATTAGTCAAGTGTTCCTGCAATAAGGTCACATAACAAACAATCCCCAAATGTCAATGGCATATAACATAAAGTATTATTAGTCTGCTCAGTGAAGCTGATCTTGAGGGAGATAAGGAAGTATGGAATGACTCAAGGTTAAAGAGGTAAATAAAAGGTAGATCATTAGATCTCTGGTATGCCAATCTAAGCAATTTGGGCTTTATTCTGCAGCCAGTGTTGATCCAATGAGGGCTTATAAATAGAAGAATATGAATTAATCAAGGTAGGCTGTGGTCATAAATTAACCCTAAAATTGCAGTGATTTACCATTACTTTTCTCACTTACATTAAGTCTGGTATAACTCTCTAGAGCAGCTATTCATTTCTTCCATCTTATTACTCTGTCCTTTCAAAATGTGATCTCCATGGTTGCCTCCTTGAAGACAGAGGAGGAATACAAAGTGAGGCCGGTAACTCTTGATTCCCTTGGACTAAAAGTAATGCATCATTTCTGTTGGTCCTCCCATTCACCAGATATGGTCACATTCCCTCAGCCCATAATAAGTGAGGCAGAACAATCTGAGGGACCACAGAGATATCTGTGAGCATTAAGAATCTCTGTAAGAGAGAAAAGAAGGTAGGATGTATAGTCTAAGAAGAAATCATGGTGGCAAAATTGAACCATGGAGGTCAGGGTGTTACCATCTCTCACCTGAACTAATGTAACAGCCCCCTCACCAAACTGAGGAAGTGCAAAGAAAGGAGAAAAGAGTCTGAATACAAAATTATGTCTGCAATAGGATAGTATTTGTTTGCTGGGTGTAATGATGAGAGAGGAGTTAAAGATAAAGTAAACAGGATTGGAAAGATGGCAGTGGTGGATGACAGTACCGTGGGCTTGCCTCTTACACTGTCTCAGTTTGCTCTGAAATAAGCTCAGTCAACAGTTTATCAACACACATTGCTTGAACATCTGCTGTGGGGAACAAAAAGACCTGGTTGCTGCCTGCATAGTTGGAGGTGTGTGCTATTTGTATGTGTTTTTGTTGCTGTATCTATTTTGAATGTCTGGTTAACCAGCTTCTAGTTGGCAGGGGCCATGTTGAATTTTTCTGTGTTTATACTGCCACACACACAATCAAATTTAATAGTAAACATCCTACAAGTAGTTAATAAATATTCACATTTGGCTAAGTGATGCTCATTTTATTCTCTTCTTTGGCTGTTCTTGTCATATATTCCTTGGGAAATTTCTTATGCATTAAATATAGAATATTGCAGTTCAGAGCTAGAATTAGTACTTTATTTCTAATTTATTTTTTAATTAGAGAAACCAAGTAGTAAATTGAATATGCATTATCCAGATGTGAAAACCTTTGAACAAACAGAGATGAAATTGACTCCCCAATGTCCTCATGTTTGCCTGCCGGTTTGGAAGTTTAAAATAGTTAAGTTTAATTTGCACCTCTATCGCTCATTCCCCAAGTGACCTTGGGGCACGACCCTTTGTCCCATTTTTCCCCATCAGTGGAATATGGATAATCATATTAATCTGCCTCACCAGGCGATGTGAGGACTAATTAAAAATGAGATTAGATTCAACTGAAGTCTTTCTAATGTGAAAAATATTAAACTTGGTGATGCATGTCTGAAATGCTGTTAGGGTCTGGGAATGGTCTCTGGCTTTAGAACTGCTTGTGACCCTGATGGCACTACAGCTAAGACTGGAGTGCCTGCAGGCTGCCCATCTTGCTCATTGGCCAGATTGCCTCTGACCTGGTTCCATGTCCTGTGGGCCCAGCCTGAGCGCCAACCCTGTGTGGAATTGACTGGTAACTGGTAAGCTAATGATCTGTTCACTTCTTAGTGCTTCCTCGGAGACTTACTTCCTGCCTTTCCTCCTCTTACCTCCTTTTCCTGACAGGATCTCTGGAAGTTCTTTGGATTGATCCATCACTAAAATAGTTAAATTGATAAATTTACCAAATAACTTACGTGTTTTGCTCATACTTACTTCACCCAGGCAGACAATGCCCTGATGCACAGAGCCGGCTTTTCCGATTGTGTTTTATAGGTACCTACCTCTACTAGGTAATTTTAGGGGTGTTATGCATGGTCTCATTTATCCCCCGAGTAGTTGTCTTCCAAATGTGGTTCATAAAGTAGCAAACTTCTTGTAATTAATTTCATATCTTGCCTTATTCTTTTATCTTTTATTTAATTGCAGATACATATTAGTCCTTGACCCTCTAGTATGTCAGCGGCTTTCCAGAGGAATAGGAAAATATGCAGATACTGTGGCAGGGATGGAGACATTGGTTATGGGGGTCGTTAGAAGGTGCAAAGAGTTCAGCATGAAGGTGGGGACGATGAGAAAAGAAAGGAGAGACTAGGAGACTCAAGACAAACTTAGATAGAGCATTGCTGCTATACCTCAGCTATCAATAGAATCTAAGGTAATTAGGTACTGCAGATAACTTTGATTATTGTATATTTTGTTTGCTTTGAAACCATGTTACGTATTATATCCCCATAGTTGAGCAAGGTAAATGGTAAGATCCCTGAGATTAGAGAACACCGTTAAGAAAGAGGAAAAATGTCAAAGTCACTAAGTAGCCACTTTGGCAGGGCTGCGCTCCACCCTCACAGACAGAGAACCATTGATACGAAGAGTATCCAGGCACATTTAGCTCAGGAAACAAACAAACAAAAAAGACAACTGGGGATTGTTCAGTATATTGAATAACATTATTGAGTGTTTTTAGCATTCCACGTCACGCTATGAGGAATTATTACCATTGCTACCATCCTTGTTTTACTGATGAGGAAACTGAGGGGCTGAGAATTTAATTAACTTCCCAAATCTCCTGAGCTAGTAAATATGGGACCAGTTAATGAACCTCGGTAGTGTGATTCTAGAGTCCATGTTCTTAGACTGGTAGGAAGATTAAAAGCAAAGGAACAAATAAATGATGTATAAACTAGAAATGACTTTTAGAAAATACAACTGAGAGATGAAGATGGAGTGCTGACAACCTGTTAGGAACCCTTTCTGGGCTTGCAAGATTTAAACCAGAATAAATGGAAAAGGAGATATGCCAATGAACTCTGCTTAGCAAGGATCAGAGACCAAGAAAATGAGAGCAGAGAACATGTTGTGAAACAGATGCAGTCAATCAGTGATGAGTGGATTAGATACACAGACAAGCATCCTGGAGATAAAGGGAATGTAAACAAGACACTCGCACAGAGAATAGGTTCCATATGGGTGAAAGTGAGACTGGATGGACCAACCAGTTGGGGGAGAAAGGAACAGCTGGTCCAACAAATCAGGATGTGTGGCAGGTTGAGGATCAGAAGCACAATGATCAGCCACACAAACTGAACTGTCCATAGACATGGGAACTAAATATTAGACTGAAGCTAAAAGAAACAAGACTATTGGCAAGAAAACATTCTGGAATAAACATGATACCTCCCTCTTGCCATTTTTCAGGTCAACTGGACCTGGATATTACTGGGGATGATAAAATAGTTATGTCTAAATTGTGGAAAAAGTCTGCAGAAATTGGGCAGAATAGAAAATGTGCGGGGCCCCTCTAGACCTGTGTTTACATATACAGGAAAAAGGAAAATTTGTAGAGCTTCTCACTGTGAGCTGGGACAGGTCTTGCTACTTAATCAAGATCTATGTCCCATGACTCAGACCTTTGATTGTGGTAAGGATACCTTCTAGATAGATTTTCAGTGATCAAATTATTTTAGAAAAGTGCATCATGATTTGAACAGTCAATGTCATAGATAAGCCTTCATCTCCACTGGTCTTCTGCCCATATATGACCTTTCAAGTGGTCCTGATGACTTTCCTTCACAAAACCCCTCCTATCTGCCTTTTTCTATTCCATATTATGGACAGCCAGTTCTGTTCTTCTTCGTTCATATTGCTTGAACTCAACTCCTACTTGGTCCTGGCCCTTCCAGTTGTCTTCTGAACGTTCCCTGTATTATCTCCAGATCTAACCTTCAAAACACAGCTTTTATCATTTCTTCTTCTGGAAAAAAAACACTTTAGCTTTTCCCTATTGTCTTCAGAATACAGATTAAATTCTTCTGGATGGAGATTTTGAGTTAGTTCCAAACTTGCATCATTAATATTTGAAAGAGAAAACCACAGATATATCTTTTCTTTTACCATCTGAAATGTCAGCTTATATTTGGCCTTCCTGCTGGGGTTATTCTCCCCATTTCTCTGCCAAAATCCTATCCATTCTTCAAAGATTAGGTTTAATCCCATGTACCCCATAAAGCCTTTCTAAAATGCTCCAGGCAGGTCCTCTTTCTGCACTGCTATCATTCTTATTAGTGGTACCATTAATTACTCTGGGAACTGACCTTCCATTTACCTATGATTTCTTTCCTATGGTCTTAGGTGCAGTTCAGATTCTGTATTATGCAGCACTCATGCCACAATGACTTCTTTGAGGCAAATACTTTGTCACCCAGGAACCTTCTGTGGTGCCTTGTGCATAGCAGACACACTAAACACGTATTGATCAAATATCCCAGGATTCTAGCAACTAACCCTATGCCTGGCTTATAGTAAAATAGATGTTAATTTACTGTATAGAGTAATTTTGGCAAAATGTAAAGGATTTTTTCTGGATAATTATAAAAGAAAGTTTTCTATTTTTCCTTTAAAAAATACTATATAATACATTTCTCATGGCTATCTGTGACATTGACTTTTCCTTAGGCAGAAGGTGGCTGCCTCATTCTCATAGTTTCAGTGAGAGGTTAGACCAGGTGTACAGTACCAAGCAGTAGAGTGAGGCATATCATTAATACATGATAACAATGCTGGAGGCAGCATGAGCATATCAGGATGGTCAGGGCACAGGCCTGAACACCAGACAATGGCTCTATCGTCAGACACATTCCCTATCATCGTGATCAGACACATTATCATCAGACATATTCCTTAACAGCGCCAGTTTTTATTTTTTTTCACCTGTAAAATGGTCATAATAATGGGCCCAATAACAGAGCTATTGCAAGGGTTCATAAAACCACATGTACAAACCTTGTAGTACACACCACACACCTATATAAAACAAAAATAGCATTTTGCTTCTATATAATGGTTTGTAGTTTGTAAAAACAGTTTTACGTTTAGGTTTGTTCCTTATACCGGAAGGTTTCAGATAATTTGTGTGCATCTATACGTGCGTATAAAATAAAAATATACTTTATGTTACAGATCTATAATATAGATTATATATTATTAATTATTATACACATAGTATAATACATATGAGAAAGGGAGAAGCATATATATGTATCATATATATTTACCACATCTATGCATATGTGTATATAAGTACATACAAATATATACATACGGATATATGTATACAATTGCATATACATACATATGCACATGCATTGCATAGATATGAAAGAGAATAAAAGAGAGAAAACAAGTGCTATGAACACTAACAAAAGGCCGGGCGTGGTGGCTCATGCCCGTAATCCCAGCACTTTAGGAGGCTGAGGTGGGTGAATCACGAGGTCAGGAGTTCGAGACCAGCCTGGCCAACATGGTGAAACCCCGTCTCTACTAAAAATACAAAAAATTAGCTGGGCGTGGTGGTGGGCAGCTGTATTCCCAACTACTTGGGAGGCTGAGGCAGGAGAATCTTTTGAACCCAGGAGATGGAGGTTGCAGTGAGCCGAGATCATGCCACTGCACTCCAGTCTGGGCAACAACGCAAGACTCCATCTCAAAAAAATAAATAAATAAATAAATAAAGGAAAGAAAAAGAACACTAACAAAAACTCAAAGAAACGTAGATTAAAGTTTACCCCAAAGTGAAACACTTTCATCTTTGTAAAGAGCTGGATGTGGTATCAGAATGGGAAAAGGCTTGTCAACTGCTGTGCTTTCTTTAAACAGTTCTCACCTTAGCAGTCTCTGCTTAATCCTCAAAATTCCTCTCAATGTACTTGATTGCTGAGAAAGAGAGGGAAGGATGGAAGGGGGAAGGAGGGAGAGAATGAGAGAGAATGGGGAAAAAAAAAAAGATGCTCAGCAAACAGCAGGAGGGCCAAGAAAAATATTTAATCCAAACAAGGCATACGGTCGTTTCCTCCCACAGTCTGCATTCCCAGTCACCTTCCACAGGCGGGCTCAGGGAGCCAAGAAATGCTGGCCTGCCTGGCATGTGCCTGCATGCGGTGAACAGGCAGGGATGAGCACGCATGCTGGGGCTGTGGTGGAACATTCTGGTCACCAGCTCAGGCCTGCCTCAGCCTCCCATGAACTGAATGCTGGCCGAGGAACCAGGAGACAGAGACGAAGGGAAGTTAAGGATCAAAGTCCAAACAGGACCTAACAGTCTGTCCCGGGCCTTCTTGTGGGGTCACATGCTTTTCCTTTCTTCCCTCAGCTGCATGTAATCTGTCTCTGACTTGTACCTGTCTCCTCATCCTTTCATCTCCCACAGCTATGTAAGCTCCATCCAGACAGAGCATGTACCGCCTCATGTTTCAATTATGTGGGATGTGGCCTTGTGCAGCAGCTGGCCAAGGGCCCAGAGAGGAGGGGCACAGTGAGTGGCCACCTAGAGAGGTGACCAGAGAAAGGCACTGGAAGGTCCCACCTTACTGGGCAGGATGCCTGCAGTGGTCTGAAATTCTGCTCTCAATTTCATTCATCTGTAGTCTTAAGTTTGATGTCTGGAAGAGTCTACTGTGAATGAGCCTATGACTGGAAGGCCACACCAAGCTGTTTTCAGGTGATATTTTGGGGTGAGTAATTGATAGTGAAAACAAATACCTGGGAGGCAAAGGGACAAGATAGGGGAAATAATTGGGCATGGTGGTTTATACCTGTAGTCCCAGCTACTTGGGAGACTGAGGCAGGAGGATTGCTTGAGCCCAAGGGTTTGAGACCAGCCTGGACAACATAGCCAGACCCCATCTCTTAAAAAATAAATTTTTAAAAACAGACAAACAAATAGATGACAGGGGGAATGTTTACCTTATCTTGGAGGAAAGGTAAGAGGAGTGAAATACAAGAACTGTTTTGAATTTTTAGTTTTATAGAGTTAATTCTGGAGAGAATTCACTAGTTTAATCCATCAAATATTCATTAAGCACATATTGTAATGTATTGGATACTGCGCTGATGCACAGGGTTTATTGCTGATGGAGGAAAAGGGAACAGAAAAGAGACAAAAATGGAAGTGTTCCTGCCCCCACAGTCCTTGCAGAGTTGCGGACCTCTTTTGTTCAAGGTTTCTATGTCTGACCTTAATACACAGTTGGTTGGCTCCAATTAGCTGAAAAGGGAAGCAGGATATTCCCTAAACAAATGATTGTTAATCCATTGATTGTTTAAAGAAGAGAGCCAAATGTCATGCAGTAAGACTGTATCTGAAGACCTTGCAGACCATCTACACCACTCCCAACATGAAAGCAAGAAAAAGGAAATTACAAGAACTCATGGGCCTATCAGCCCTGCAATGGGGACAGTGAGGTCTGATGGTATGTCATTATTAATTCTTGTAGGAGCCCACGGCACAGACTTTGCTGTGTCACAAACATTGGTACTATGGAAGCCTGGCAATGAGTCCACCTGATGGACTGCTGCTGTTCCTGGGCAGCATTTTAAGAAGCATTGCTGTGTACTTAGAAGAGGAGGAAGGATGACAGTGTCATGAAAACAGTTTTTGACAGCAAAGGATTGGGAATCACTGGAATAAAATCTTGACAAATGAATTGTACAGGATCAGCTTCACTGGAGAAAAGGGGGTCACATGGAGGACAGCAAACACTGATGGAGGGGTAGACAAAAGTTTTTTCGGTTTTTGTTTGTTTGTTTTAGGACATGGAGTTGGGTTTGGTGCAGAAGGGTCAAGGAGTGATTCAGTGCAGAAGGAATAAAGGTGGTTGGGGAAGTGGAGCACTGGGTGCCTTCACAGCCTTCAAAGTGTATCTTGTGTAGTTTTGGTAACAGGTGAGGGAAGAGATAGGGCAAAAGGTACCCAACACCTTACCATCAGCAAGGCCTCTGAGTCAGAGGAGGGCCAGGACACATTCCCGTCAGGAATGGCTCAGGCTGCAGCTCTCAACAGGAGGGCCAATAAAAACTTCACAGAAGTGCTGTTGTTTTCAGTAGGGCCCTGTGCAGGGATGTTCTGTCCTTAAGGAGCCAGGCTTCAACTTCGAGTTGGTGTTTTTCTTGCACAAATGTGCATGGATATCACCTGAACACTGTCTTTCCCATTTTCACCCTTTGGGACTATAACTCCATCCACCAGCACTGCCCTCCTCCTGGCCTTGAGGTGGGCAAGACCACTCATATAGAACTGTCTCTCCCAGAGGAGAGACTGCATGGGGAAGCAGGTCAGTGTGTGCTTGCAGTGAGGTAGAGAGTTTGTGTGACTTTGAGTCTTTATTTGCAACTATTTGAAAAGGGCCGTGAGGTTAGTTTTGGCTGAAAAGTAAGTCCCAGAGAGTCTCCTCACCTTCCTGTTTTCCTGCAGCACATATCAGAGAAGAAATATCTGTGTGATGGTTTGGGGTTTTTTTCAGAGGCTAAGACACCCAAGTCACCATTATGGTTTTTGAAGAGAGCCCTGGTTTCCAGGAGCCAATTAGACCATTTCTTTTCTGTTTTTATAAGTTTCAAAACTGTTTCCCTTGTCACCTGACTCTGTCTTTCATGACTCAGGTACATGCATTGGTGGTAAAAGTGAATGGGGAAGGAGGCTCTCAGGGATGGAGCATGCCTGGTTTTGACTAAAGTGTTGGTGGCAGAATCTTGAAGTTTTCTGACCAGAGTCTCTAGGGAGACAATTCAGGCACCAACCTGCAATGGTAAAAGCAATGGTAGTTTTCTTGCTGCTTTCATAAAATTATGAATTATTGAATGCTTGCTATAGGTCAGGCATTGTGCTATGTGTTTTACCTCCATTTGCTCATTTATTCCTTGCAGCAATTCTGTGAGGTAGGTGCTATTTTTCTCATTCACTAACAAGAACACTGCTGCTCATTGTTAAGAAATTTTCTCAGATTCTGATTGTTGGTAAGGAGCAGAGCTGGGATCTGAGCATAGGTTTATGTAAAACCATACGCTGTGCTCTTCTTTTTTTTGAGACAGAGTCTCACTCTCACCCAGGAGGAGTGCAGTGGCGCGATCTCGGCTCACTGCAATCTCTTCCCAGGCTCAAGCGATTCTCCTGCCTCAGCCTCCCAAGTAGATGGGATTACAGGCGTGTGCCACTGCACCTGGCTAATTTTTGTATTTTTAGTAGAGACAGGGTTTCTTCATGTTGGCTAGGCTGGTCTCAAACTCCTGGCCTCAGGTGATCCACCCACCTCGGCCTCCCAAAGTGCTGGGATTACAGGCGTGAGTCACTGCACCCGGCCATATTCTGTGCTTTTAATCACCATACTCTATAGCCTTGATAGTTTCTGGGGCAGGAACTATTACGCCCTGGGTACCTTGGAGTAAGTGAAGTCAATACAGATGAAAGATGTCTTTTTTATCTTAACGTTTGCTTGCTTTTCTTTTCTCATCTAATTTTTCTCAACTATTTCTCTCAGAGGAGATTGATTTTTGTCCTATTTGATTATTTCTAAGACTTTGCTTTGGTCTTGGTGTCAAATGTAGATAAGCTGATTATAATCAGCCTTCTCTTTCAGGCTCTGCAGAGGTACACATTTGCCTTTTTAGAGGGTCTGCTGGGTTACACAGGCCGTGGTTTGAGGTCCTACACAGAAGATGTACTACCACACATGGACCAGTGATGCATGAGAGGCCACACAAGTAGACGCGCAGTCGGCATTCCTCTGATCATCCAGCAGGATGTGTATCTTCATTGTCTTTCTTTCAATTACATCTTCTCATCTCTTGTTTGTAGATTCCACCCTTGCCCTTCCAGGAGATACTCTGTACAACTTCAACTGTTAGCCGAAAACACAGAAGATCCTTAACGTCTTACTGTTAGTGACTTAGCCAAGGGCTGGATTTGAATCATGTAGACTTCAGAGCTGGTAGGCAGGAGCAAATCTCTTGGCTCCCAAGTGAGCCAAGCTACCTGCGGAGCATCATAATGTGATTGTGTCATTCTGTATCAGTCCTCATAAACATTGTCTTTTTATTAAAGTTCTAACAGGATTACATAAAAACTCCCTACCTTACAAAGGGCCAAGACCTAGGCCCTTATTCCAGATCACCTGTTAAAACCCAACCACTTGATCACAGATATTTGCAAACATTCCTAGGACAGCCATGGTTTACTGCTTTCTTTCTGCTCTGGTTTACAGTTTCTTTGTTTTTGGCCTTTGGGAAATGTTCTTTTTCTTCTTATGATGCCAGATGTGAAACTGAGAGAATATTGTTAGGTTTTATCTAACATTTTAGATGGTTTATAGAGGGGTAATTCTTACATAGTATATTCTACTGCCTTGTCCTACTTTCTGGCTGAAACGTAAGTATGATACACCTCCAAATGTATGGATGTGTACCATGTTCTTCACTTAGAAGATGATCTACATATATATTATATACATACACATGACCTACATATATATGTGTATATATATGTGTATATGTGTCTGTGTGTGTATATATATATATATATGATTTATTTCAACTCCAGTGTCTACAGTATATGCATTTATAGTAAGAAATAGAGTAGATGCCCATAAAATCTGGACCTGTGTCTAAGTTATGTGATTCTCATAAGGTAACATACCTAGCAAATTTTCTAGCAGTACAGGAATAATGAAAAGGAAGGATCTGGTCATAAAGTATGCTAAGGAAATGTAGTTTGCCTCCCACTTCAAAATAGGACAATCATATTTATTTATTTGTTGACAACCTACATCAGTCACTAAACTAGTAGCTGAGACTACAAAGTTGATTAGATCCCAAGCCTTTGAAAATACATTCCAGAGGTTAAGCTCTATAATAAATATGTGGATCAAATATACCATAACTCAGAGAAGGGACAGCTTTCTGAGTCCAGGAAGCCAGATGAAATTTTCCAGAGAAGATTGTTCCTAAGAAACTATTCCTGCATAAGCCATCTTGATATCTATCTATTTGAATTTTACATATTCCAAGAAGACTTGCAGACCCACAAATGTGTCATCATTGGGACCCTCCATCCCGAGGAATGAAGAGTGGAAGAGTTGAACAACGACATTTCCTTTTTTCCGCACATGACAGCAATGAGCAGCAAAACGTCTGGTTTTAGCATTCTGAGTCTTGGAAATAAGTGTTTCTGGGCTGTAGGCATATGTTGATGTGATTGGAGCATAGTGTTGCTTCCTCCTGGGGATATCAGCCTCCAGGGGAATACACCAAGCCCCAAGTCTCCGAAGGAGCAACAGTGCCAGGCAGCCTATTTGGGATAAACCTTGACCCACAGCTGAGAAAAACAGGAGTGAAGTTGTGGGCTGGGTGTGGTGGCTCACGCCTGTAATCCCAGCACTTTGGGAGGCTGAGACGGGTGGAACACCTGAGGTCAGGAGTTCGAGACCAGCCTGACCAACATGGTGAAACCCCGTCTCTACTAGAAATACAAAAAATTAGCCAGTTGTGGTGGCTCAATGTTGTAATCCCAGCTGCTCGGGAGGTTGAAGCAGGAGAATCGCTTGAACCTAAGAGACGGAGGTTGCAGTGAGCTGAGATCATGCCACTGCACTCCAGCCTGGGCCACAAAAGTGAAAATTCATCTCAAAAACAAAAAAAGTGAAGCTATGGGGGTCCAGAGGAATTGAGATTATGCATGACCATTTCTTTGTCTCTGTGTTAGATTGCTAGGTTTACTTAATACACCCGTACCAAGCCCCTTCTGTAAAGGTGCCAAAAGAACTTAAGTTACCCTTCTTTCTCAGTAAATTAAAAGACTAATGAAATCATCAAATAGTGGTGGTGTGGCATCGTAGAAAGAACAGAAGACCCAATATCTAGAGATTTGGAATCTGTTCCCAGGATTGCTACTAACTATCCTTGAAAACAAGACAGTTCACCTTTTTAAGGCTTCATTTCATCATTTGTAAAATAAGAAGTTTCTACTAAATAATCTTCAAGGTGTCATCTAGCCTTAGCATTTCATATATCTATGGTGTTCAAAAAAATCTCTTCAACATACTGATTTGATTTCCTTTGGATATATACCCAGTGGTGGGATTGCTGGATCACATAATTTACATTCCCAACAACAGTGTGAAAGGGTTCCCTTTCCTCCACATTCTCACAAGCACTTGCCTTTCATCTTTTGTTGTTGTTGTTGTTGTTTTTGAGACGGAGTTTCACTCTTGTCACCCAGACTGGAGTGCAATGGCACAATCCTGACTCACTGCAACCTCTGCCTCCCGGGTTCAAGCGATTCTCCTGCCTCAGCCTCCCAAGTAGCTGGGATTACAGGCAGGCACCACCACGCCCGGCTAGTTTTGTATTTTTAGTAGAGAGGGATTTCTCCATGTTTGTCAGGTTGGTCTCGAATTCCTGACTTCAGGTGATCCACCCGCCTCGGCCTCCCAAAGTGCTGAGATTACAGGTGTGAGCCACTGTGCCTGGCAGTCTTTCATCTTTTTGATAAGCAACTAGTGGTCTCATTATCAGAGGTCCCTGAGGGGCCCTACAGGCCCCCCCAGGTTCTGCCCCCAAGATTCTAAGAGAGACCTTGTGCTAGGGCTCTAGTCTTGATGTTCTTTGCATTGTTTGGATATGAAGCCCAGGATATGTGGGCACAATAAGGTAAATCATGAGATGTGAAGGAGAATGAAGATCAGGCCAGAGGTCACCATTCATTGAAGAGCCAGAGAAAAAGAAAATTAGTGCACAGATTTGTGTAGATTTACAGAGAACTTCTATTTGCTGCAAGAACTTCATCAGGCGCTGCACCATGCCTGATTTGGAAAGGAGCTTCTTTGGGGCCTGATAGAACTGAATTAATATGAAGAAATTGAAGTGGCTCTGATTTGTCATTCACATAACGAGAAGTTTTTTTTATGAAAACGATGTGGAAAACAGAAAATAGTGCTTGGCCTCAAGCAAAAATTTGATTAGCATCTTCTCTTGGTCTGAAACACTCATCAAGATAATAAAATAGGATTCAGTCCCATGCCTTACCTTTAGAGATACAGTCCCTTTTGGCTAAGATTCCAACCTGTAGGTTAGTAATGCAGAAGTTCTAAAGTCCAAACTAACCTTTCTAAAACATCAGCATGGTCTTGAGTTCTGTTGCAAGCTGTAGAAGAACAGTGTTCTTAATCTGGTTCAAGAAAGAGAGATCTTATCAGCCAATCAGTCAATGTTTATGGAACTACTCCCGAGCCTGGGCTCTGTAATAGGCAGCCTGAGACCACTCACCCTTCTATTTCTTCTTCTTCTTAGACACATCTTTCAGATTCCTCAGAACCATCCAGTCCTAAGCTCTTCTCCATGGGGCCTAGATGTTGTGGAGCCAGCTCCTAAAAGCAGATTTCCCTCACCCCCAAAATCTGGATTAGGTATTTAACTCCTGTTCACATCTTGATGCTACACTGAACTATCACATGAGCTAAAAAAAATAAAAATAAAAAATAAATGAAAAAAAAATTGCTTATGATGGGCCTCCCCAAGGGCTGGAACTATGTTTCATTTATCTTTGTGACCCCATAACAATGCCTGGCACATATAGGTGTGGAATAAAGCATATGGAGTGATTGAATGACTGACTATACCCATAGACAGCAGACAGGGCCACACTATCTCTATGGCTAACTCCCCACAGCAACTTCAAAATGGGAAACATCGCCAGATTATATAACAGGCAGAAGAAATTACGTTTACTTTTGAGAAGTTTCCGAAGCGGTATTCGTAGGGCAGACTGACAGTCTTTCCTTTTCGTATTCCACCACTTGCACACAGTCATTATTTGTCCATTTCATCTGCCTGGAACCCAGCTAGAAAAGCCGTGGCAAGAAAAGGCTTCCTATAACAATGAAAATAGGTATCATTAGGCTCATACGTCATAAGAAGAGTAGTCCAAGCGCTCTCTCAGATTTAAGTATTCACTGTAGGTATAACGCTAAGGGCTTGACTTTCTGGCTCAAACATAAATCATCTCTGAGGGGTGTGTGTGTGCGTGTGTGTGTTTTAAAGGAGGCACATTTAGCAAAGGGGAGAGTTTTCCTATACAGTGAAAATAACATACAGCTATGTTAATGACTTTGGGTTCTATATGTTGTTAAAAGGCAAAAAAAAAAAAAAAAAAAAACGGGTGTTTTATAAAGATATTTTTGTTTTACCAAGATGGTTAAAATAAAAATTTAAAAAGTGACCCTTACCAGGATAAGCTTCAGATATTTGAAAAGTGCACTTATGTGAAACGCTTTATTTTCTGATGTTACAGAATAAGCAAGGTATACATATGGGTGGTGACGTTCACCTATGTACACATTGTGCAGAGAAACCAAGCCCAGTACCTTTTCTTGGAAAAGATGCCTGTGGGTTAGAGTGATATCCTAAGACTGACATCTTTCAGTTATTGAAATTAAAATTTTCTAGTCTATATCCAGTCTTCAGATATTTTTAAATTTGGGATCAATTAGTCATTTTTCCTTTCCTATTTTTTCATTGTAACCTTGGACTCAAACTGTCGAGCTTCCCAGGCACAGGTTGCCATAGGAGACTCTGTTTGTTGAGGGTGGAGTGGTTGATTTTGGCAGGTTGAGGGAGGAGCAATTAATTCTAATAGGTATATAGTAAATTAAACACTTGGGTCTTTCCAGCCTTTTTTCTGTATTTCTTCTCTTTTCTATAAACTTCGTTCTCTTTCCAGATGACTCTTTAAGAGCAGAAAAGAAGGAGCTTTTAGAAATAATTCCCAGGCTATAGCAAAGGAAGTCCAGTGGGGCCTGGAGGTCACTTAGATCATTATTGCTCTTTTCAACATATGTTCTCTAATGTTCTTGAGATTAGAAGCGACCCTTGTTGAAGACTTTAGAAAGAAAAATTCCTTGGGATCCTTTACTAACCCATTCAAATATTTAGATTGTTCTTATGAAAAGAAAGATATCTTTAGATATACCTTTAATTTCCATTATGAAGACCAGACTTATACATGTAAGAAAAGTATTTTGGGTGCTCCTTCGATTTTTATAGACAATTACATGGAAAAAAAAGAAGGAACTTACTAGGTTTTGCCAATGAGTCAGTCAGGGTTGGAGCAAAAGTAACAGATGTAGTGCTAGATGAATAAGATACACTCCAAACACTTGAAAGAGAAAAATGAAACTCTGGGGAAACTCCGTAGATGTATCCAGTCATCCTGCAAGAACCCAAGAGCATCTATAGGTGTTAAGGATGCACTAGTTATCTTTGACTTTGATTATTTGGCTGCAGTTCGGGACCTGAGTCTTGATTCTACAGTTATTCCAAGTTCTCTAGAGCCAGAATAACTGGTTCCAGCATTAAAGACAAATGCTCATTACAGAATCTTTGTCTTTTATCCCAGTGAGGCCTGTGCTGAAAGCAGAATTCATTTTCACTTCTTGCTCACAACTGACATTGCTATGCAGCTGTGTGGCAGCTGTTGAGTTCCACCCCACAAGTAGCAGCTTCTCAGCCGTTGGCAAACTGGTATACATCTGGAATGATGTTCAAATGACATCAGGATCCCATAGAATAAATCAAAACATGGAAGTAATAACTTGGATAAACTCGTTCTGATGTAACTCAATTGCTGAGAATTATTTAATGGCCATTTTTGAGTTGAGTGATCTATCTCATCAAAACATGGTAAAATACAAAACTGTCCTTCTATTTGACATTTAAGGAGGGTCGGGGGAAGAGAAAGTGATTTGAACACATAAACTGGAAGGTGGCTTCAGAACTCAAGAGTTCTGTGGCCCAAAGAATTTGACCACAAGATGTTTCCTACGACTTTATGGTTGGGCATCTCTCAGGATGAGGAGCAGCCAGGTTATTGAGTAGGTGGGCTGGCTGATTTACCCTCCAGGATACAGCAGGACAACATTTCCCTCCAGAGGTAGTTTTCTGGAGAAATAATGCATTGGGCTGCTGAGCTATTTTTTAACAACTTGTTGCTGTTCTTATTGTACATTCTCTTTTGGGGTGAAACACTCCATTAACTCTGGTTTGGCCTGGACGCCTTTCCCATTTTAGTTCGTGCTGATTTACTGCAGTAGCAGTGGTGGATGGAAACAGTACAGCTTTCTCTGCTCTAACCCTGTATCTAGTTTCTGTGCATGAGTTGGCTGTACCTGTGGGAATATTTGTGTTACAGCACTGGTGTCCTCAACCCGAGCACCACTGCGGGCTGGACAGACACCATCTGAGTCTTCATAGCACCCAAGGACTACTCAGGTCTCTAAGTGTCAGTCTTCAGTGCACCAGGAGAGGGGTGGAGGTTAATATGTGAGAAGCAGTACAAAACCAAGTTACATGACATCTAATACTAAGCTTTATCTGACACTTGCTATGTGACCTGGGCAATTCTTATCATCTCTATGCATCCTCATTTCCAAAAAAGTGGGACTTTTGAGGCCAATCCTGCCTACTGCACAGGCTTTCTCCCATGCTCAACAGAGTTAAAAATATGTTGAACTGTTTTGTAACCTATATAATATAAAGACCTCTTGTTACAAGAAGGCAAAAAAGTTGATCAAAGAGTTTAAATGACGTATCTCAGACCTTAGAGTAGGCCAGGAGCAGTGCTGCCAGTGAAATGTGACAATTCCTTGGACCTAGTGGTCTTGAGATTTTTTCAACTTCTTGCAAATATTAGGTCAATTTGTGTCCTGCACCTTGGGTGCTTTTCTGTAATATCTCTGGAGCTGTATGGATTACGCTGGGATGGGAGGAGTGGCAGAGTCAAACAAGACATAATAAGGCTATACTGAGATGTTGCCTTCTAACCTCCCTACAGCCCTTCCAAGCAGATGGTTGGTGTGACACTATCAACAACCGAGCCTACTGCCACTATGACGGGGGAGACTGCTGCTCTTCCACACTCTCCTCCAAGAAGGTGAGTGAGAGAACCTGGGGATGGGGGAGGCAGTGGCTTCAGGAATAAAGGCAGGGTCTTCAGCTAGCTCTCATTCATGGTGTGTAATAATGGGTTTGTATTCAACAATTAGGAGGGAATTATAATGAACAAACATTGGAGCTTCTAAAGTGACAGGGTTAAGGGTAGCATAGGTTCTTAGACAACACTAGTTCTTTGTCAGTTCAGTGATTCTTTCAGAAAAGCCATGGTTTTTGCTACAGAAAGACTCATACCTGCTTATCATTGTCCAAGAAACATCTCTGTAGGCAGGGAAAGTAATTGTCCTTACCCCTGGGGGAGGTGGGATTATCAACAAACTGCTATTCAGTTACTAACCATCTCCATAATTACATTAATAATTTTATATAGTGTGTTACAAGCATCTCGCAGGCACATGTTAAATGGCTGCCACCAGCCACCTGAGCACTCTCTGGATTGTCTCGTGAGCAATTATCCTTTCTAATGCCCTTTATCCCTGTTATTCTTGGCTCTGTTAAATTAGCAGATAGGCTCAAGCTAAGCCTTATAAAATAGAATAAGCTGAAACTTTGCAATAATATGGGTAAAAATCTAAGTGCTCCAAAGATACTTGAAGCTAGTTGGGTCAATATGATAAATCTGAAATAAGCAAGAGATGTTATTTCCTTCCTTGTATATGTCTCCACAATAAAACCATACCTACCATGATAACCTACATGCAGGCTTGAATACTACATCTCTCACTCGCTAATGTTTAATCCTTACTCAATATGTGGCAGACACTGTTCTCACCACTTATGTGAATTAACTTATTTAATGCAGAGTGCTCAGGGGCTCATCATATCACTATTTAATTTGGCTGTCTTTTGCTCTAAAAACCAATAAATCCTAAACTAAGAAACAGATCAAGAGCTTGGAACAAAGGTCAGAAATCAGGCCAGCTATCTCTGTGTAGGAAGACAAGATAACTTAGGAAAAAATAAAGCAGTTCTCTCCCCATCTCACACTCTGAAAATCTAGTAATCGTCTGTAATAAATTTCAGTGCCTGTGGCCAGCATACACAGGAATTAGGATCGAAAAGGCACTTCACCCCTCTGTTGACTCCTAAATCACATTTTAGAGTAATGTGCAAATATGCTGGAAAATTTCCCCACACAACCCCACCCATTCTCCTACCCACTTGCCCAATCACCAAGCCCATCTCTTTAGTGTACTTGGACTAGTATTGTGTGTGATATGCCTATTTATTTTTATCTCATTAGATTATTAATGCCCCAAAAGGAAAAATCATTGCCACTTTTATATCACCTCTCCCAAATACCTGATTTTTTCTGATGCTAGTTATGGATGTAGCATTTATCTGTTTGTAGCAGTGCAAGCAGAAGTGAGTAACTTTTTCCGGACTATCTCTGGCATGAGGAAGAGATAGTTACATAGAAGGAAGGCAATACAGCCACAAACAATGGGTGGGTAGATGCATTATTCCACCAAGTCAAAGTATATCCTGGGCTCAAGAAGAGCAAAATCTCATGCTTTATGAGGATGGCAAAGATGTTCCTATTGTTCCAAGAGCACTGAGGAGTTGGAGTCAGAGTGCTAGTCTGTAGCTAGTCTCGGCTTCCCATATAGTAGTCTCATTACCTTGAATTAAGTCACCCCACATCTCTTGCCCTTCCCTGTAAAGAGAAAATGCTAATGCTACCATTCATCTTTCCTACTTTACAGGGAAAGTGACAGTAACAGTAAGAGCAGTATTTTTAGATATGAGTGGTAATATTAGAACTGATAGAATAGTAGTTATAGATGCTTGGCAATATATAAGAACTTTATACTCATTATTTAAATCACACAAACACCCTCTGGGGTAGTTTCTGTTGTCCTCCCTAGTTTATATATGAGGAAAGTGAAGCAAGGAACAATTACCTTGCCTAAGGCTACATGGTGACATGATGTGTGAGTGGGAAAACTGCGTGTTAATTTCCAGTTTGTGATATTGGCACATAATTCTACAGTTCCTCTGGGACCAAGTGAGGAAAGTGAAAGCTCGTTTAAAAGTGTGAAGCTATCACAGAAATGAGCTATTTCTACTTCCCTTTCATTCCCCTAGGTCATTCCATTTGCTGCTGACTGTGACCTGGATGAGTGCACCTGCCGGGACCCCAAGGCAGAAGAAAATCAGTAACTGTGGGAACAAGCCCCTCCCTCCACTGCCTCAGAGGCAGTAAGAAAGAGAGGCCGACCCAGGAGGAAACAAAGGGTGAATGAAGAAGAACAATCATGAAATGGAAGAAGGAGGAAGAGCATGAAGGATCTTATAAGAAATGCAAGAGGATATTGATAGGTGTGAACTAGTTCATCAAGTAGCCCAAGTAGGAGAGAATCATAGGCAAAAGTTTCTTTAAAGTGGCAGTTGATTAACATGGAAGGGGAAATATGATAGATATATAAGGACCCTCCTCCCTCACTTATATTCTATTAAATCCTATCCTCAACTCTTGCCCTGCTCTCCGCTCCACCCCCTGCCAACTACTCAGTCCCACCCAACTTGTAAACCAATACCAAAATACTAGAGGAGAAGTTGGCAGGGATACTGTTAATACCCATTTTGAATGGATTGCCATCTTTCAGAGCTTGTCTGCTCTCAACTGGCTCTTTTTCTTTTTGTGTAGTTTCCCTTAAATAATGAAGTTAGTTATTAATTCTTTATAAGTATTTAAACATAATTATATAAATATATTATATATATTATATTTTTTGCTGTTTACTAAGCTAAAAATTATTCATTGTTCCACACATGCTGCTGTGAAGTTCACATTCAAGATGAATGTTGAGACTTTGAGGACAGAAAGGCAACTTATTTTCCCATCTTTCTATGGATGCGGATTGGCAGGTTGAATGGGAAGTACAGAAGGAGAGAGAGTAATTAGATGGAATTCTGGATGCTAGCATGTAAAGCTAATCATCTTTTTTTTTATGACCTGGGAGCTGGGCCCATTTTATGACCAAGGAGATGGGGAGTTGGAATGGTGGTACTAAGAGGCATAGGAAGTTGAGTGTGAATACCATTGGTGATGGGTCCAGGAGAACTAGACTATGGTTCTTGAATATCTGTCCACAAAGAATATACTAACTTTTGTCAACTTCTCAGAACTCCCAACTGGAGTCGGTGAGACCTAGGATTTTCTGCACTTCCACACATGCCTGTTCCAAGTGTGGCTGTCAGCCAGTCAACAAGTTTGTACTATGGCCCATTCTCTGATCACCAGGATTACAGGAACTCACACACTCCTCATACTTGGCCTGTAGTCCTACTTCTTGTTAGAAGTCTCCAAGTCTGGCCAGTCACATGACCAAGTGTTGATTTTTCTGGAGGAAAAATTTTATGGAAATGATATAGGGGAAAGGTGGGAGGAGATGAAAGAACAGGCAAGAGCTGTCAGGGTTAAATCCAGGCCCGGGCATGAGAATGGAAGTGATCAGGGAGACTCGGTCCTTGTTCCAAGTCTCCAAAGAAGACCAAAGTGGGTCCCTTGAGCAATGAAGAATCTGAGATAAATTCTCTTCAAGTATCATGTACAAAATCTGTGAGCCAGAGATTTTGACTTGAGCAAGCCATGGAAATGCATGGAGCAAGGGTGACACTCTGTGGGGAGACAGAAGAATTTCAACTATTTAATGTCCATTTTGTTGTTTTTACCCTTTCTTATCCAATAGATGGAATGCACATGAAATGACCATATTAAGCCTCTCTCTATTTACATCCCAGGCTCACTGGGATGTGATCTACTGCAGTTACATTTTCTTGTAACGGTTTCTGGATTAGACCCTAGGGAAAGTGAGTAAGGAGCCAGTTTCTGTTTAACATTCTAGTTTTACTCATTTTAGGAAGGCTGTGAGTGAGGCTTGTCTCCTTTAAAGTTTCTTCTCCAATGGAAACCAAGAACAGACAAAATTTAGAGCTCAGCTGTGGTCTCTTCTCATCTTCTGCTCTTTTGCTTTGACCACAGTTTTTCTACTCTTCCCATCAACACTAGAGCAATGGCTGTGCAAATAGGAATAGGAAATACTACCACAATGATAGAAATATTATCCACACTATCACGTAGGGAAGAACAATATCCTGAAAGAGAATAAAACACGAATAAGGTGATGTACCCACATTAATCTGTGGGTTTGTGGAATGAGGGTTGCAAAGTTATTGGGAAAAGGAAAGAGCAGAGTTCACCCATTCAAAAAAAACCTTTTGTCTACTAATCTCTAGTGTAAAGAAAATGTAGTTCAGATACCATTCATTGTCTTGGGTCATGCTTAGTGCCCCCAAGAAGACAAACATATTTATTCTTGGGATTCTGATAGGCTTCAATATGCAAAGGACAATGGAAAAGTTTAGACACTCTATTTTCAAAATTTTATAAACTTGTTTTATTGGGGAAAATGTCCAAATTGCTAGACACATTCTAAGTTCTGCCTTGGAGAATCCTACTTTGTCTGAGATTGAGGCAGAGGAATTGTTATCCTGGGCATTACTCAGCTCAGGAACATGGAGCCTGTGGTTCATGCCAGTGTGTGTCTTCATGCAGTCTCTCCACAAGAGCAACAGTAAGAACATTTCTGTTTTAAATTTCATTTTAAAATATTTTATTATCTGCAATTCACCACTGCTCTGGGAAAGCAAAAGGAAAGTTCCTGTTGTGTGTGAAGAGCCTCTTAGGCTATAAGGCTTCCCAGCCATAGTCAGCTATAGCTATTCAGAGACAGCAGGTTCTTCCAGTCTTTGTTCCTGGGACCTGATGTTTTGAGCAACTCAGGTCACTGATAAAGTGGAAGGACTAAGACACTGTGGTCACAGATCCCAGCAACATCAACTCACACTCAATCCATGTGGTGGTCCACATTCTGCTACTCTTATCCACCCATGTGGTCATTGAGAGCCTTTCTCAGAGACTCTTCTGTGTGTTTGATTGTGCCCAGGTGGCCCAGGGCTAGCTGGCTCTAACAACTAGCATGACAGCCTCCAATCAGAAAGGCAGGTAAGGGGACAGGGTGAGGAGAATGGGCAGATACTGACAGAAATTAAAGTAAAGGGATTGTGAAAGTAAAGAGCTCTTCCTGATTCTCATCTTCTCTTTTTTCTATTACAAGGCATTGAACTTGGCACTTCCTGTATTCTTTGTGATCACTATTGAGTGCATTAGTTAACACCCAAGGGGATGGCTTGATTGGGAATGTAGTGAAAGGAGCTGATCTACTGTATTGTAATGTAAAACAGCTACAGCCAGTTATTTTGTAAGATTATAAGTTGTTCATTAAAAAATCAGCACACAAAATATGAAGTGTCTTTGGTGTTTGACTCTTTGTTTAAATCATTTCATCACTTTCTAATCACTTTCCATTGTCTTGTGCCAGGTCCAGGCAACAGTCATTATTTATTTGATTGATTGGTCATTTCTTTTAGCCACTTAAAAACCATTTGTTAAGTAAATAGGATGTGTAAGGAAGATGAATATGAAAGTTCATAAGAAGACATGGCATATATGAAAGTAGAATGTGAGGTAGGAATGTCAAATATCTCATGAGTTTTTAAATAAAGTGTAAGAATTACTTACAGTTCAGAGGAAGTAGGGTTTATTCCTGGATGCCAAAGGTAGGCAGCATTTGGAAAATGGTTGGGAAGGATGCATATGATCTGACAGGCAGAAATGGGGGTTGGGAGAGGAGAGTCCAGGCAAGGTAAACAACATAGTTGAAGCTGTGGAAGTAGGAATGGGATAGGCTGTGCATTATGGAACATCAGTGAGGCATCCAGCTTAGCTGGAAGATAGAACTAAGCTAGCATGTACCATACATTTGGTAAATACAGAATCTTACTTAATTCTTACAACAGATCTGCAAATAGCATATTCTCACTTCACAAATAAGAACGCTAAGCCACAGTCTGGTAAAGAAAGTTCTTCAAGGTCATATGAAGGGAGTTAACCTGGTTCTGTGGGACACCAAGATGTTAGAAGGAAAAGAAAAATGGTGATTAATAGGATGGAGAGAGGTGAAAAGAAATGTCAAGGGATGATGCCTCTGCATTAAATACACAATCTGAAAGCTTATCAGCCCTAACAGAAGAGGGAAGCTGGCAGGAGCAGGCTTTTAAAGAAAGAGTATTCATTTGCTCTTTCAATAAACTTGGGTTGAGGGCCAGATAGGAAATGCCATCTAAAGCAGTGTTCAGAACCCTAGAGGAGGCTTCTGCAGTTGGGGCCGGTTTGCAGAGTTTTCTGGCCACACCAGTCACCACCTGGCTACTGGAAGGGCTGGGCAGATATCTCAGCACACCTATGAGCCATTTGGAAAGAACTGTGGAATGGACAGTTGGAAATGTGAGCTTGGACTTGGGAGACAGGTTTGTGGTTAGAAATAAACATTTGAGAGAGAAAAAAAGCATTTTCTTTATGGTTTACAAAGTGCTTTCATATGATTTATGGCTACCCACAGGTTAGGCAGAGCAAGGACAGTTTTGTTTTGTTTCTTTTCATTTTACAGATGAAGAAACTGAGTGTCTGTGAGGTTATAGGAAAATTTAAGTTCACATATCTAAGTGCAGGTTGGGGTGGGAATCCAAGATCTCTGTCCTCAAATGTAATCTTTTCTACTGCACAGTGTTCAGCCTGCTAGGCCCAAGAGTGAACCCAGATCCATTTGCAGTGGGAAAGTTTAATGTCTTTTTACCGGTTTATGTTTCAAGGTGCTCATTGCTTTCCTTATGGCTTTCTTAGTAGCTAAGCCTATTTTCTCTCCTGCCTGTTGTACATAGCAAATGGTAGGAAAACTGAGGGCAAACCTTCTTGAGCACCCTTCCAGGGCCCTCTCCTCATGCCAGGCCCTGAGTATAAGCAGATGCCCTTGCACATACCAGTTAGGCCAGCTGGACAGAAATGTCTGGCAAGGCAGCTTTTTCCTTAATAGCTTCCCTGGGGAGAGTCCTGGACAGAGACTTTGGAGCTCTGGTTTCCATTGACTGACAAACTTAAATGACATGATGAGTCATCTGTCAGCTGGGAGACTCTCTCTACGCTTAGATTCAGGCCATCCAGATGATGAAGGGCTTAGGGTAGGGTTGGGTGAGGTAATGAGAAGGGCTCCAGGGCATCTCTGAAGCTGACTTTGGGTCATTTCTTTCTATGTCACTCCAGAAGGACCACTGAAATACTTTTAATATTTCAAGTTTCCCAGTGGTTAGCTCAGAAGAAAAGGGTGGTGGTGGTGAGAATCTCGTATCCCATAACGGTCCATGCCCATAAAAGCTTCTACATGTGCCTGGGATATTTGGCCTGGCAAAATACAAGACTAGTTTAGAAAATAGATGGTTATTCTCAAATCTCCCATAGTGTGAGCCTACCTGAGACTGAGTACATCTTTTCTAGTCAGAATTGAGTCTGGTAGTTAATGCACTATGGTGTGTGATTTGCCACATTTGGCTCCTTGCTGAAGACGGTTGGTTTTTCATTTTTAATCTGGTCCTGCCACTCAATCTTTAGGTTACATTGCTATGAGTTAGCAATGATGAAGTACATTCTTGAAAGAAATCTACAAGTCAAATTTATATTCCAAGTGAGTATAATAAAAACATCTCTAACCCCTGAAAGATAGTTCCGAGTAATAACAATAGTTCACATTAATTGCAATTTGCTAATGTTCTACAAATTCAATGTTCTTCTAAGGATAATTTAATAGGGACAAGCTTCCTTTCCTTTGTCTTTGTCTACACAAAAGTCAAATATTCAAATGTAAAGAAAAAATAAGTTAAAAAAGGGACAGTGTTGACTTTTTAATGATTACCAATTATGTTGCGTCAATGTGACCTTCTGAAGGCAATTGCCAGTTTAAAAATGTTTATACACATAAAAGGCTGTTAAAGTTAGAGAATTTCCCCATACCACAATTTAATACGTGCAACTCAAAATGCTTCCTGAATAGTTAGGCAAGTTATCTTAGGGTACAAAGGACTTCCAAGTAATGACTTTGTAGGTAGCGAATCAATAACTATTAGAATAATCTGTAAGAAAATTTCTATAGCTTTTTAGAATATCCAAGTGGTCTTCACAATGGGGAAATATTACTTATTAACTCAACATTGTTCATGCTTTCTCTACCTTGATAGGTGACCTGGCACAGGGAGGCTGGGGGCAGGGATGACTGAGCCTGGACCTAGAAAGTCAGTATGTAAGATGTATTGGTGACTTGTGATCCATGGGCAGCAACATAATGATCTGCAAGGATGACAACTACAAAATTTCAAGGCTGACAAATCTGAGTTTGAATTCTGGGTCCATTACTCACTAGATAAGTCATCTAGTTACTGAATCTCTCTGGGCCTCAGTTTCCTAAATATCTACTTTTGCAGCCCCATACCCAGCATAGTGTTTAAGAAGTGCCAGACAGAAAGGGGTTAAAGAGTGATTGATGGAGATTATATGTATAGATTATTCTCTCAAAAAGTTTGCAGTTGGGTGTGGTGGCTCACACCTGTAACCTCAGCATTTTGGGAGGCTGAGGTGGGCGGATCACTTGAGGTCAGAAGTTCGAGACCAGTCTGGCCAACATGGTGAAACCTCCTCTACACTAAAAATACAAAAACTGAGCCAGGCACGATGGCACACACTTGTAATCCCAGCTACTCAGGAGGCTGAAACAGGAGAATCGCTTTAACTTGGGAGGCAGAGGTTGTGGTGAACTAAGATTGCACCACTTCATTCCAGCCTGGGTGACAGAACAAGACTCCATCTTAAAAAAACAAAACAAAACAAAACAAAACAAAAGTTTGATGGTGAAGAAAAGGAAGTCAGGGGGGTGGGGGAGTGGAATTGCCCTTTTGTGGCTTCGAATTCTCAAACACCATGCTTCTCTGACATTAGAGAGACTAAGATGTGTGCCATCATTAGTTACGTTCTCCAGGACAGTTAGAACAGATGGAGACTCCCAAGTGGTTTGGCTGCCAGGAGATGTTCTATCCCACTGATTCAGAGAGAAGCAAAATGGATCTGTAGGGTAAAGGTGGTAAAGCATGGAGCTGAGGAAAAGGAAGCGGGCTAGGGGAAAATTTTGGAGTTGGCGGGAATGTTGGTTAACTCAGATGGAATATGCCTGTAAAATTGCATTAGCTATGTGGAACACTGGTTATTTTCTTCAAAAGACAATTGAATTGCTGAATTTATCCAGTTACACAATAGCACAGTCCAATGCAACTTTCAACAATGATAGAAATGTTCTACATCTGCATTGTCTGATGTGGTAGCCACTAGGTACTACAGGTTGCTATCTAGCCTTTAAAGTGACCAATAAGACTGAAAAACTGAACTTTAAATGTTACTTAATTTCAGTGGTTTAAATAGCAACATGTAGCTAGTGATGTCACCGGCCAGTACAATTCTAAACTATTACGCACATATATAATTCAATTTGCTTTTTAAATCCTGCTACTTATATCTCATGGCTACTGTAATGTTACATCATGCTTGGGTGGATATTTTGGGTTATATTATTCTAGTTTGGAAAAGTATGTTTAATAAATCATCTACAAATTATACACCCAGACACCTGAAACCATAAATTAAAAAAACAAATAAAAAGATCTCTTACTGGCTTGTAGCTTTCATAAAGCCATTTTTTAGTGGCTGAGATAGGTAGTCATGCCTGGGACCCTAACTTTGGGAGGTCAGACAGTGACTGGAGAGCAGTGCAGCACTTAATATAAGTGAGACATGAGAAATATTGAGAGAGGCACAAAGAAGTCCAAGATGGAACATCCAGTAAGTGGCAGAGCCAGGATTTGGACCCAGTAGTCTGGTTCTAGGGTTTGTGCATTAACCCACCATGCTCTATTACGACACTCCATTTCCTGAGAAACCACACGTATAAAGCACCATACTTAGTTTTGCAGGTTCTTAGGCTTGAAAGGGTCTCCAATAGTCCCTTATTATTCACTATAACATTCCTTCCAGTGAATTGTCCTGCTTCATTATGAATTCACCTCGTATCAAGAAACTCGCTATCTCCCAAAGCTGTGTGTTTTATATCTGGCCTTTTCTGACTTTAATGAAGTTAAAAATACTCACATAGCTGATAATATCATTATTTTAGCCAATATATTTTTGTTGAACAACTATTACATCCCAGGCATTAGGGATACTGTAGTGAGTAAAACAAAGTTTCTGTCCTCAAGAAACTTGAAGTTGAAGGAGACAAATAATAGGCAACAAATATGTATGCCAGCTGTTGAAGATTGCTATGGAAAAAAAAATGCAGTAAGTTGGGGTAAGGAGTTTCAGGGCTGGAGAGGAGCTAGTTCACATAGGGAAGGTCCATGGATGCTTCTTGGAGATGTGAAGGGAGTGAGGAAATGAGCCAAGTGACACCTGGGAGGGAGAATGAGCCAGGCACAGGGAACAGCAAGTGTAAGGTGGGAGAGACCTTCGTGTGTGTGAGGAAGACCACTGAGACTGGTATGGCTGGAGCAGAATGAGGGAGAGAGGTGAGGTCAGAGAAGTATGGAGGGGTGGAGGGGACCATGGAGGGTCTTGTCAGCTATGGTAATGACTCTGGCTTTTACTCAGAGTAAAATTGTTTTCTACAGCAGTTTCTCTGTACTTGTACATAATCCATGCATATCCTTCACGTCTTTCACATCCATCATCTTCCTTTCCATCTGCTGTGCTCTCACTCTGGCTGGGGCTGGCATCGCTTCTGGAACGGGCCATGGTAAAGTCTCCAAGCAAGTCCTCTTCACCTGCCTCGTCCCCCTCTGATCCATTCCAGCACAGTGAGTCCACACTGTTCCTCTGAAAGCACAGGTCTTGTGGAGTCACCCATTACTCATGGAAAGAGTTTGCTGTCTCTGTGTGCCCTTAAGGTTTGAACCTTAACAGACCTTTTACACTGCACAGCCAACCTTTTACACTGACCTCCCCCTACTTCTGAACAAATACTCCATTCCTTTGCCAAAGGTGATACATCCCCAGTCCCTGAAGTTCCCACTTTTGTGCTCATGTTATTTTCTAACCTGGAGCGCCTTCCCTTCTACCTTCACATGGCAAAAAACTTGCTCATTTTTTTCAATTGCTTCTCACACATCTCTAATCTCATGAAGACTTTCTTCATCTTTCTGTTTGATGAGATTTAAGGTTCCCATAACCCCTATTGTCCTCTTCTAGGATAATCAATATATTTGACTGATATTTTATTAGATGTGTGTTCTTGCCTTTCCTCACTATTCAATTGTAACCTCTTTAACAGCAGGTGAACTTGGGGCTCCACTAGGCCATTTGATGCCTTTTGGGAGAATTGGAAAAAGGCATCCTTTTATCTGAGTAAATGCAAGTCAGCATCAGAGACTATGGCTTGACAATCCAGGTAGCAGGGCTGGATTTCTGGACATATTCACTCCTTGGACCAGGCAGCCTTGGGCAGGACACAACCTCACACCTTTATGTGGTGGCTCTGAAAACACTGTATTACCCATTTTTGGATCTCTGGTACTGCCTTATATAGTGTCCTTTCCTGCCCTAAATAAAACCTTGAAATATGTTGAATTGAATTTCAACTCTGATTTGATGCATGTGAAAACCAAAAGAAAAGAGCATGTTGTATTTGTGCATTTGGGGTTGATGGGTGGGTTCATCTGTGGACACTAGAGCTTCATGTTTTGATCACTTCTCGAGCAATAGTTCAAGAATTGATGGTAGTGCAAGGCCAACATAGAAGACTGTGGATTTGGAGTACACAGCAGCAAAATGGCTCATTTTCAAGTTGATCATTGTATTCTGGACTTGAAGGTCAGTTTTATGTTGAGGCATGCTTTTGCCCAGCTAATAGATTAACGGGTGTGCATAAACATGTCAGGTGTAAGTAGTTCACGTGGATGGGGAAAAAGTAGCAACTGTCGATCAAGCAAGATAGAGGGTCTAAGAGGCAACTTGTCCTGAGATCAAGTTGGGAGATCTTGAGCAAATTAGTTAATGGCTTAAGACTCAATGTTCCCATCTGTGAAATGGCAAGATATTAATAAATTCACAACTTAAAGAATTGTTATGCAGACTTACTACAATTAATGTGAAGTGCCTATCCTGGAGCTGGCACTTCAAAAATAGTTGTTCTATGTATCAATACCCTAAGTAAACAGAAGTATCCCTGGTACAGAAAGAACCAAGAAGAAACAAAGTAGTGGAGATGGTTATTGGTCAGTTTTTGAATTCCTGTGCACTTTCTGTCCTGGGATATGCATTGTTTTAATAGGCTGGTTAATGTTTCTCTCTCTCTCTGTCTCTCCCCCTCTCTCACACACGTGCAGGCTCACATACAATTAAGTGTTCTATGAACTTTTGGCTACGCTTTAAGTATAATTTCATTTAAAGCCATGCCATGTTCCAATTTGAGGCCCCAGATTTAATAGAATGTGACCTTGATTCCAAGTTTTAAGGGAGGAAAAATGTTTTACAAACTATGCCAGCGAGAGTGCAATTTCTCCACCATTTTAGAGGGTCACGCTAATGCCAGAGCATGTCCCGGGGCTCTGCCTGGGCAGCACGCTCACTAATGAGCAATCCATAGCCACCCTTCATAATTTTAGAGTTAGACAGTTTACCTTCATGTAGGGAAGAGTGCCCCAGGCAATGGTCATTGCTTGGGGAGAGTAGCAGAGCTTCTCTCTGGGTATAAATGAAGTCCCTGGAGGTAACAAGGCATTTTTGTATTTCAGGCCTTGTCTCTCTCAAAGTGATCTTTGGTAGACATTGCAGGCACTTATGTATTCATGTGTGCTCATCCAGGGAGTACAGACTTCAACATCAAGACCTAGTTGGAATCCTAGCTCAGGGAGATCTTGAGCAGATGACTGAGTCTTTTAGGGCCCATTTGTAAAGTTGAGGGATAAGCTTAAATTTTCTGGGATGTTACACATATTCAAATGGGCAATCTAGTCATCCTTGAAGGCATCTGGCACAAAACTCTCTGCACAAGATTCTTTCCCTAGTATAGCTGGAGCTAAAAATATACTTATTAATACATATTTGATTACATTTTAAATTCTTAATTAAATACTTAATATTTGATTACATATTTATTAATAAATGGATTTTGTTCCTTCTTCTTCAGTGAAGTACCCTACATCACCTTATTAGCATTTCATAAGTGCTCAAAATCTCACCACTTGTTTCTAGTTTCCATTCATGCCACACGTTAGACATGAGTTCTCCTCTAAGCTAGTTAAGGCTTAGGGTATGATGAAATGGGACAGAAGAGTTAGTCTGGAGAAGGGAACTTAGGTAGCAAGACTCGGTGGTGAAGTGAAGTTGAGATTTCAGCAGTATCTGTTTTCCAGGCTCTTCAGGGGGCCTCCAGATCTCCTTCCTCATTGGCCTCCTGGCCAGCAGCTGATCTCACTGTTACACTCTTATCAGAGTTTCTAGGAATCTCCTGGCTAGTGAACGCTTTGTTCAACCACTGGGCTCTGACACCCGACTCTGCCTTGACCTCAGGCTTTTTTGTACTCCCTAAATCCAGTTGCCTGTGCCATGCCAGCCCCAGTCCTTCCATGTATTTATGGTCTTGTCCTTTCTGGATCCAGCATATTTCCAGACCTGCCTCTTCAACTTACTGTCATCTACAGTCCCACTGCTAACATATGTCTTCTGTTTGATCAAACTGTGAGGTCTCTGAGACCCCAGGGCCATTGCCACAGTGAAAATACCATCTTAGAGGAGGACAGGGAGCAAAGAGAAAGCCAGAAGTAAACTTCTGCAAGGAAGAACTTTCAAAGTCCCTTCTCATACCCTGAAGAATGTGAGTGTCAGAGTTTTTAGGGAAAAAAATAATTTGTAGATCAAGTCTCTTTTGGCTCTTTGAGGAGTTTTCCAAATTTCTTCTGGGAGGCCCCAATTTCTGTGGCTGGAGTATGGAAACCCACACCTGGGAGGCCTGCTTGTCTTTTCCGTGGCTGTCTTTATCCTGAGCATTCCTGAGAGGTACGGATAGTCCCCGCTAGTGGCCTGGCCCCAGGTTCTGTGGGAAGGAATGCAGCTACACTCAGACATTCCAGTTGCTGCTCAAACCCAGTGGCACTTCATTAAGTCCTGGGCCACTCCTCTCTTTTGAGTGTTTGCTGGCTTGCCGTGGCAACCAGATACCCTTTCTTTATGTTCCCCCCACTTTGCCCTACTCTAGTCAGCTCCATCACCAACACCTCTATGTGGGCATTTTCTGATCTCCTAGTTGCCAAGGGACATAGAAGCTACAGGGTGAGGATCCAAACATCTTCCTTCATCGGATACCCAAAAGTGAAACTGTCTGGAAGATGCAGAAGTCTGAAGTGCATTACACTGACCTTCCTGGTCAGGAGTTACCATGGTGTACATCTAAGTGAGTGTGGTAGAATGTGTCTGTCCTCTAACTGTATAGACATCCCAGTAGCTGGGATGGTCTGTCTGAAAATATGGCCAGGCCAGGATGATAGTTACACATTGTAGGTTAAGCCAGTGTAGGTTAAATTTCAGTGAGCTCAGAGATGGGAGGAGTTCTGGAGTTTCTATTTCTACCTATGCCAATAAACACATATCACCAGGAGCCTTGAAAGTGCACAGGCCCAGAGCCATAGTTGCACCTCCTCCATGGCAGGGACTGCCTCTGTGCTAATGACCCGGATGCAGCAGCAAGGCTGGGAAATATAAAAAAGATTGCTATGTCTTGTTTGTTGGAAGGCTTCCAGTTTTGCTGTATGCAAGAACTGTGTGCATTGCCCCCCTCCTCCTAGATTACAAAACAAACAAAAAAAGCATTTAATCAAATTTTGCTGTTAGTTCAGTTCACTCACCATGTTGAACTAATGTAGAAAGGAAGGTGATTTCAGTGAGCAACATGGCAGCATTGCAGAGTGGTACAAAGGGGATATCCTAGCCTCCCATGCTTAACGGGAGCTCCCAGCTGTATGGTCTTAGACCAGTTAATCTAAGTCTGACAAAAAGGAACTGAAGTTTGCAACATCTTATCTGTAACATGTAGATAGTGGTAGTATCTTTTCATAGGGTTGTTCGGTGATTTAGACAAGAGATACTATGCAAAAGTGCTTATATGGTGCTTGGTACATAATTAGTCATCAATAAACATTAGTTGCTGTTAAAAACAATAGCATCTTCGGCAACAAAGAAACCTCACATACAATAATCAAACCTCTTAAAGGAAGTTCAATTTCAGATTCAAAAGATCTTTGGCACATAAAAAAATGATGAGCAATGGAAACTTGGAACATATTTTCTTGCTACCCTATCTTGTTACGAAGAGAAAGCAACTGGGGAAGGATAACGTTGGTGAAACATGTGGTCTCGTTTCAGTGTCTAAGGAACACTGAAGGGGATTCTGGAGTGATAATATTAGTTGAACACCTACTAGGCATATTCTTGCCACTGCACTAAGTAATTTCAAGAGTCTTATCTTGTTCCATCTTCAGACTGCTTGTTGCAGTTAGTAAGCTACTGTGTCATGGCTGAAACCCATCCTCTGTCCTCTGCTTCGTGATGCTGCTTTTGGAACACAACAAACCAGTTCCTTTTTATCAGTCAGTCCATGTTAGATTTTGTTGATGGGGGCATCAGAGGGAGACTGGAAGGAAGAAGGGAGAGGGGCTGGTGCCTTCCTGTTGGCTGGATGTTCAACTCAGCAGCTTCCAACCAATGGCTTCTCACAGGGGTGACAGCAGTGTATTCCTGTCTCTTTCATCTTTGTGCATTAAAGAACCAGCCTGTGCCAGGCACGGTGGCTCACGCCTCTAATCCCAGCACTTTGGGAGGCCGAGGCAGGCGGATCACTTTAGGCCAGGACTTCAAGACCAACCTGGCCAACATGGCGAAACCCTGTCTCTACTAAAAATACAAAAATTAGCCAGGCATGGTGGTGCCCAGCTACTCAAGGAACTGAGGCAGGAGTATCACTTGAACCCAGGAAGCAGGAGTATTGCTTGAACCCAGGAAGCAGAGGTTGCAGTAAGTCGAGATTGTGCCACTGCACTCCAGCCAGGGCAACAGAGTAGGACTCTGTCTCAAAGATAAATAAATGAATAAATAAACAAAATAAAATAAAGAACCAGCCTCACTATATTCTTCCAAAGAAGTCCCAGCACCAGGCAAATGACCCCTCCTTTTTGAGGGAATCTAGTTTTTAGTAAACCAAATTCCTCCCTTTGCTCTCCCAGCCCTAAAGGTTGTGGCTGCATCCTGCAGTTATATTAATACCTCTGTAATTTCTCAGTGTTTCAGATATTTTTGCTTTGTTTGGCTCTCCAGAACCTTTTCACCAATTCCTGATATTAAATTCTCTCTGCCAAAGTCTTGACTGGAGCCTTACTGATGCATTGCTCAAGTGGCAGAAACAGATGGAAACTGAAATTTTTCATTTTCTGCCATCTAAGATACCAAATCAACACTGTTAGGACTTTTAAAAAAATACTGATTTACAAATAAAAATGGCAGCTCAGAAAACATAAGGGAAATGCCATGAAATTGATGTGTAAGTAGTGGGGTTAGCAAATCTCAGACATGTAGTTTGTTCTCACTCTATTTCCATTTTCAACATGTAATTAACTTATGTTCCCCTTTGTATATGCCATAAGTTATATACAATATGTGATGCATACATAATAGATTTTCCTAAATAGTCTGAACTTTGAGTATTCCACACCTATTTTGGCCCTATAAATTATGCAAGACAAATGCATGGCACGTATCTTGCTATTTGCCATTTCAATATCTGTATGAAGTATTGATCATGCATCTCATCACTCTTTCTGGCCAGGTACAGATCCATTCTCAGAATCTTTTTCAAGTCAGTTTTCCAGGCAGCCACTGCTGCTTGATCAAATTTAGCACTCAAGTGGAAACCTATTTGTCACCCCTGCAATCAATCTTAGAATTCATAAAAATGTACTTACTTTTGGCATAAAATTGTTATCTTCCAGATTGTTTTTCAAATCCTAAAGAGTTACAAAATTTCTATGTCAGACGATATGTACTAACTTTTAGTTTGAAGTATATATTAATCAAGACCTAGTCAGGAAAGCAAAATACATTTTAGGTAATTCCACAGAGGAAGTTCAAGATGAGAAACCAATTAGGAAGACTTTGGGATTATAGAAGGACAAATAGGAGCAACCTATCAGATTAGCAACATCAGGGCGCAGCTCCTGCTTTGAGGGGATGGAAGGTCACACGGAGGAGACAGAGGTCATGAAGGAGATGCTGGAGATGCCATCTGAGGCAGGGAGAAGGGGAAATACCCTGGCTGCCGTCTTCTTCCTTTCCTCCAATCATCTACAACTCCTCTGACTGTCCCAACACGCTGGAAGCCTGTTGACAAAGGAGTGTGGGAAAAGTTTCAATAGTTTATAAGAGTCAGCACTATGTGATACAGAACAGAACAGTGGAAGGTTGGAAAATGGATGTGAGAACAAAGAGGCAGTGGCTGATTAGGAGTATGTGCTTTACTGTTATTTTCAGTGGTCATCAGGACAAAACGGCATGTAAGGCACATTCAGCCTTAGTTTTATCTGTGGGCACTTAAGTCCTTCCAAACCACAGGGACAGGGCGTGAGTCGGTTTCATCTCTAAGTTGGTATTTCAGAGAACACTGCCTGACTCATTGGACACCAATAGCCTCAGGGGCACTTGACATTTGAATTATTTGAAACAAAGGAAGTTGCTCCTAATTATTAAGCACAAAATATGGCTAAAGTTCTCCCACTGAGAAAGATAGTAAGGAATCCATTACACTAATTTGTACTCCCATGTGAGCAAGCATATCATAGACTCTAACAAAAGGCAGATTTGGTGAAGAAACATGATGTCAAAACCTGTCTCTAGGGGAATCAATCCAATTACAGCAGACACTGCAAACTACCAGAACAAAGAGTTTTATTTATTTATTTTCTCACTTTGGAATAGTGCAGACATGAGCCAAGTCCTGGACTCCCACATATGTCCACAGAAATTGTAAAATTTTATTATATAATGTTGAGGTTTCATTTGAAATCAAACTGCTCATTAACTGCTCACTTGATGTGACAATAAAATAGGAGTTGCTGGTGGGAGCAGGGTTAGGAGGCATTAGGTTATCAAAACATATCAAGCTATGCTGTCCTCAGGGCAGTAGGCATTTGTTCCCCAAGTTCTCACCCAAGCATTGAGTGTTACCATGGATGCATGCAGAAAACAGAGACTGGCACAAAAAGAACCATTAAAGCATAGTAAAAGGCAACATTGAACATACGGAGTGAGAGTCACAATTTCTTGGCTCTGAATCATCCTCACGTGACAGACGGAAAATAAAATAAAAAACCCAAACCAAGCTAAACAACTAAACAAACAAGAATAGACAATCTGCTCAGCTTGTGAAGGTAATCTATGTGCCCTAAGTTGATTTCCTAAAGGCATTACTGGGTTTGCACTGGCCAACCACACTCTCTCTTATTGTCTGACATGGGGTAACTGGGCTGTGACTTGCAAAAATCTCAGTGGGACGAGTCTTTCCCTTGTTAGAGAAGCAAACTCATTAATCATGATGGCAGTATAGTGTAAGGGTTTGTGTCAGACAGCCCTTGGTCAAAATGACTGGACTTCCATTTAACTGTGAACTTGGGCAAGATATATAAAGATACTGAGACTCTGCTTCTTCTTTCTTAAGAGTATTTACTTCAGACTTGCAATGAAGATTGATGAATATTATGCAGTTCAAGTGTTTAGCACAGTGCCTGGCACATAATAAGTATGGGGTATGCACATTTGCATCCAAAAAGTTCCAAATACAAAGGGACAGAAAAACAAAGTAAAATTGGAAGAAACCCTTCTCTTCCAATGTTTTTTCCTTGTCCCAAATTGTCCACTCCCTTCTCTGTCTTTCTTTTCCCAGCTCTGGAACAATTCTCTTCTTCTCCTGGAATTCCTATCTGGGCTCTAAGGTTTACCCCCTCAGAAGTATTAGGATACAGTGCCCCACCCTTCTTCTTGCTCCCCTCCATGGAGGCAGAGACCCACTTCATTGGTGATGGGGACATTGTGGATGTAGCCCAGCCTCCATAAGTTCTCATCTCCTTTCCACAGTGAATTCATGCCCAGGGCAGGGCTTACCTAAATATTCTGTCACTGAGTGGATGGAAAGGCACTGTTGACCCCTGACTGGATTATTTTTATTTAAAAGACCCCTGGCCGGGCACAGTGGTTCACACCTGTAATCCCAGCATTTTGGGAGGCCAAGGCAGGTGGATCACCTGAGGTCAGGAGTTCGAGACCAGCCTAACAGGGCGGAACCCTGTCTCTACTGAAAATACAAAAAAAATTAGCCAGGCAGTGTGGCAGGCACCTGTAAACCCAGATACTTGGGAGGCTGAGGCAGGAGAATCACTTGAACCTGGGAGGTGGAGGTTGCAGTGAGCCAAGATCGTGCCATTGCACTCCAGCTTTGACAACAAGAGCAAAACTCCGTCTCACAAACAAGCAAACAAACAAAATCCTTAGTGGCTTAAGGCAATAACCATTTTATTATGTTACATAATTTGGTGAGGGGGACAGATATTCAGGAGGAGCTTGCAGGGTGATTATTCTCTTTCATGTGGTATTGGTGGAGGTTGCTTGGTGGTATGCAACTAGGATACCACCAGTCTTGGGGTCTCAATACAGCTTCATTCACCTGTTTGGTTCTTTGGCATGGTTATCTGAGCTGGGACTGTGGACCAGAGTGCTGCCATGTGACCACTCCAGCTTGGTGGTCTCAGCACAGTGGCCTTGAATTTCTTAGGTGGTGGCTCAGAGCTCCGAGAGCAAGAGTTCCAGAGAAGCAGGCAGAAGCCCTAAGGCCTTTTACGACTTAGGCTTGAAAGTCACATAGTGTCACTTCCATTACCATCTGTTGGCCAAAATAGTTATAAACCTGCCCAGATCCAAAGGGAGAGGCAGTAGATCACACTTTATATGGGAGGGGTGTCAAAGAATCTGTGGCCATGTTTTAAAACTGCTACAGTCATCATCTTCTTTTAATTGCCCCTGCTTGGGCAGGGACTTGGATTCTGATCATTACTTTTCAAGAGGACCTATTAAGTCCAGGCACTTACCACCTGATTGTTGAAGAATTTAAATAGAATCACATATTTTGATGGTAGCTGAGATAATCTCTATTTAAAGTGGCATTGTAGAGAGAAAGAAAGAGATTACGTATTTTGGGCTACCCACCATGAAGCATTTCATAAGTCAGTCTTCCTCAAATGCTCCTACACAGTGCAAGACAGGAATGTGTCTGGGAGGGCCTTTTGCAACATTTTTCTTCAACATTTTTCTTAAATGGCCAAAGTATAAATTTCAGCAGTTCTCATAGCATCCTGTGCTTCTTTATCATAGTCCTCCTCACCCTTGTGGTGACAAGTTCAATGCCTAATTTTCCCCATAGGATGCCACGCTCTCTGATAGAGAACAAGCCTGTACCCTCTGCATCATTCGTAGTGTCTAGAATATAGCAGCTGTGCAACAAATACATTTCACCGGCTACTTATTTGGAGAAGGTTGTAGAGAGAAGATGGGACTCACTACTATTATTTAATGATAAGTTTATAATTTGCTATGAAATATTTGATTCTTTTTTTTTCCAGTTAGAATGATGACTATAAGGCCCATTATGTCTGGAATCTGAAGTGTAACCTTTAAAACCTTAACAAGTTCCCTGATGAGTCTAACCAGTTCACTCAGATTACTGAAAGACACAACATCCACATACCCAATGCTTACTAATAGCTTTGTTTTATTATTCAGTTAATTATTTCATCTTTTATAATCATACAATAATTCTCTTTTAAACAACACTGTTATACCTGAAGATGGTCATATTATATTCTTTCTTCCTTCTGCAGTAGTAAAGTGTTTTTCTTCATACTCAGTTTTTTTAATAGAACATTTGAATATCAAGAAGTGTAGTTAACTAAAAAATAATGAACGGACCAAACTCCATGGAAAACGATTGCACACTCAATTAAAAGTCTAATGCTATTACAGTGGTTCATGTACATTCAAGAGGAAACTCCAGAGGTCTTGGGGACATGGGAGCTGGGAGAGTGTTGGTGGGATATAAGCACCTCCCTTAAGACCTGTTTGGCAGCTTGAAAACTCAAGGTTGAATACCGGTCCAGTACCATCACCCTTTCTAGCCAGGATGGGTTCCTTCAGGTAAGCATTAGGAAAAGTCAGCAGGTTGAGATCAATAGTGTCTTCCAAGGGGAAAAAATCCTCCAGTCAATTGTACAACCATCCTAAGATTTTCCCCTGCCCTGTTCATATCAGCCTTTTTAACTTGAATGTAAGTAGGAGCCAGTCATAGGAGTTGTGTGCATTGTGTGTGCACACGTGTGTGTGTGTGTACATACATACACACATTCAGTGGGGAGAACTCAACGAGAAACAGGAGGAAGAAAGTCTTGGGGAAAGAGGAGGCCAAAAAAGGAGGGTCACAGAAAGAAGAAGTAAAAGACAAAGATAAAGAAGGTAGAGGAACTTGGGAGACTGAGGGAAAGATAGGAGAGAGGAAGATAGTGTGCCTAAAATAAAAACAGAAGGAGAGGGTACAGAGGAGTGACTCTGATACCTGCTTCACCCTCTCCCTGGCCTGTCAACTCCCACATCATCCACTTCTGGGCAGGAAGGCATCGGCAGCCTCACCCTCCTTTCACTCAAGCTTAAAACACCGTGTTCTGCACAGATATGAATAGAAGGATGGCAAAACAGTAGCAGCAAAGAGATGCTCTGGGCCCTGTCTGATTGGCCTGTCACATCTTCTCTGGCAATGGTGAAATATTTGCCCCTTGAGGCACTTTAACTGAGGCTCCAGCATTTGCCACAGGTGGGACAGCCAATTTTTCTGCTGATCTTTGCTTTGAAAGTAGGGGAATCTCTGAGGCAGGTGCATTAGAGAGTTTGAAATAAATCCTTCAGTGTTTGGAAAGAAGGAGAGAGGAGAGTGAAACCACCCTGTGCTTTATCTCAGCCTCATCACAGGCTTCCTTCCCAGTCATGAGGGTGGGGAGGAGGGCCATGTGCAGTGGAACTAGGGGTCCCAAGGGTGCTCTAGCTCCAAAGGCTAAGGGCGTACTTTCGCCCCTCCTCCTTCCACTGCACAGAGGACATGTCCATGCCACAGATGCTTGGGAAAGGTAAAGCTCTCTGGGCAGGTTCCCTGTGGGGCTGAGAGCTTGGACAGTTGTGTGCCAGATGATACTGAAAACAGAACTGGGTATCCCAGAGTAGCTAAGATCCTGTGCCCTGGAGACCAACAGCCTGAAATCACACTGAAACTCAGTGTGAGTTACAGTGCACAAGGGATTTGAGGCAAGTTGTATAACCTCTCTTTGCCTCGTTTTCCTCAACACTAAAATGGAGACAAGAATAGCACTTTCCTCAGGAGTTGCTGTGAGAATTCAATGATACCTAAAGTGCTTACATCAGCGCCTGGCATACAGCAAGCACTCAATAAATGTTATCTGTCACTACTACTATTTAGAAAAAAAACCAATATAGCTCAATGACTAGCCTTATAGGTCTTGCATCTGTTTGCTGACCTTTCTCATATGTTTCCAGATGAGGAGCCCTGGTCAAAGGCATGGTGGCTGAAGGTGTGTGTTCAGGCCACTGAGTTGTGTGGGACAGCTAAGGCCATTGCTAGTCAACAGGGCCTTGCCAGGCTCTTTCTGAAAGGCTGGGCTTCCTGTTGGCTGGGCCACCATTCATGACCATGCCAATGCTTGGGCAGTGGGATGGAAACAACACTCTAGATGTTAACTGCAATCAGTGGTGCTTCCCTACACAGAATCCCTGTGACTGGATGGGCAGTGACCATGGTGGAATCCTCCTGCTTATGGTCATCAGAGAAACGATTTGCAAAACTAGCAACACAAGCAAATTTAGCAAGGTGGGGATGAACAGAAGTTTTTTGTGATCAATAATAGCTTTAGTTCACTGTAACACTGATATGAAAGTGTTGACCCCTCCTGGTCCCAATCAGACATCGGCCAAGCCTTACCTGTCCAAGGTAAGAGGTGTGGGGGTTAAAGATAATCCAGGCACATGGATATATATTGGTAGGCTGGAGAAGTCTATCCAAAGGAAGCATGGTTTTTTTAAAAAACAATAAACTCCAAGTCTCCTCTTGAATGTGGACTGCTAACTAGTCTCCCAGGTAGACTTTTCTGAAGGTGCAGTTGACAGATGGCATCTTGTTCCCTCTCAAAGATCATGTTGTTCAGAGGAAGGGACAGAGATCTGACAGAGGGAGATTTAATCCCAGTCCTGGCTTAAAATAAGGAAGGATCTCAAAACCCAAGTGGCCCACTGGGGCCTATAATGAAAGCTGGTTTCACCTTTCGGGTATGGAAATAGTGATAGCAAGGCCTAGGAAGAAAACCAGGAGACACAGACAAGGGCCACCTTCCTCAATTTTCTATTGTCTCTCTCTGTGAGCAGGGCCAAGGCTCCCAGAGTGAGACGCTTCCTGAGGAATGCTTGAGGGTGGGGCCTGCGGCAGGCCTAACAACTTTCTGGCCTCACCTCTGCTCCCAGTTGCAATGGATTTAGGAACTGAGTGAGCACAGGGTGCCTACTTAATAGACTTTTCATGGGGAGCACGGCAGAGCTCTTGAGCATTTTGGTAAACTTCTCAGGGAAAAAAAAATGAATGGAACAAATTAATGGCAAAGCAAACCCCAAAGTAATCCTCTAAAGAAATATGGCACTGCATGAAGCCACTGGCTGGCAGATTTCCCAATCATGCAGATGGAGAACATCATACTGAAGAAGTTCTGCAGGGAGCAAGGATCACTTTCTCCCTGGTTTCGATGTTGCTGTGGAGGTTTTCATGTTCCATTAAAAAATATTAAAAATCCACAGACCAACCCAGATGGATCCCTCCTCTTTCCTACTTCATTCTGGCAGCAGCTCCCTGGCCTTATGGTGCTAGATCTCTTTGCTGTCCCCATAGTCGTTGTAGGGGATACTCAGGGTCTGCTCCTCACACGTCTTCCTGAGGTCCCGGCTGAGCTCCGCCCAGTCAAGTCCGTAGGGTTTGATCTCGCTGTAGCGGCACCCCAGGTACTTGAGTGAGCTGCGCCGCAAGCTTATCTTGGGTTCCTGAAGGAGTCCATTGCACCAACTGCTGAGGTCCCCAAGCTGGGAAAGGATGAGACCAGCTTTCCTATGGATCAAGCACAGAGGATACTTAAGTTAGAAAGAAGAGAGGGTCTGGATGAGCACAGCTACTGTTAGTGTGAGACTCTAAACTTCAAGAGGGAAGAGTGTGGTGTGTTTTGCTCCCTATTTTATCTTTGGCACTTGGAACAGTGAGTCCTCCAAAAATATCTGTCAAGCAAATGAATGAATAAATGAATGAATGAATGAATTGGATAAATGTTCAAAGTGAGCAAGCACCAAAAAGAAACAGACAAAATGCATAATATTTTAGTGGAAATGCATGGCTTTTAAAAATCATAGAGTTGGCAGGTTTGAAAGACAAATCAAATCAAGTTTCTTTAAAGCTAGTCATTTATCATCACTAAATGACAAATAATATGCTTGACTGGATATTTCCCTTTCCAATGCCGCTTCTGAACTGGTAGAAGCAGCCGTTATGTTGAACTGAAAAGGATATTAGATGTGACCAATTATGCCTGGATGGAAGTAGCCATAGTGTAATAAAGGCAAGGACAATAATGCCCTCAGTTCATGTTGACACAGGATTAGCCTTTGGGAATATGCAGACTGTCAGTTGCACACATCACCTGATTAACCTCCAGGTGAGCTCATGCTCCATTTCTCCACCTCCCTCAGAAAGTCAGGAGGCCATTATCATTGTCACTTAGCCCCAGTCAAAGGAGAGGGAAAACAGAGAAGGTGATGAAGGTCACCTGAGCCATTGCAGATTCCTGAGAGAGAAGGGAGAGAGGACAGCAAGGTGCCCCAAGTTGTACACACTGGAAAGGAGTGAACCCCCTGGGCCAGAGTGTGAGAGCCTCTGGCATCCAGCTTGGGGGAAAGGACTGGCAACACCATGTCACTGGTGCAGACCAGTGGCACTCACTTCTGGTGTCATAGATAAAGAAAGTGTAGAGCCAGTTCTTAGACCTACTGGATTTGACTCTGAATACAGGAAGAGTAAAAGATCAGGATCCTCTCATTCAGTTGTGTTTTTCTTATTCTTTAAAAATGCAAGTAACCAGAGACCCATGAAGGAAGACACTCTCATTTGAACAAGGTCTTGTGACTTGGAAAACTCAATGAAGACTACTGACTTGGAAACCTCAATAAACACTATTCTTTGCAGCATTTATTGACTGCTAGTCTAACTCATGGGCAGAACCACTCTTTTCTAGTTCCATCAACAATTTGTATTAGTCCGTTTTCATGCTGCTGAGAAAGACATACCTGAGACTGGGCAATTTACAAAAGAAAGGTTTAATTGGACTTACAGTTCCACATGGCTGGGGAAGCCTCACAATCATGGTGGAAGATGAAAGGTACATCTCACATGGCAGCAGACAAGAGAAGAGAGCTTTTGCAAGGAGACTCCCATTTTTAAAACCATCAGATCTCATGAGACTTATTCACTATCACAAGGATAGCATTGAAAAGACCTGCCCCCATGATTCAATTACCTCCCCTGAGGTCCCTCCCACAACACATGAGAATTCAAGATGAGATTTGGGTGGGGACACAGCCAAATCATATCACAATTCCTTCCAGAAACTGAAATTTTATTCACCTTATTCAGAGGGAGGTTTCAAAGAACAATAGCCACATTCCTTTCATTTCTCTTCTACTGTTCTGGCAGAGAGCATCATCAAGAGATGACCTCCCTGCATTTCTAAAGGGTGAGCTGGGAGAAGGGCAGAGATTGCCACTGGAGGAAGGATTTGAGCTTCAGCAGCAAAGTCAAGGGCTAAGAGTAAAGTGAGGTCATGGGAGGGATAGTCATATTTTCTCCAACTTCAATGGTGGGTCAGAAGAAATCAAACACTCTGCCTGCTGACTAAATCATCTGGGGCAGATGATCTGTACTTTCCCTAAGAGCCTCTGCAGTTTGGCCAAGCAGGTTTTCCAAAAGTTGTCATCAACAAGAACTCTGGTGTCCCTTCCTCTCAGTCTGTCCTACTGTATGCCATTAGTTGTTGACAAGTTCATGGGAGGTGAAGAAAGAGGGAGTGGCAGAAGAGGGAGGGACAACATCAGCATCATCTTCAAGAAATGAACAAAGAACTTACATCATCCTTCCAAAAGAATGAATTAAATTAGTCCACACAGCCTTCGTTGCTGCTTTCAGTGCTCACTTTAAATAATAATAATTAATTTGGGATTGCCAAATTAATTTTGGAGCCTGTGACTTCCTTTCTAATTAGTGGTGCAACCAATGTTTTTCTCAAACTATTTTCAACCCTCAGCTCAATCTGGAGGCGTCATCAAGTTTTAATGAAATTGGGTTGTGGTGAACTGAGGGAATCCTCTGTTTGCTCAGAGGAAGTAAGTAGCCATAGACCCTTTTCTACTCATCTTCACAATTAACCCCAAAGTGGGTTGATGTATTTCAACACAGAGGATTTTTCCTTTCCTGTGGTTCTCTCTGAGATCCATGACACTAAACAGCCAAATTTTATTTCCTGCAGACTAATGAAACTACACAATGTTTTCTAATATATAGCCATGAAAGACTAGTATTACACATGAAGGAACCTCCTGGGAGGAGAGTGTGCAGTCAGCGGTGGCCTTACTTTACAACAAGATCTACATTTCTTCCCCTGCTCACTTTCTTCATTAACCAATTTTCTTTCTGACTCTTGAGTCACAAAAGAGAAATTTTAAAAGCACTCCAAATGCCCTTAGAAATCAAGATGATATATGCAATGTTAGTGCCTTTCAAATTGTGACATTTATGTTCCCTGAAAAAGAACGGTATATATACACTCAATAAATGTCAGAAGAGAGAAGGGAAGGGAGAAGAAGAGGGGAGAGGGGAGCAGAGAGGAAAGGAGGGGGTGGAGAGGGAGGTAGAAGGGAGTGGAGAGGAGAGGACAGTTAGAGAATGGAGTTGATATTAGGAATGAGTAAGAATAAGGTAAAGATAAAGATAGAGTATGAAGTGAAGACAATATTTCTTAACATGTATCTACTTTCTAACTCTGGGTTTGTCTCTTATCAAAACTGAGACAAAACAAATTAAAAATCCCTTACATTTTTCTCTCTGGTCTGTAGTGGTGGCTCTCTTTGTCCAAGAACTATCACCCTTTATAAACAGGAAATTATTTATGGATTGTAGAAAAACCCTGCCAGATCTTACACATAAAATCATTTTATTTCAGGAGATAAACCTAATTTTCCTCTTTCCTTCAAAAGTAAGAAAATAGAATGTCCTCAATGATGGTCTTCTGGGAAAGTTTATAACTGCAAGTCACAGCAGGCCAAATGAGGATGATTCTCTCTCCAGTTTAGTCAGAGGTCAGATGGATGGGATGACTTTTGTATGGTACTTTCATTCTGCCCTGTTGGCTGGAGTGAAAGAATTCTTTAAGGGACAGAGGATTCTATAGTGTTGATTTTCTTCATTTCCTTCCTTCCTTCCTTCCTTCCTTGTTTGCTTCCTTCTTTCCTTCCTTCCTTTTAAATTTTTTCCTTCCTTCTTCATTTTCTTTCTCATTCATTCTTTTTTCTATTCTCACAGCTCTTCCCCTATTTTTATTTTTTCTTCATGAGCACCTAAATAATTTGGGGACATATAGGTACCAACATTCCATATGAAAATCCTTTTTATCATATCTATCCAAAAATTTCAGTCTTTCCAGGGAAGTCTGTTTTCTCAAAGCAGCAATATACAGTTATGATTAACAGAACAAAAGAAAAGTGATACATCTGCAGATTCTTCTCATTTCTTACTTTCCAAGCACTCTAATCTGTCTGTGCAACCTAAAAGCAGTGGGTGTGGGTATTAGGCAGTCATGGCCCCTGGGGCCAAGAGAAGTTAGCACACACTATGCGACCCTAGCTCCGGCCAAGATTGATGTCAAGATGGGTCTTTGGCTACTCTCATGTTGCATTTCAAGAGATGTGGAATTTAATTCAAAATAAGTATTTACAATGGATGTAACATATGAAAAACCTAAATGCAAAAAAAATTTTTAGATATCCTCTTTAATAAAATTCCAAATTTCCTTTCACAAGACCATGCTTTTGACTCTTTGAGTTTTAGGGTTTGGAATGCAATGTCAACATGATAAAAAAGGAGGGCAAAATAGGTCAAGAGCAAAATTTTTTTTCAGAGTTCAGGAAAAGCATTCATGGCTGGACTGCTTAAATAGAGCTTATCCAAAACTAATCTGCATGGACTGAACTGTCTTAAATCAGAGGACTGACTTCTCTGATTGCCTAAGCTCATCCAGGAAATCTCTACAACTTCATGGATGCAGTATTACGGCACAAGAGGTACAAAATTTCAAGAAGTCTTTAAAAGGGTTGACTTAGTTTATTGATTACCTGGGACCTAACTCATCCTCACATCGCCAGGTGAATTCCCCAAAACTCTCATAGTGCTGGTTATAGTGGTAGAGGACCCGGTGTAAGGTGGGGGAACCCAGATCCAGGAGGGTGTTGTAGGCGGTCTGCTGCTCCTTCCCACTAGTGTAGCCATTGAAGAGATTGTAGATCTTGTCTGCTATTTCTGAGGAAGGAGGAAAAGGAAAATAAGTTATTTACATATATATAATAATGTATATATATACACACATTATATATGATCTATATCATATAGACATATCACATATAAACATATGTAGATCATTTATAATGTATATATAATATGCATATATATCATATAGTATATACATACACATATATGTGCGTATGTCAATGTGTATGTATATACATATATGCATGTTTACTTATGTGTGTGTGAGTATGCTGTTACAGAAAGAGCATTGAACCCAAGGCCTGAAGAAAGTGATTTGAGTAATTCACTTTGTGTCTGCCCCACCAGGCTTAAGTTTTCTATTCTATAAAATAAAAGGCTTTGACTAGACTCTCTCTAAGGTCTGTTTCAGTTACAATATTCTTTCTTTTACTCAGGTTTTCTAAAAAGACCTAGCTTGAGGAAAAAGCTCATATATTAACACTTTTTTGGAAAGTGCAATCCCAGAGAAGCAGGAGCGAAGATAAAGGGAAATGAAGCAAGAAAGAAGAGAAAGTAAATATAAGGGAGAGCATGAAGGAGCTGGCCATGCCTTCCTGATGAGCTGACTGCTACATTTTGCAGGAGAGGATGTATGAACTGCTGGATCGCCACTGGGTCATTCAGGGGTAGAAGGAAAGAATTTATCTCCAGCTTCCATCCATGATTGGTCTGAGTGTGTTCCCATGGGGCATTAACAACCCTGCACTTCTAGGTGGCATGTGCTTGAATACCAGGGTTCCTGCCAAAGTAGCAGGGCAGCCCTGGCAGTGGGTGGTGCGCATTCGGCTCAGAGATGAAGTGAGGCACTGTCAGGCAGTGCTTGCGAGTGATGTGAAGAGTCTGGAGTGGCCTCAAGACTGTGGGAAAGCAGAACCCTTGTTAGGACCACCTAGACCAGGTGCAAAGGCAGATCTGTGGAGACCCAGAAATGGAATCTAGTGTAAATGAGTAATCTTTCCATTTAATTTATGTCTCTGATATTTCTTCCTCAAAGGCATAAATTACTAAGTCTGAAGTTGGTGATGTGGCAAAGTGGAAATGATTTTGTATAGACTTGGCATTTTTTTCTTACAGAGCTCAAAGTAGTTCATCATTAAATATTTTCTCTTTTAATTTGTCCAAAAGGAGATGTATTTACATTTTTCTCTCTAAACAGCTTGGAAACTAAGATCTGGAGAGCAACGTTTTGTCTTGGATGCAGTGTTAATTCTGGGCATGAAGAAATGAAGTCCACAGGTTCCTAAGCCACAACTTGGCCAGTGTGACCATCTGTTAGCTCGCAGCCATGGTAGCTTGATTCCTGGTCAAACTTCCAAGTGACTTCAGCACTGCTGGTCATGACAAAGTCATCCCTGTAGCAGTTTCCAGAGTTGGAATGAATAAAGTTTCTACCTCTATCCTGCCCAGACACTGCAATTATTTCTTTACTTTTTTGTCTTACCTGTTGCCTATGAGGACAGGAGCCAGATTGTATGCCCTTACTATCCTGAGTGGCTAGCACAAGGCCAGACAATCTAGTAGATCCAAAAATGTTACCTGAATGAATAGAACTTAAACCTTTGGAAACAATTTAAATTTACTTTGGGGAAGAGTTTCTCACTGATATCTCTTGATACCAGGTGACACCAATCCTGTAGCAACCAAACTTGCAGCCAGCATATTTAGCTGCATTGCAAATAACTTTAGTATAGAAGTCCACTTAGATTTTCAGGTTGTTAAAATTCTCATATTGTTAAAAATGGAATTAAGAAATAAAGAAGATAGTGATTTAGAAAATAAATATCTATGGTATCTCCAGTTGTTTATCAAAGGCCTATGATTGCCAAGAACTTTGCACATGTGATTCCCAATCCTTACACTACCACTGAAAGATGAATACGAATGTGCCTGTTTTATAAATGAGAAGATTTGGGAAAAGGCCAAGTTACCTACCTGCCCAAGGTCACACTGCCAGGGTGAGATGGAGTCAAAACTGAAAACTATGACTATCTGCCGTTGCTATTGTGTACTGATGTGTGGGAATAGATGATGTATAATCAATTTAAGGTACAGGAGGCAGAGTCATGGGATGGAAAATCTGGGATGACTCTCTCTAGTCATGAGCATTGCACTGATTGGGCCCCAGATGCCAAGAAAGAGGGAATCCTAGTAGCTGTGCAGGGGGTCTGTCATTTCTGAAGTTGAGACAAGAAGAGGCCAAGGGACTCTTCTAAGAGCTGTGTTGTATTCCATGGGAAGCAAGGAGCGCTTGCTGAGAGAAGAATGACCGGGGGAGGAAAAATGCTGGTGATAAGACCAGAGCTGAGATAGGCAGATCTGGACTTCCTCTCCCACCCCTGCACTGGTGCCAATCTGTGCCTACTTCTTGTGATAAGAAAGAACAGTCCACACGCCAGGCCCTGGTTGTGGTAGTCTTTGCGGAGGAGCAGTGATGGCTGAGGAGGTGCCTATCATTCTCATAACATAGTAGTCATATCCAGCTAGGGAAGACTAAGGGCTCCCAGCTTTTGCAGCACGTGGGATGAGACCAGTTTCCACCACCAATCTCCTAAAACCACGATATTCTAGCTCTTGGGTGTGCTTAAGAGCCCACATCAGTAAGTCAGACGCTGTCTTCAGAAAGATCTATGCTCCAGGCTCCTAGAGCATGAATATTTCTGGCTCCTCCTATTTCCACAGAAAGAATTGAGAGAATTTATTTTGTTAGTCTTCATAGCATCTCAAGAATTCACTAACTTAAACAATGGAAAATAGTATAGGTATTTTTAGTTATAATTTTACTCAATTGCAGGTTCACAGAAACCTTGAGTTATTCAAGACAGATACCTGTCTTCTCTCTCTTTAACATTCATGATGTTCAGAAATAGATAAGATGCAGGTGAAAATATGGCAAAGAGCCTGTCTACACAGCCTCATCATAAAAAACATGATTAGAAAAGAACTGAGATCTCTCAGGCAGCCGGGTAAATTGGCTGAGACTGAGGCTCTCAGACCCAGACACCATGGCATCAAATGGAGTTGGGCCACACCAGCTGTGTGGCCTGGGACAAGTTACTTAACCTCTCTGGGTGTTAGTTTCCATGTCTGTTCAATGATGGTTAATAATACATACCCTCCAAGATTCTTGTGAGAATAAAAGCTATATTAAATGTCAAACCTTTTTTTTTTTTTTAAAAAAAAGCACAATGTTTGGACATAGTAAGCTTGTATTTATTGATTTATCAACTAAAATTGTTTTCGAGTGCTTACTATGTGCCTGACAGTTTTCTATGTACGTGCACTACGTTGGACAAAAATCCTCACCCTTATGGCACTTACAGTCTGGTGGTAGGAGACAGTCAGGTCAGGTAAGCAATAAACATAGTAAATAAGTAAAATATAGTGTGTTCAAAAGTGGGGAAAAATAAAACAAGATGAAGTTCCTCCTTTCACAGCCTCTATATTTCTGTGAAATCTATTCTCCAATAATGAAAAGGAGAACCGAAAGGATTTGCCAATGGGTTGGATGTAGAGCATGAGAGCAGGCAGGGGCCACTTCACAGTCCATCATGTCAGCCCCTTGCTCACAGTCCTCCAGGGCTTCCCATTCCAATCCCAGGCAGAGTACAGTGCCCTATTTTGATGACCAGGCCCTGTGGAATCTTCCCCACACTCTTGGAGCTCCTCTCCTGCTCTTCTCCCTCCCACTGTTCCTCCTTCCTCTTCTTCAAACATGAGCCAAGAATCTCTGTACCGCTGCTCCCTGATCTGGAACGATCTTCCCCTAGATTTCTGCACGACTTTCTCCCTCACCTTCTTCCCAAGCCACTCCAGTTAAAATTCTACCCTCTGCACCTCCTATCCCACAGCCCTCCTTATGTATCTCCATAACACGTATCGCCATCTGAAATATTATACACATTACTGTTTTGCTGTTGTTGGTCATCCTTACTAAGATATAAGCTCCATGAGACAGGAGGTTTGGCTCCTACTGCCTAGAACAGGTATTTAGTAAGGGCTTAATGTGTATTGAATGACATAATGAATTCATGAAATAGGATTATAAAATTCTTGAAAACAGATTTTGATTCTAATTGCTTTTGTGTGTAGCATCTAATAGCAGGGTTCGATAAATGGCTGTGGAAAGAGCAAATAAAGGGATGGATAAACATTTATGTCTGCATCAGGAAGACAGAACAGGCATCAGGGAGGGGTGGATGAGAACTAGCCTTCCCTGGATGAAGCTTCATGAAGAACTCTCGGAAGGCCATGGCCTGACCTAGAGTCTAGCCAAGAGGGTTGATCTCATTACTCACATGAGCTTGAACCTACTGGGGGAAGGCTGGTTTCAGCAAAACATCGGTAGAAACTTATTTCCACAGTGGCTTTAGTGTCATGATGCAGGAAAATTCCTCAGAGAAAGTATCTAGTTTAGGATAAATCTTCACATAAGGGATGAAGTCTGGCTTTTAGGTAGATAATGAGGAGCTGAAGTCATGCTCCAGGTCACTTAAAAGGTAATTCCCATTTGTTATTGGATTTAAACTCAGACCTGAGTGCTGCGAGATCATATTTATGATCACCATCTGGGTGTGAGGAAGACAAAGCATATGGTATTTTGGTAGAACTGCTAGAACTGTATTAATTAGCAAGGATACCCTCAATTAGTCTAAGTCATTAATTCTGGATTTACCTGCACAGGACACCTTCCTGGCTGAAGGATAACAGGCCCTGGGAGTGTTATTTCACTGTCTCAACACTAAATTGGCTCTTCTGCTCCCAGCTCGTCTGCTGGGATTTCAGAAACTCCCTTTATTAAGAAGCACAAGCAGGCAGAGCACATCTTGATGTACTCTGGAGGGCTTGGGTTGACCCGAAGGAGCCCCGCATGGAAAACTGTGTAGTTGTCTGCTCCCAGCAAACTTCCCTATATGGGCCACTCTTTATTCTAGAATTACTTTCTACCTATCCATCCCTGTAGGTAGCATCATGCTGCATCCCCTCCACCTGCTAATCACCTCCCTGATGTCCCACCACCTGCTGCCTACTCCCTGATTTCCCACTACTCACTGCAGGCTGTACTACCTGCAAGGACACCAGCAAATGCTCCAACACAGGAATAGCAGAGGCACCTTCTCGCTACCTGCCTCTCTCTGGCTTAGAGGAAGAAATCAGCAGACAATGAAATAAGGGTGTCATGGGTCCTCTGCAGACAGTCTCTCATCTGGGAGTTTTCAATGCCAGTTTTCCTCATCAGGGAATTGCAGAGACCTTCGAAAGTCATTCAGTCTATACCCTATAAGCCAGCAGCACTCACTCCAGAGGGTCTAAAAAGGGAGAGTTTCGGTATGTAACTTGAACAGTCTTTTAAAATGTGAGCCTTTTCTTCTTCACCAGTATTTAAAGACAAGGGGGAAGGGCTTCAGTCTTTGACATAATAATTCTCTAACCATTTTTTGGTAACATGGACAAAATGGGAATTGGGTAAAATAACAAGTGTGAGTGCTGGTTCTGCCAGATGCTTTGTGATCTTTATCACTTTACTTACTCCACTCTGAATCTCAATTGCTGCATCTATAACATGGGGGTATTGTGCCATTCCTTCAGTAAATACTTATTGACTTCCTAGTAGACAGCAAGCTCTATGGTTGGTTACTGATAATAATGGCAGCTAACTTTTACTGAATATTATTATATGCCAGGCACTGGGTGGTTTTTTTCTATTTTAAATTAATTAAGTCATTCAATTTTCACTAGAACTTCATTAGCTAGGGTACTATCTCCCTCATCCCCAGTTTACCAATAAGTAAACTGAGGCACGGGGTGAAGTAACCTGTTGAAGATCAAGCAGTTAGATGGGAGGCAGGCATTTGAATTTGGGATGTTGATTCCAGGTTCTCTGCAATGAGTTGGTCAACCATGCTGCCTCCCAGGTGTTAGTGACCTAACAGTGGACAAAAACAGACTGGGATCCTGCTCTCATGGAGCTCACTGTCTAGTGAGGTAGAAAGGCATTGAACATATCATTATAATAATAAATATGATGAATGTTCTGAAGAATAAAACATGGTACTGTGAGGATACCTTATTATGGCTCCTGGCCCTTTCTGCCCTGAGGAAGGAACACTTGATCTGAGATTTGCAGAATAAGAGGTGTTCATCAGTTGACAGGGTAAGAGAATTCTAGGTAATGGGACCAATGTGTGCAAAGGCCTCATGGTAGAATGAAAACGGTTTTGGAAGAACTGAGGAAGGCAGTGAGGCTGGAATGCAGAAATTGGCTAAGGGAGGGGGCCGAAGTGCTGGAGAAGTGGGCTGGGGCCACTCCATTTAGGTCCTAATTTACCTGTTTAATATTTTTGTCACAAGAGGAATGGCAATACATGAAAGAGTTTTAAGAAGGGCCCTTGATATGATCAGGTGTCTGTGTTGGAAATAACCCTACCTTTAACATGCTCTGCAGATTAAAGATGAAAATCTTTTCAGATGTTGCATAGTGCTACAATATTAGTGGTTTTAATTAATGGGAATCTAGGTCACTCTTTCCCCTGTGATTTTGCATCATCACAGTGTCACCCCTTGGACATTCTGGGATTATGTCCCTCCTGTCAATCTAATACACCTGGAGTCAGGAGCCATATATAAGATGATTTAAGGGATGTCAGCAAATCAGACTGGACACAATATTTCTCTTACTGAAACTTGCACAACCTAAAACTTTCAGCATCAATGTCTTTGTTAATATGCAAATGCTATCCGTTCAATACTACCACATTAGTGGTTGATAAGATTACTTAAATTAGTGCTGGAGCCCTGAAGAAGTGGTGACCAGGATGATTAAAATTCTGGTTATAAATAGGGTGTAAAAACCTTAGAACAGGGGATGATGTCAAGACCAGCCCGGTATTGTCATGAGGAAAAGGTAAGCTTTGTGCAATGGATGTTGACTGAAGTCAAGTTTTTCTTAATTAACAGGGACTGATCCTGCAGGGGAGTTTGTACTAAAGACAGCCAGCTATTTATCAAAGAACTGGCCCACAACTTCAAAATATACAATTAAAAATTTTGATGTATTTTTGCCAGGGATGGGAGGATTTAGCAATTAACTGCAAATCTGCAGCCTTGCTGTATATGTTAATTCAAAATAATCTTTCAGATGTACAAAAACCTATAGACAGAGTGAGTGACCCTATCAGTATCCTGAGGGCAGAGATCACAGGTACTTCACTACATACGTCAGCACCTGGCATACAATCGTGTATGCTAGGGGGCTTCATCAGTGTCTCCTATGGGCTCCCTGACTTAATGACTGTGTGGAGTAATGCAATACGATGAGGACTTTTGCCAGCGGCTGAGTATTATTTCTGGAAAGGCAACGCTCCTGTACTGGGCCTTGAATTCTCCTTCCCTGCTGAACTCCAGGTTGTTCTATTCAACTCTCTTGGTCCTTCTGTCCTCATAGCAAGTGGTGGGTACCTGGGGCATCCCTTCAGAAACACTGCTAACTTCGATGTCTCTTACCTTGAGCCTTGACATCATCCACCACGGGGCATGGGGTCTTCACGATCACGTCGCTTGGCCTGGAGCGCCGTCCTGTGTTGTCCACTCCCCACAGCGTGAACCTGGCAGGGAGTGGGAGGGCATGGTTAGCAGAAACAGTGTGGCTGGAGGCTAGATCTCTGTGGCCCTAGCTCATGGCCCAGCTCTGCCTGAATGGGTGGCTATGGACCCAGATACTCTCGTCATCCTGGGTCACGTTTACTGCCACCATCCCAGGCAGAAAGATGAAGCCTAGAGCCTCTCACTGCTTCCTAGTGGGTCTTGGGTTGTAATTTGCTGTCTTGGGTATATTTTTTGGCAGAAAGCATCTGGCATCAGGCACCGGTTCTCAAAGTCGGGCCCCCAGACCAGCAGGACCAGCATTACCTGGGAACCTGGGAGCAGCAGACCCTAGCCCAGACCCACTGAATTAGAAACTCTAGGGATGGGAACCAGACCTCTGTGCTTTCCCGGGTGTTCCAGGTGACTCTGGTGCCTGTTAAACTTTGACAACCACTCAGGGGAAGAGTTTATATCTTTGGAAACAGACAGTCAGAACTTGGGTCTGAAGCCACATAGTTATAGTGAATGCCTGTGAAATGGAGATGATAATAAGACTACTTGTAAGCCACTGTGAGAACGAAATGAGACAACAATGTACAGAAATACCTGAAAGATAATATGGTTCATGACATTGCATATATCACACTAGTTCTCTTCAGTTCCTTCCCATGTGCAGTCAACACCTCTATGCAAAGGACCGGGGACAGCTTCCCTCTTTAAAGTGAGATGCAAAACAGCCCTAGTGGAGAGTCTCTTGGCTTGCCTGTGGCTAGACTCTTCATTCCCCACATACAGCTCACTCTGTTCCTCTGAGATACTGCCCACTGTGGACCAGGAATCCAGAGTGGAAACATCGCAGTCTCCATGACAATGTGAAGACATGATTCTAAGGAGCCCCTTCCTAGAAGAAAATGAAAACCTGGCTATTAAAGGCTGAAAGTAAAATTTCCCCTTGGGTGATGGAGCTAGATGGAGAGGAAGAAGAGGAATTCTAGGTTCTGCCACTGAAAAGGGAATCTGAACACAACCATGGCAATCAGCTCTGGTGTCTGTGCCAAGGGCCTCTGATAACCAACCCAGTCGGTCTAAAGAAAATCATTAATGTCGCCTTTCTTGTCACTTTACTTTCTGCTGTGTCACCACAGGAGGCTGCATTTATTGGCAATTATTTTGTTTTCTTTTGGCACAGTTACAGGGAGGGAGAGAGGTGAAAAGGAGAGAGAGGCCCCAAGACACAGTGGTCCAGTTAAATGTCAGCTTGGCATGGAACAGACGTGCTGGTGAAGTAGAAAAGATATAGATAATTGCTTAATGATTCTGGCAAGAAATATGCATTTCTCTCAACAGAGAAAAGACAACCATGGCCCACCACTCCCTCCCCACAAAGACATCCACAGAATGGTCAGTGTGAGAGCCTGTGTGCCCCAATACGCCATTTGCCTTCCCTCTACCTTCTCCAAATTATCATGCTGAATTACGGGGGCCTCACACAGGCAGCCCCCATACCACCTGAACACTGGTCTGCTGGGACTCAGAATGTGACGATCTGCCTAGATTCAGGACACAGCAGGTTGGGCCACACCTGCTGGCCTCCTGCAGGACTCCTGCCCCTCCTTGCTGTCAGACCAGGACCAAGTGTGCAGCCCTTCACTCCTGTCTACAACACGGTGGCTCAATCCACTTCACTGGCCTCTGCCTCATCCCCTGTTCCTGAGTTCTTATAAATGGTCTTACCTTGTACTCAACCCCAGCCTGACCCTGATTCCAAACTCAAGGTCTTCTCACCCTTGTCTCCTTGCCATTCCTCTCCTCTAAGCTCAGAGGGGAGCCCCTACAGCTTCTCGGTGGCAATGCTAGGCTGGCTGGACCCCTAGCAGTGGCAGTCATGAAATTTTGCATCATTTGGCCCCACATGCCATATGCTGATGTTTCATCAGCTTCTGGTACTGTTTCTAGAATTGTGAATGTGGCCACCAAACCCAGCAGCTGGTGTATCTGACCAGCCCCGTGTAGAACTAGCTCTGTTCCTGGTTCAATCCCACAATCCAGTCCCAGGTCAGCACCAACTCCCTCCTCTGCCCACCTGCTCTAGACCATCTTGACCTTCCCTTTCAAGAAGGCGCCCAAAGGTACCACTCTGCAGATTTCAGACTTGTACCTAGTAGTCTGGGACTCCCACAAGGCGAAGTTCCCCCTCATACCCGTGTTTCCTCCATAAAGTAGCAAGTGAGAAAGCCCCAGGATTAACAATGTCATACAAACCTCGGTAGCACTGCCCTCTAGGGGCCCGAGTGAGCCCCCTTCTCCCACAGAGGTCCTGACACCAGGGCTCTTGTGCGTAGGAAGTCCGTCCTCTGCCCAGAGGTGGAGTGGCTTTATCCTTGTTGCAGACTGTGCCCTAAGCCCAGTTCTGGCTATCAGTTCTCATCAGTGTCAGGAGATAGGAAGTCCTGTTCTCTCCCAGGCTGATGCTCTCAGGCCAGCATGGTCACAGGGCTGGGGCATGGGCCTGACCCGGTCCTCTGGTCCTCGCAGTTCGCTCTCCCTCTTCCTACAGGGCCTGCACCCCTGACTGTGTGTCTGAGTCCGTAAGTCTAGGCCCCTGTTCTGGTTTCCATTGCTGAGGTCCTGCCTGCCCAGTGCCCCATCCCCTGTCATTCTGGCCCTGCTCTGCCTGTTCCTGCCTGACTACCAGAGCCCTGAGCATGGTGTTGGAACTCAGGTCAGGGCTGCAGTCTGGCTATGTGCAGCTCTGGGCCACATGATGCTGCCTGCAATATGTTAAAATGTCACCTGCCCTAGACCGTCTATGGCTGCATTCCAGCCACCTTTTGTAGCCCACCATTCCTTAACCCTGGACCCTTAATTTCTAAGTGTCCTTGGACTATAATGAGAAACATCCTACTTCGTTGTCAGATGGACCCCTTCTCTCTCAGTCAATCCCCACCTCTCCCCCCGCCCCCAAGCTGGCCCAAGCTCTGCCCTGTGGCCTGCCTTGCTGTAAGTTCCAGCTAAACTGTATTGGATGCTGACCTAGGATGAAAATACCTGTCCTCACATTAATTCTCACATTACCCCAATGGGGCAATCAGTGCAAAATTTAAGTTCTCCAGCTCTTTCCACTTTTAGTAGTGTATTTTATTTTTAACATGAAGCAGGTATTAGAAAAGGAGATACTTCACTTAACCTTCTGAGGAGGGTCCAGGCTTGACCTAAGGGCCATTCCTCAGTAGTCCCAAATCCCTCAGTTTTGGAGGGCCCACTGAAAGAGCAGTCAGTTTATTTCATCATCATGGCCGGGGGAGCACTTTACACATTTCATGTGGAAATGCCATGTGCGGTCATCTCAGAAAGGCCTCGGCTTACCGTTAGCGTTATCGTTTCTACCACTGAACACTCAGCACCCTCAGAGGGTTAGATGGGATTACTGGGCAGAAGAGATAAGCCCTGCTCCCAGTGGGAAGGCTCATGTGTTAGTATATTTACTGCTTTGTCCAAAACTCCTGGGCTTCTTCCACTGCTGCCTGGCTGGGATTGTTCAGCCCACAGCTAGAGACTTGGTGATGACCCCAACGGAGGCCTGTGTGAGTGCGCACCGACACAGAACAGCTCTGCTTCCAAAGGTGGGTCTTAAAGGCCTGAAACTTGATGTGAGTGGAGGACTCGTAAGCCCCCTGCTAAGGACTGGCTCTCTTGTCTGATACTTTCCCACTTTCCTTCTCCAGTCATGGTGGTTTCTGCCCATCCCTCTGATCTGCCTCCCTTTTTTCTGAATTATCTGTCTGCTGTCACACGTCCGGAAAGAGAGCAGCTCTCCTGTGAGCATGCATTGTGATGATGGGGCAGTAGGTTGAAAGGCCTGTGAGTCACCTCCCTACCCTGGCCTCAGTTTCTTCATCTGTAAAATGAAGAATGCTGGACCAGACATACTTTAAGGTCTCTTTCAAGTAGGAGTTCTTCGCTGTTTTTGGGCCATGGATCCTTCTCAGAATAATGTTTTAAAAAGCATTAAATAAAATATAAAAAGTGACAAAGGAAGCCAGCTAAGCAGAAATGCTGTTCCACCTCTGTGGATCCCAGGTGCAGAGCCAGCGCTCTGCTTTAATATGAGGTAATGAGGTCATGCTCTGAGATTCTCACAGTAACCTAGAGCAGCAGGGAGTTAAGATGCAAGGCTTGCATACCCGAAGCAACTAGCTGTGTGATTCTGGGGCGGTTACTCCGTTTTCTTGCACCTGTTTCCTCAATTAAAAAATGGAAACAATACCCCTAATCTCACAGAGTCAGAGGGGATTCTCAGAGTCAGCACTCCATTAATGAAGGCCGCCCTCCTCCCAGTTTATAGAAAGAAAACTTAGTTGGAGAAAGTTTCAGTGTCTTGCTTACAGCCATTTAGTGGTTAGGAACAAAAAACCAGGCTTGCAGCCCATGTATTCTTAACTCTTAATCTAGGGCTCTGTCCCTATCCCAAGGGCTGAAGCGCAGCTCTCCTGGATCCTTCCGGGAGAGGAATGTCACTCCTGGCCTCCCACACGGCCCTCTTCTTGTGATCTGCAGCGCCACCTGGTGGAGATTTGCTGTTTCTTCCTTAGCCCCCTGCATTGGCTCCAACTTCTCAATAAACAGCATTCACAGTTCGCATTTTATAAGATGTAGGAGGGACATAATGGGAGATCAGCAAAGACAGCTGGAGTGAGAGACGGTATTGGCCTCGGTCTCTGATCAGAAACGCAGCCAATCAGGCCAACATGAGGAGGGTCGCAGTGTGGGTAATGGCTGCACTCCTAATACCACTTCTTGTACATTGGAACTTTGGAATTCCTAAGTAACAGTGTGATTTAGTCACAACTGAAGGACTACTGAGCCTTTACTATAAATGATAGTTCAAGTTTCACTGAGTTTGAGATGCCTTACAGCAGGTTAGGTGGTCTGCACTCCCAAATCCTTGTTCCTTTCACCTGCTCCCCTCCAATAAAGGGCCACAACTGCCCCCTATCAAAAGAGCCAACGAGAATCATGGCATTGGTGGAATCACCCAAAAAGTGGACCAACATGGTCTTAGTATTCTCATCTGTGTCTATATATACTGTCGAAATCCTCTAGAATGTCACTTGTGTTTATGTACTTTACTTTCATCATGCATAGCCCATAGCAACATCCCTTTTTCCTATATTGAAGACATTCAGCCTGAGCACTGAAGTTCATCTTGCAATCAATGCCACTCAAATTTCTAGTGCTTTTCATCTCTGAACTCTTTAACTGTGGAAATAGACATGATTTATTCTGGAAACCTTGACTCTATTCTCGTGATCTCCTCTGCAAACTGTTAAATGTTTTTCATACTGATGGGGTCACGAAGTCCTACAACGACATCACTATGAATTCTGCCTTAGCACCCAAATTTTTCCATCATGATTTAGATTCTATCATTATCTCTCCTTTTCTGGCATCTTTTACATCTCTGCGTCACAAACATTTTACAATTGTTTCCAGAGCACAGGGAGAAATGGGGAAGAGTTCGCAGAAAGAATAGGGTCATTCCAATGGCCATGATATAGTTCGCTGCATTTCTTTGAAGAAAAGTGCTGCCCATTTCTAACATTTCTAAATTACTTCAATGCCATTGGAGCTAGCTAGCTTTCTAAAGCAGAGTTCTTGGTATTCTATGCCTTTCCTCAAAAATGACTCCTTGGACTTATAGCATTCTATCTTTCCAGTCTCACTTTCTTCCTTTCCCTTTTACTCACCGTCTGCCTCTGCCCTACTAGACTACTTGCTACTCACCTTCATGCTTCTTCACCTTTGCCTTTGCAGCTTCCTGAGCCTAGTATACCTTTTCCAACATGACTGTTGGTTGAAATTCTACACAACACAGTTTAGATGACATCCACTCTAGTTAGAATTAATCACTTCTTTCTTCTCTTTTACAATTTTTTTTTTCATTTTTTGCTTTTCTATCTACATTTATTTAATTCTGCCTTAAGTTAAAGTTAGTTTTTTATATCTTTCCCCTCTATGTTGCAAACTCCTCAAGGGACAGGACCGTATTATCTTTCTAGATCCCCCCATTCCAGTGTCTAAGTACTCGAGAACATTCTCTATAATGCCACCTGGGATAAGACTTCAGAGACTCAACATGTTTTGCTGAGTCTCTAAAGGAACTCAAGTAGCAAGAAGAAACCGGTAAGAAGCCTTGGGACTGTCAGGGTAAGAAGTCACTAGGTAGGTGTGTGTTACTCACATGTAAATGGTGTCAGGTTCCAGGCATCGTATGATCAGAGAGATGGTGGTGAGCTGCTTGTCCGGCACCTGAGATGGCATTGCACAAGGAGACTTTGCTCCAGAGATGATGTCGTCCACAAAGCTCAGCACTGTTTCTGCCCAGAGGAGAAGGAATGGAAAAAGCATGAGAAACAATGACGGCCAAGCAATGAGGAGATGGAGTCAACTCAATGAGAACTTAACATGACAATGATTTGGTCCTCAATCTCTAGAGTAGAGAAGGAGACTTAGAAGGAATGGCCTTTTCTATTTCATATTTAACCACTCAGAGCTGTCTAGAGTTAGTTCAGACACAACTAGGGCAAGGGATACACATCACACCTGAGAGCTTCTTTTTTTTTTTTTTTTTTTGAGACAGAGTCTAGCTCTGTCACCCAGGCTAGAGTGCAGTGGCGCGATCTTGTCTCACTGCAACCTCCGCCTCCTGGGTTCAAGCAATTCCCCTGCCTCAGCCTCCCAAGTAGCTGAGATTACAGGCACATGCCGGGGTTTCACCATGTTGGTCAGGATGGTCTCGAAATCCTGACCTCGTGATCCGCCCAGCTCGGCCTCCCAAAGTGCTGGGAATACAGGCGTGAGGCACAACGCCTGGCCTGGGCGCTCCTTTATAAAATTTTCTTGGCATGGACAGAGATAGCATTCTGGTCAGTGGTCCCTGCCGTACCTCAGCAATACCTGTGCGCATCAGGCAAAGGGCCTTGGAAGAAGCGGTAGGCAGCTCTCTATGCCTGAAGCAGCAGCTGCGTATGTCTCTAACCCTCAGTGGCAGGCTCACCAGTAGCTGTTTATTTTGAATTAGATTGTTGGTGCCATCATCCTGCTGGTGACCACATCCCATGCATAAGTTTTTGGGATTATGAATGTTGACCTTTCACTGTGTGCAGGTAGTGAAATACTAAGGCAAGGAACATTTTTCATGGGGTGTTTCCATTTTGTTAAGGCTTCCCTCTTACTAGCTGGACCTGAGAAAAGCAGTTTGCTTCAGGAAAAGACATGGGCCAAACACATCTGTTTGCACATGCTTTTGCCTGGAAGGGGGTTATTAGCAAAGGAATTTTTTTTCTGTAATCATGGCAGTGGTTAGCAGAGAATTGTTTCCTAATTGTGGGCTAGGATAACTAGTGTATTGTATTGTTGTTTCTTTGTGAGTGTGCCTAGAGGCAATGAAATGGACACCTCTTTTATAAACAAAAAACAAAATCAAAACAAGGCTTTGTCAGATGCTCACCAGGCAAAAACTCTTAAATGGACAAGATGGCTGCTGCTTGGAAGAACAGCTGCTTCCTGGAGAAGAAGAACAGCTTCTTCTTCTCCCTGCTCCTCCTGCATTGCCCTGGGATACTGGGGACCTGGAGCAAAGCCATGAGGCAGGGCATTTTTCTTTGTTTTAGTTTTATCACCTTGGATCAAGACAAGCCCATGAAGTAGAAGGTGCTCACCTGTCTCCACTTTGGAGTGGTCCATCCTGTCAGTGACTTTCTCTTGACGGAGGAGGTAATCTACAATCTGCACCCCGATTGGTGGCTCTGAGTGTTCCCACTCCAGGACCACAAGAGTGCTGCTGGGCTCGTGAACCGTGGAGAGTCTCAGCCTGTGTGCAGACAGGAAGGAACATGAAACAGGGACACAACTGTGACTCACTTTGGGCACTGACTACCTCAATTGTGATACTGTAAGCTTTTCTTTCCCAACCAACTACAAAAATGATCTCTTTGAGGGCCTGTCTCTTTCAAAAGATAGTAATGTTTTTGAGGACTCTTGAGATCTATGTTTTATGTATTAAATGCCTGTTACATATTATAAACTCAGCCAATAAGTGTAAATAAATAAATCAGTAGGTGAGTCAAAGATTAATGAATGTCTGCATATTACATGGGTCAGAGGATAGGGCTTTTGGAGTAGTACCATTTTATATGGCTGGAAAATATCATAATTTCTAGATTTTCTCTTGAAAAATATCAAGAGAGTGTGTGTATACTGCTCATATAAAGACGTATTGAAGGTGATGTCCAGAATCTCAAATTAATAAGGCCACAGTTGGTTTGGCTTCCATAACCTTATCAGGATCTGCCGTGCTGGTGGGGGAAACCCCAGCTTCCCTTCTTGCTATGGGAACTAACCTATCCTTTTCTCCAGGCCATCTGCTAGCTGGACCTTGGAACAGGTTCAGTTTGGAAGTAATATTCATAGGGGGCTTTACTGGACAAGAGAAAGTTGGCCACATGTCAAGTTCTCCTTGGAGTGATGTCTTCTGCCTGCTTGCCCAGATTCTGATTTCAGTTTCTGTCTTTGCTCTTGGGTTTATATGGATATCCTGGTTCCTGATTCCAGCCTTTCCTTGCTTTTCTCACTTCATACTCTCCTTATTCTTTACAAGTTGTCCACATTTACCACTGTCTTGCCTTGCCAGCTCATACCTCTCTGTACCTCGCAGAAACTTAATAATCCTTGTTGGCATTCACTGGTATGGATCTCTTAATTATCCACGTGGTTTCAATTCACAGCCACCTTCTGATTTCTTGTATGTGCCTCAGGTTTCCCCTCTTTCTTCCAATTCTGTGTTTCTTTCAAGATGACTGGATTCTGGGAATGTTCCCCATTCCTGCTCACTCCAGCCTCCCTCCCTTACAAGTATCCCTGCCATTTATCTCATCCTTGGTTCCCAGATATCATGATCACTCATATTCCTGGCCCTCCTTTTCTCTGCTTGGCTCACAGGTGCCTGTCGGTCGTCTCAAGGATCACTGTGCAAGGTACTAAGAATGAATGACACCAAACCATCTGCAATCTTCAATTTCAATTCAACAGATATTTGTGAAGCATCCATTTGCTACTGGGGATGCAGTGGTGCACAAGCCCATCCCAGTCCCTTCTTTAAAGGAGCTTAGTGAGCAATAGAAGCATATAATTATACATGTGATTATAATAATATGTGATAAGAGTTTCAAAAATAAATTATAGTAGACTGTGGACACAAAAGTAAGGAATTCAACTAGTGGGAAAATAATACAAAACACATGCTCTTCTGTTAGTGAAGGAGTGCATAGTTTGCATATGACATTGAAGATGGAATAGACCCAAAACTGTGCAGATATTGACAAATTCATTAATTAGAGTCATATGCAGAGTGCTGTTTTGAAAAAAAAAGCATTAGGAACGTTAAATAAGTTAGATTTCTGAGAACACAAATTCTGTGAAAATATGGACTAAACCCGGCCTCTTCTGAGAAATAGAAGTGTATATGATTTACACAGACTTGTGTAAAACTAAAGTATATTTTCGTTTCCCACTGAAACTAAGGTTTGCTACTGAAGGAGGTGATCAGTTGTCAAGAAAAGGAAAGTCCTTAATAGACATTTACTGTTTATGAAAATTTAGCCCAATTTAATCTTTTGCAATAAGATTTAGTAAACACAGGTTTAAAAACAAAATAAGCCCTAGGACATTATGGCTGGATCTTGTGTCCACCTGATAACATTTGGTAGCTTCAGTATTGTTTCAGAGGTAGCTCTCTTACCTGGTGAATTAGTGTAACAGCAGCAGTTCTCCTAGTGGCTCCCTTTATACTAAATGAAGGAACTTTTATTAATAATGAGCTTGATTCTCTTTTAACTCAAGAAGTCCAATCATGACTATGAAGAACAGGAAGCCAAAGGCTAGTGTATCTACAGCCAAAGGCTGTAGGTATCTAAAACCACCTACAGAGAGAAGACAGACTGTGGACAAGAGAAGAAATTGGCTTGTAATGACCCTCTAGTGCTGCATTCTCCTCCTTCCTCTGATTTCTTCTTGCTCTGTCCTGGCCCTTTAGTGCCTACCCGCACCTGCATGAAACAGGCCAGAGGGCAGCCTCTCAATTGCTGCTTTCCTAAGCGGTCTGTTGCTCCTGCCTACTCAGCCTTTCACTTTTGCAGGCCCTGATCTTTACTTCAGGATTTCTTTGCCTTACCAGCCCCTGGGGTCACTCTCTTCCAGCTTGTCATGCCAGCAGTCTTTATTAGATACAATATTCCTGTGGCTTCAGTCCCATGGCAGATGCCATATTAGAGGCTACAAGGGATTCTTGTCTCAGGTCCTGGCCCTCAGCTTGGCCAGTTCTGTTTCGTCTTCCATTGAGGGGAAGGAAATTGGGCATGTCCATTCTCAGACACCTTTGTAGCACTTCATCCTCTTCACCCCTCAAATGCAGACTCTCCTATTGTTCATCCCCAGCCCTCTGCTCTTCCCACTTGATTATTGTTCTGGAGCACTCTTTCTAATAGCTGTGGTTTCATCTCCCATTTCTCTGGGGTTGACTGAAATCTCATCTCTAGTATTTACTTTTTTGCAGAGCTCCATCTTTCTTTCTGCACACTGAACATCCCCACACACTCAACTACCCCATGACAGCTCCAAGGCAAGCCCAAATGAAACTGGCTTCCTCCTCAAACCTGCCTATCCTTTGATTCTTCTTTGCTCACTGGTGGCCTATTCATCTTCCCAGCCACCAGGGTCAGAAGTCTTAAGTTCACTTTCCACTTCTCCTTTCTCCTCACCACTACTTCAATCAGTCACCAAGCCCTGTTGGTTCTGCCCCAGATCATCTCTCAATTTTATCCTCTCCGTACTATAATGGCCAAGAACATGCCTCTTAACCAATTCTGCTTCCTGCTCTACCACTTTGGAAAATCATTCAATCCATTTGAATGCATTTTTTTTTGTCTATTAAATGAGCAGTATCTAACTGCTCCATACAATGCCTGGCACCCAGTAAGTGTTCAATGAGTGGTTATGTTTTTGGTCTAGTTAAGCTCTCAGTGTAGATCTCTAACTTCTTCCATTACAATGGCACTTTTCTCCCCATTGTCTTCTAGTTATGCTGTCCTACTTTCTCCACCTTCAAGGAGAAGTTCAAGCGCCACCTCCTCCACAGAGCCGTCACCATGGCGTCAGTTCAGACTTGACCATTCCCTCTTCACACTTTCTTTAAATGCCTCTTGTTAACACTTGTCACACCCTTTCTCTACTAAAACCATCTGTGCTGCCTCCCTTGGTAGATTGAAAGCTCTCTAAAGGCAGGTATTGTGTCATATTTTTCTTTGTTTCCCAGTACCCAGCCTATTTCTTTGCAAATAGTAGACGCTCATTATCTGTTTCCAGAGTAATGCTGAAAGAGAGAAAGAGAACCATACACAGGCTGTGGGAGAGGCGCACAGGTGGGGAGTCCATCAGCTCCAAAAGCAGTGGAGTCACATCGACACCAGTCCTCGATGACATCTCCAGTCCCTGAGCACCAGAGAGAGCTCATGGTAGCCTCCTGCAAGAGCTGCATAAGAGAACAGGGAAAAGATTGAGTGTTGAGAAGCCAGGGCTAGGCCATCAGAATCAAGAGGCAGAGTGTCAAGGATCTGCATGGCCCTAAATTACTTCCAGCAGCAGGTTGTGTCGCCACTTTATCATTGTCTCAAATTCTGATTCCAGGAGATTGTTTCTGGGAAGCCTGAGCCTCTTAGAACCTCTAGGGTGTCCATCTCCCTTTACCGTAACAGTTCCTCCTTGTGGTAATGGGCTGCCACTTTGGCAGCAAGTCATATTCCGCCCTCCATCTGTCTCATATACCACTCCATCATTCCACAACTTAGGCTCTAGAAAAAAAATTACGCCTCTACCACACATCTTCTGGGTGGCTACTCTTCCCTCTGCCCAGAGGCATTTGCCTTTTCCCAAATGCTTCTCTGTGCATCCTTATCTACCTGCCCCAGTATTCCCTTTGCATTCCTTCAGCATGCTTTCTAACCTGCTTGCAATATTTTTGCAATGCTGCCTTGGGTTGTGACTTGGCATTAGGCATTTCTTTCTTAGTAAATCATGAACAGGAGAAGCAATGTGGCACACAGGCTAAGAGCTGGGCTCTGGAGCTGTCAGCCCTGAGTGAGAACTCCTGCTTTGCCAATCACTGCCATGTGACCTTGGGCAAGTTACATAAGCTCAGTTTCCTCAATAATAAAATGGGATAAAAATAGCACTTTCCTAATAGGCTTGCTGTGATAATTAAATCTAATAATATGTGCCAAATGAAATAATGTATGCATAGTACCTGGAACACATTAGTCACGAATAAATGCCAGCAATTATTATTGCCTTTGAATAACAGGGTTGAGTCTTAGATAGAAATTTGTAACCATCACAGAACCTAGCAGAATTCTTTACATGCAGAGGGTTCATAGAGATATTTACTATTAAGTAAAAGGACAGAAGAATAAAATTAGACCAGTGAAGTAACAGAACCCGTAATAGGGCCAGTCCCTGGTGGCGACGTGGATCCTGATGGAGTACTGACCCTTCAGTGGGGCGCTGCTGCCTCAGCCCTATCCCAAGGGGAGGGAGAGGGTGGGACTGGCTGCAGGGAGCATGGCTGGTCCAAGCTAGCCAAGTCAGGACTTTCTCTCTGGGTGAGCTCAACATCTGCAGCTTTGGCTGTTTCTTATGATTCTCTTCTCTTTGTTTCATTCTCACTACATTCACACCTAATCAGTAAATTAGAAAAGTGAAACCTGGCTATCCTTGAAAATTTTAGACCAAAGAATTCAAAAGAAAAAAGAAAAAAGAAAAGAAAAAGAGACAAACGGAAAACAGGAGATAACTCTCCAAAAATCAGAATGTCTAAACCTAAAGCCAGCAGCCTATGTTCCATTCTTTCAGAACTTTACATTGGCCACCTTAGGTTAGAATAGTTAGACTAAGGGTCCATCCTGCCCCCTCCCCAGATCGGAAGCCTCTAGGAAACAGAAACCAATGAATGATTATAACTATCATTTGTGCAGAGATTTATAATTTACAAGGCCCTTTTTGATGCTAACACTTTGATGAATGGTTATCATGATTTACAGTGGAGAAGACTGAGAGTCAAAGAGATGAGGTGACTTGCCCAGGGTCATAGGGTGGTGAAAAGGGCAGTGCCAGAACCTGAGTTCAACATGACTCACTGGACAACTCAGGCTCCCAGCATGAAGCCTGGTGCATAAGTGCCCACTTTATGCTTTGCCTGACTGATCCAAACTCAAAATTAAAAGGTGCATTGCTTAAAACTAGGAAAACAGATGTCCTTTGAGATAGGTAGAATAAAGGCAACATTGTGACTACTGCCTTGCAGAGCCTTCAATCAACAATTATTTGCTAAGCACCTGCAAGGGGCCATTTTCTACGTGAAGCATTAAGGATACGAGGATGCACAAGACACCTGTGGCCCCTGTCTGCATAAATCTTAAAGTCAGATGACAAACAAACTAGCAAAGTTACAATAACCAAATCACCACACCTGTGGTTAGAACCTCAAAGGAAAAGGTTGAGCTGCCATGAATGCATATGGTGGCAAGAGAGACAAGGAAGGGTAGATAAGCTTACAGAAGGGTACGCGGAGGCCTCTATGAGGATGCAACTTTTTATCTGAGCTCTGAGGGCTGGATCAAAAGTTATTTACTCATGAAAGTTGAAGTAGTGTTCCAGGTTGAAAAAACAATGTCAACAAGACCAGCCTGGATGGAACTTGACTTCTAAAATCAATGGAAAAAAAGGTGGGTCTGTCTGTAAAAGACAGCCTGAGGGAGAAAAGACATTCTCAGCAAGTGGGAGGGAGACAGGGCTGAAACACAGAAGCCTTGTGGGTTATGGTGAGGCAGGGGGCCACATTTCAAGAGCGCTGGTAAGTAATTGCAGTATTTAAAACAGTGGAGCAACATGATCAGATTTTCAATCCAAAAGAGAAAGGACAAATACCTGTGATGACAAATAAGCTAAATGTCATTTTGCAAAAGCTGTCACTTTCCATCTTCAATTCACACCACTCCATAAGAGTTCCTACTCTGGGCAGGGTATGGTGGCTCATGCCTGTAATCCCAGCACTTTGAGCGGCCGAGGCAGGAGGATCACCTGAGTTCAGAAGTTCGAGACCAGCCTGGCCAATGTGGCAAAACCTCATCTCTACTAAAACTACAAAAAGTAAGCTGGCCATGGTGGCGGGCGCCTGTAATCCCAGCTACTCAGGAGGCTGAGGCAGGAGAATCTCCTGACCCTGGTAGGCAGAGGTTGCAGTGAGCTGAGATCATACCACTGTACTCCGGCCTGGGCAACAGAGCAAGACCTGTCTCAAAAAAACAAAAATTAAAATTAAAAAAAAAAAGAGTTTCTACTCTCTGAATCCTGGGCTGCAGGTAACTGCAAACTGTTGGATGAGGATAGAAGAGAGGAATTAAGAAGGAGCCCATTTGGAAAGAAAAAGAAAGGGAAATTACATTTGTCTGAGTATCTACAATGTACCCAGCATTGCATAGGGAATCCACATTTGTTATCAGATTTAATTCTTATTCCAGGAAAGAAATAAAATTTTCCAATTTTTGTTATTGTTGTCTCTAAGGAGAGTGGTTGAACTTCAAGCTAAATTCATCTATCCATTCATTTATCTATTTATGCATCTATTCATTCATTTATTTAGCAGAAAATGAACTATGCATCAGCCACTTGCTAGGCACTGGGATTCTGGAGAAGAAAAACATCCTCATAGTCTAGAGGGGAGGAAACAACTATGTCAACAGCTGCGATAATAGGTGATGCATGCTATAAAAGATGTAGATACAAGCCGGGCACGGTGGCTCATGCCTGTAATCCCAACACTTTCGGAGGTCGAGGCTGGCGGATCACCTGAGGTCGGGAGTTCGAGACCAGCCTGACCAACATGGAGAAACCCCATCTCTACCAAAAATACAAAATTAGCTGAGCATGGTGGCACATGCCTGTAATCCCAGCTACTCGGGAGGCTGAGGCAGGAGAATCGCTTGAACCCGGGAAGAGGAGGTTGCAGTGAGCCAAGAACATGCCATTGCACTCCAGCCTGGGCAACAAGAGCAAAACTCCGTCTCAAAAAAGAAACCCAGAAAAACAAAAACAAACAACAAAAACATACAAACAACAACAATAAAAAAAACAAAAAGATGTAGATACACACACAATGGGAATTACATGAAGGGATACATGGGTTGGCCTAGGAGTGTAAGGAAGGGCTCTTGGCAGCTGGTGATCTTTGAGCTGAAACTGAAGTAACAGCAGGACTTTTCCAGTGGTAGAAATGTGGGCAAGAACATTCTTGGGACAGAGAGTTTGAAGTCTGAAGGGCCATAAGCATGAGAAAAAATGTGTTTGGGGGGTAGAAAGAGTTAAATATTGGAGTGCAGAGTATAAGATATAGAGTGGTAACAACCTAAGTAAGTGAAGACAAAATTGGATCATGAGCTGCCTTATAATGATGTTCTGAGGACATTAGATTGTATTCAATAGATTCTGTGGAGCCATTAAATTACTTTGATGCCAAATTATCTGAAGTTCATATTAGATATATAATTCTGGGTGGTCTGTTAGGGAGACCAGTGAGAAGATTACTTTAATGGGATAGTAGCCTGATATCACAAAGGATGCTGGAAATACGTTGTGATGGGGGTATCATAAAAAGAGAATGAATTCAAGAGGTATTTGTGGCTCTTGGTGATAAAATGGATGTTGGGAATGATGAGGAAATTCTAGGAAGTGGCCCTAGTCTCCAGTTCAGGCAACTTAGTGGAATATAGTGCCATTCACTGGCATGGCCACACAACAAGTATGAGTTTGTGCTGGAAGATGATGAGTTCAAATGTGTTGGGTTTGAGATACCTGGTTCATTATATGGTTTGACCTATTTGCTTGTTTCTTTATGATATTCACAGATTAGACTGAAATATAGCATCAGAGATTATTTAGTCCGACAGGAGGACAATGAGACCAACAAAGGTCAGAAAATGGACCCAATGATATGCCAGAGGTAGAAATAAAAACACACATTGAATTATATTCTAATGTTATGATTTGGCACTCCTCTACTCTTAGCTTCTTCACTCGTCATCTCCATTCTTTAGGAAAGGGCAAAATTAGAAAGAAAAACAGAACAGCGGATGGCAAAGACAAAATATGTCTAAGGAAGAAACATGTGACAGTGACTGAACTCCAGCTAGGGCCACTTGTCTTTGTGTTTAGAAATTAAAGAGTTCAAAAGATGGCCAGATGGAAAGCATTTCTCAACCCATCTCTTAAAACTGGTGCAGGGAGAAAGGGAAGGGGCTGGGGTAGGGCCAAGTAGGGGATCCAGAAAGGGAGTTGCCAAAGACAAACTTCCTTCAGCTTCCCCATTTTGCTTGCAATCATACAAAGAAAGCACGATGTACTCTCTCATCTCCCAGCATGCTTTCTCCATTCTGGAGCTCTGCACGCCCTGTTGCAAGGATGGTTTTGCATGAACTCTCTGATCCCACTGCTCCCAGGCAAGTGGCCCGGGAGCTCTTAGGGTATCAGCAGCAGCAGCCTTGAGACAAAGAGGGGCAGGTAAGGGAAGAAGAAGAGGGCTGGGCATTGGCTTAAAGACACTGCAGCTCTGGGTCTCTATGGTGACCCAAGCCCTCTGCCTTTCCTTTATCCTTTCAGACCCATCCTTCCGAAGGTCTCTTTTCTACCACTCCTCTTCCTGTAGCCACCTTTATCAGATTGAAGACAAACGTGTAGGCCACGAGAACAATTTATCTTTTTGCTCCTGTGAAAAACCTTATTTTCAAACACTCGGTGAAATATCTGTGGCTGAGGCAGGTAGGCGAGAGAAACACACACACCTACAAAATCCCTCCTGTTGGTCTGGGCATTACCTATGAAACAAACACCAGGTGTTCCTTAAGGAGAAAACAGAAAGCAATTATCACCCCACCTGGATGGGCACACCTCTCAGGCAGGTAAGCAGCTCACTGCTGCGACTCCTGCTGCCTTGTCCCCAAGGCTGCCTTTGCCATAGTTCCAGAAGTCCCACACCCGGCGTCTCCTTGTTTTTACTTTTGTTGTTGTTGCTGTTGCTACTGCTTTGTGTTTGGACTCACTCTAATCTCTATGTCCTTGAGGACGTTGGAGAGCTAGGAAAGGGGCTGAGCTATGGCTTCTGACACAGTTCTCCAGCCCTTCTTTTTGGTTCCATCCATTTTCTCCTGGCATCTTTGGAAAGGGAGAGGCAGAGGCAAAGGAGGAGTGGTTGGGAAATGTCATGGCCCAGCAGCATAATAGAAAGGCAAAAAGATTTGCCTGGATGTGGCGTTTTGTTCTTAGAGCCAGAGTGATAGGCAGAAAACCAACCCCTTCCAGGCTGAGGCTGCCAGATCCTTCCCTTTGCAACCTGTGCCTGATATGCTCCTTCTAGTCCAGCTGCAGCTGGGCCAGGCTAAGGGATCAGCGAGGGAAGCTGGCCCACCTCCCAAGCCAACCAGAGTGAGGCAGAACTGAGCATCCTCCCCACAACTGTCCCCAAGGCACGAGGGTTCTCTGAACAATGATTTTGATGATGGCAAATGTTGTGCCTCCCTACTTGCTTTCTTCCAGCCCTACACAGGTGCTCAGTTGTGACTCCTGAATCATATTATCGTGGGTGTTGTAGATGCAATGATTTGAATTAATATGCAAGCATGCAAATTTAAACAAATTAGGTGCCCAGATTAGCTAAACAAAAAGCCTCACTATCCATATTCTAGCATGGCCCTCAACCACACCCTGTCACTTCCTCACACCATTTGGAAAGCCTTCTGTTGTGGTTGACGCCTCCCAGAGCCAAGAGTCCCAGGCCTCTTACCCTCTGGGTCTGGTTGTTGGTCACTAGTTCATAGATGGGGGCTGCTTTGGTCACCTCCAGCAGAACCGGCTCAGCAGGGGTGTCAGGGCTGGATGTCACATGACACAGGGGGCAGGACGAGGGGCATCGTCCCTTGCTGTGGCACTCCATGCGGACTCCAGCCGCCATGTGCTTGGTGCCGGAGTCTGACAAGCTGGTGATGTATTCTGGGAATGTCAGCACCTTGGGGTCTCTTTCCCGCTCCTCAGACTCATCTGATGGGGAGTTGCCTGCAGACACAAAATGGAAAGAAACAGTGAAGGAGTCAAAAAAGTAAGGACTATCATGACCTCGTGGCCCCTGAGTGCTGGGGTCCAATCTTTGGGATCAGAAACAGCCACTGAAGGGGTAAGAATGTGATTCTGCCATCCCACTTAATTTGGGGCACCCAACCTCCCAGCGACACACAGAGTTGGAAATGGCCCTTTTCAGTGAGAATCTAGGTTGTTCCTTTTCTGAGAATCATCAGCTCCACTGAATCTCTAGAGGGATCGGGCTCCATGCTGATGACCCTCAGCAAGAATACAAACCATAACAGTGATTGTTCTATGACTCAATTTCTTCATCTATGAAGTAAAGATACGAATAGTATCTATGTCTAGCATTGGGTAATGAATGAATGGCAATTCCTTTTATAAAGCACATAACACAATGGCTAACAAATGGCAAACCATCATCATAATAGTTTTAATTATAAATATAGCTAAGATTTAGGAAGCCTGTACTATAAAAGTGAGATCCATTCAAGGTCTACTTTAACCTTTATGATAACTCTCTGCATGGCGTTCTATCATTATACTCAGTTTATAGATGAGGAAAATGAGGCCAAGAGCTTCAAGGTCCCACAGCTAGTAGATTGTGAGAGCTGGGATTTGAATCCACTTTTGTCTGATTCTTAAGTCTTTTAGGTCAGAGAGGAAGAAGAATAGAACTCTGCTTCATTATTAATCAATGTATTGAAGATGGGAAGGGAATTTTGACTTTTTCAAAAAGATTTGCACTCCAAAACTTGAGAGATGGGTCCACATCAATTTTGTTTGTTGAGTAAAGGATAGTTAAAGAATCTTTTGGTCTACTTTTGGTGACAAACATAGGAATTGCCTACCAGAGAATAATGGTTTGTTCTTTATACAAGAAAGCACTGCTTGGCATTTCTCTTCCCAGTCCTCATGATTCTCCATTTAACTTATTAATTCTAAAGGAAGATTGAAGTAGTGTTTGCTGACAAAAAAGCACTGGGTTTCTGAGATTCATCACTTCTTTTTGCACAGTTGTAGTCCTGAATGTGAAACAGCTTCAGAGAGACCACTAAGCTTTTGGACATCCTGGATATATACAGGACATTCATTCTGGCCCTCTCAGACTCATGAAGAATGCAATGGACAATGGGCTGGACCTTTGGAGGCACTGGTTGGAAGGATTTTTAAAGTGGTACCCGAAGGTGATTGTAGATATGACTCATCGACTTTATAAAAGAGTTCTCTCTTATGGGGTCCAGGGAGCTCTTTGTGATTCCCTTCTTGTTTGCTATGTAATATGAGCCCATTTAGAAACATCACGAGGCATTTCAGCATTGTTGTTTCCCAGAGGAAACAATGAGGAAGTTTTACCTAGCACGTTAAGGCAAAGGACTCTATGACTATAAATATGGCATATAATTCATCGCATACTTGCATTTTGTTTAATAATCGACCCAGAGCCAAGCTCAAACCCTTCCTTGATTATAAGAGAACTGTATAACTACTCAAACCAAAAATAAGAATGACGGCTTCAAATAGAACTAGCCCTCAAATCACTTCACCCATGACTAAATTTTCACTGACAGGGAGGCTTACGCAACCCAGTCAACTGTGTGGCTACGGGTATTTGCAAAGTGGCCACAAGCTGACCCAAGACTCCCCCCTCCTCCAGCCCCTCACCAGGCCCCCAATCTTTTTCAATATACTGTACGGATTGGGCGGAGCGAGTGCGGGTGGGGTGAGGTCTTTGATCCTTGGTGTGATTTCTGGGCAAACAGCCCTTCATTAATGCCTCATGGCATTTCTAAATGGGCTCATATTACATAGCAATCAAGAACAGAATAGCAGAGAGCTCTCTGCACCCCATAAGAGAGAACTCTTTTTATGAAGTCGATGAGTTGTAGCTCATAATCACCTTCTGGAACCACTTTGCAAATCCTTACAACCAGTGCCTCCAAAGATCCAGCCTATCAAGCATCACATTCTGATGAGTCTGAGAGGAACAGAATGAGTGTTCTGTGTGTGTCCATCATTCCCCAAAGCCCAGTGGTCTCTCTGAAGCTGTTTCATGCAATGTATGGAAAAGGGCTCAAGCATTTCAGAAACCCAGTGCTTTTTTGTCAGCAAACTCTACTTCATTAAGAAAGTAAGTAAAGGGCGGACGTGGTGGCTCACTCTTGTAATCCCAGCACTTTGGGAGGCCAAGGCGGGTGGATCACGAAGTCAAGAGTTCGAGACCAGCCTGGCCAACATGGTGAAACCCCGTCTCTACTAAAAGTACAAAAATTAGCTCGGCATGGTGGCGCACGCCTGTAATCCCAGCTACTCGGGAGGCTGAGGCAAGAGAATCGCTTGAACTCGGCAGGTGGAGGTTTCAGTGAGCCGAGATCACGCCACTGCATTCCAGCCTGGGCTACAGAGCAAGACTCCGTCTCAAAAAAAAAAAAAAAAAAAAAAAGGCAGTAAGTAAAATCCCGGCCCCCCCACCAAAAAAAAATCAGTAAAGATACAGTTTCTTTTCAAAAAAGATTATTGAAATTTCGCCATGCAAGTCTTGCCAGAGGGCTTGAGGGTCTCCTGGTTGGCTCTTACCCACCTTCTAATTATACGCATTTCCTAACTGACCCGCAGCCCTCCTTGTTGAGAATTTGTTCGAGTCTGGGAAAAGAATTTCCACGACATGACCGCTAGATGGTGATATAAGTCTAAAATGACTTTCGTGAGCGGGAGGAAAAAAAAATGGATAAATCTCACTTTGGCACTGTAGAAAATAAACTATGAAAAAGTAACACACGGCTACTTTAAAAAAATGTTGTGGAGGTACAATTTTTCTTTAACCGGAGAATAAAAAATTAGAGACTAAAACAATTCCGTAACATTTACCCGACAGAGAAAAATATAGAGGGGCATAGATGATGACAGGATAATTAAAGGAAAATTAAATTCCGAAGGGAAAATAACCCCTACCCCCAATATCCTTAACATGGAGTAAACACTACTTCAAAGGGGAAGTAATATGCCACCAGTGCCTTTTCTCGCACCTTAAATCCCCAAATACCCAGGCATGCTCCCCACGCCCCCTCCTCTCATTACTAAGCATGTACCGTGCTCATGACAAATGCGGCCACTAGAGGGCGCTGCGACCACAAACACTCCGGAGCTGAGGGTCCGAGGGCCTTCCTGCCCTCCAGCTGGCCATCGCTGGGTCCTGTCATAGCTGTAAACATCTGAGGGGTTGCTCCCCTTGCTACTGTTTTCTGGCGATCCCAATTAAAATCAAGATGCAGCGAATCCCCCTCAAAGCCCTTCAGTTCTAGATACCTAGCAAGATTAGGGAGTAGAGAGGAATGGGAAGGATGTAGAAATCCGTGGAGGGAACCCACCAAACTCTTGTTTTAATTCAGAATCATATTTTCTGTCTCCGGAAAACCTTCAGGTCCACATAAAAAGAGCCCCGCCGGAGGCCAAGACCCACTGCCTTCTGGTCCCCTCGCCAAACAGGATGGGGCTGTCTGGAGAGGAGCTGGATTTGCACAGGAGTGATGAGCAGCAAGCTCCCAAAAGCTATCTATTCAGTTTCCAGCAAAGAATAGAGATGTGTGTGTGAGGGAGATTTTTCAAAGAAGAAATGCATTTCCTATGTTCAGTTAAAGATACAATTGGGAAGTACTCTTTAAAATGATGGAGTCCAATGGTGAAAGCCCAGATAAATCTCCCTTAGCCCAAAGAGAGCACCTATAACCATCACGTCTGTGGTAAGTGAGAGTCGTTCAGGTCCTAAAAGCTTCAGGAGAGGCTGATCTTTGACCGTTGCTTTTAACTCCTCCTGTGTGGGAGTGAACAGTGGGGGAGGTTTGTGTGTGGAGTGTTGCAGAAGAAGACCCTGCCTTACTTCCTTGTGAATCAATGGCTCACCCCCTCCACTGCCCACACCTATTACAGTTCTTTAGGGCATCTTCCCTCTTCTACCCTCTAGAGTCTGAGTAGAACTGCTCTAGAGGTTGGAGACACTATGCTGTCTTTTAGCAAAATAAATATTCTAGTCCAATAAATACACTGCCTCTCTGGACAGAAGAAATAAGCTACAATTAAGGTCTCAAAATCTTATAATTGACAAAGGTGCCTTTTGATAAAGAATACCCAGGTGTGGCTCCCTCCCACCTCTGTTTGCAGAATTCACTCCACTGTTGTCAGGGAAGGTCCGGAGTCCAGTCAGGACACTTCAGTTTCTTACAAATAGAAGAACATCCAACCTGGAATGTAGTTAACAATCCTAAAACTGCAAAGCATTTTGCAAATACAGCTTGCTATAAATAAATGTCATTTGCTTTAGGCTAAATCTGTATCCTACAGCATACAGTGGATGAGTTTCCCCAATAGAATATTGTGGTATGAGAATATCGCGTCCTTAAAGCTCAACATGTCATTGTGGATGTGCACATGGCCTTAGGCATGTATATAGTGGCCCACCTAAATTCAGGAGCACATGAGGGTGACAAAAGTGACCGGCCCATTCTCATGCAGGGTCTGCTCTTCTGGTGGTAACTGACAGGCCATGAGGTGAATTAGTTGTTAGGAAGTAAATTGGTACAATTCCTATAGGATTCTGAGGCTGCTTAAGAATCTCTCTCCTGAGTTGCTGCCCAAGGCAATGAGATGCTAATGACATCACGGCTAGAATGACAGAAGCAGTTCATTAGGCAGCAAAGAAATCAAATGCAAGCTAATCAAATCCCAGCTTTTGGAGACAGCTTAGGATCTACAGGAAAGAAGGCTTGATGTGGGGCAAATGAAGCACAGCCACCCTGAAGCCCACCAAAACCCTGCATTCCAGGATCTACCCCAACCCCCACCCCAGTCTACTGCTCAAGCCAGATGTCCTCGAGTCATCAAAATTCACACAGAAGTCTATCCACCCAGTCTCTAATCAGTCTCTTGGGATGTACAATCATGTCTTTGGACAGAGAGATCACTATGGACTTAAAATGAACTGCTAGACCTGCCATGATGACATACTCTCTGAGCTCAAATAAAACACAATGCAATGGATTAATAATTAGGGAAAAGAAGATAGGACATAAACTGACCATCTTTTTCTCCACTTCTACATGAAATAATAAGTGCCTTGGGGTCAGGAACTATGTCTTTTTTACCTTTGAAACGTCTTTGCCTAGTTTAGTTCTACATATCTATCTCCATATATCCATGAACATATTGGAGTGAATATATTAAGTCATGATCTTAGGTTCACATTTTTACAAAAAGTCAAACACAAAGAAGAAAACCAAACCATTTGTAAACAGTTCTCTAGTCCTTTACTAACACATCAAACAGTAAAGAAGAAAGGAGAAAGCATTATTCTGATGACAGCCAAGTCTATATACCTGGCCAGGATCTCTCCCACAAGTAACAAAACCTCAATATGCTTGCTTGGACATCTACTTATATGTCCTACAGACACCTCAAACTCAACATGTCCCAAACTGTGGTCGTCATTTCCTCCGTACTCTCCTCAGCAGCTATTCCTCGTCGTGCAGGTCCTAACTCAGCAAAACGCACTGCTAACTTCCTAGTTGCTCAAGTCAGAAATTACAGCTTCCTTGCTGGTGTGTTTCTCTCTCTCTCTCTCTTTCTCCCCACCCCATCAACTAATCTTATGAAATTTACATTCATTTTAGCCCCACACCATCCACTTCTCTTGCTCCATGCCCACGGCCACTCAAGGGCTGTGTAAAGTGTGTGGCCTGAGGCAGACTGCCTGGGTTTGATCTCTGACCTTACCAGTTGCTAACTGTGTAATTTGGGGTGAATTTCTTAATCTTCCTGTGTTTGAACTTTCTCATACATAAACTGGAGATAATAACTGAACTGATTTAGTAAAGGTGTAGGAAAGGCTAACTAATATAATTCGCAAAGACAGTTTAGAACCGAGCCTGGGATATATTGAGTGCTTTCTAAATTTACTTATTCTCTCAATGCCTGTTCACTTACCTGCCCTGCTCACCACCAACACCATCGGATGGCAGGTGCCTTGAAGGACAAAATTATGCCTTGTTCTCCACTATAATATCCCACATGCCTTATATGTAATACACACTAATGTATTCAACAATTCATTAAACAAATATTCATTAAATGACTACAAGTGTTTGTTGACTTAATAAATCATGTCTAAAGACTTGCATACAAAATGACTACACTATATATTCTGCAGGTACAAACTAGATAGGATGGGTTTAAATTCGTCTGGGGCATTGCTGTTCTGGGTTCTTTTGAGATGCTCTGGGTTCTTTTAAGAAGAGGGGCATCAATCCAGAGTGGGTTCTACTACTTTTGGGTGCAAATAGGAATTCTTCAAAGATAACCTAGTTGCAGAGATTTGGGGAAAGACTGCAAAAAGTTCATTTTGCAAATTTTCTAAAACATACAAACACATCTCAAAGATCATTAATTCCCTTGGGATGTGAGCACTTAAGCTTAAGAAAGGGAGCAGCCAGGTCTTGTGCTGAAGGGCAGACAGTGTGGTTCAATATGGTGAGAAAATCTGGGAAACTTGTAGCCAATAATGTCACAAAGTGGCAAAAGGGTATATCTGGTGTCCTGGGTCAGTGAAACCACGGGTACCAAAGAGCAGCTGGGGTGAAAGGTAAACTTCTCCCTGTGGGAGCAGTTGGATGTAGCTCCGGGAGGAAAAGTACTTGCAGTCATACTGGGATTTGGCATATATGCTCTCCATCACCAGCAAAAAAGGCAGTGGCTGTGGTAGCAAGAGAGTGCCAATCTGAACCCAAGGATGGTCATGTGATGGAGCATGAAACCCTGCGTCTTCTGCAGTTTTGCTATGCTGCCCAGTCTCAGTCTGCACACAAGGAGCCCTTCCCAGTCTCCAGCCTCACATTCAGCTACTCATCAACTCAGAGTAAACACACCTTTCTTTGGGATTAAATAATGGAAAAACTAGTGGTTCACAACTGTCCAACACATCCAGAAATAGTCCCGAATCCAAAGGGTTTATGTTCTTGTCCCTTCTCACAAATGAATTTGCACAAGTTGAAAACAAATCTTTTGTCAGAATGTACCAGTACTTTTTGTTCCAAAATTAAGGTTACTATATGCTTCAGACCCTGTTCTTTGGTAATTGTTCAAGAAGTTTCTGGAACTAGCAAGAAGTCTTTGTCATAATCATGCCCTGCAGCCGGTCCCTCAAGAGCAGTATCTATAGGTACTGTAAGGTCCACTGAGATAATTAGCAGCCATCAGATACCCACAGGGCACCTCCGCAAAATGTCATTAACTGGAATGTTCGAGAAAAGATGTCTTTCGGAAAAATGAATTTTTTGTTTAATTGATACTTACCCAGAAAATGCTTACGTTCCCTCCAATCCCTGTTGACGTTTTTCTTTTCTAAAAATGCAGTTTTCCAATTTCCTGCCTGCCTCATGAAGCGTTGCCTACCAAACAGCATTAAACCTTTCCCCAGGGAGCCTCCAGGTGATGGTTTTATTCATCAATTATGACTATGCGGATTTGGAAGCTGTAGGAAAAATGGTATCTATACCCCGAACAGCTTTTTAAAAATTGATCGATAACATACGGTGGTATTTTCTGAAGATTTTCCCTCTTAATAGGCATGTTGTCAAACAAATAACGGTCTGGTTGAGGTTCCCGGCTAATTAGGTTTATGTTAAACTGAGGTTTTGGTGTAGATGCCGTGGTTTGCCTTTGCCAAAAGGTGTTAGTCAGCATTGGCATGGAACAGTGAATTTAATAACGAATTGACTAAACAGCCTCCCGTATGCTTCTTTCTGCTCAGTAATGGTCAGTTCCATTTGGAATGAGAGGTTGGGTCAAAGAAATGATGGGATAGTAGAATTTTCTAAGAGATTAATAAAACACAAAAACAGCCTTTGAAACTTAGCTGTGACCCCAATTGCATCCCTTTATGAATCACAAACTTAGTGTAAAAAATAAAGAACAAATTGCTCAGCGAGGCAGACACCTCTGTAAGGATTCCTGAGATCCAGCTCTACACAGCCCATGCATCTTAAGAGGAACAAGAATTAAATCCAAGAACTGCTGGGAAGCCCTAAAGCTTTCACTCCTCAAAGGAAGTCTTCTAATCAGCTAGACTGTTAGTTCCCAGTGGGCAAGAAGCTGCCTTATGCTTGAGTTGCCATGGTTCTCACCCAGTGCTTTACACTTGGAAGCATTCAAGAAATACATCAGGATGGAGAGAAGCAAAGGGGATTTAGCCTAAAATTCCTCAAATGACAACCCAAAGCCTCATGACAACTCACCATAGGCAAGGCTGGGAATGTAAGGCACCTCCATGGGATTTTCCTAAAGCATCTGCTAAGCACATATACGTGGGGGAGTATGGGAGACCAAGCTGACACCATAGCTGCCTCCACCTTTGCACACCCTATAAAGTGTTTCCTTCTCTCTCTCTCTCTCTCTCCCCATTTCTTCCCATATATTTTTTGAGAGCTACTCTGCTCCCATCATTCCTTGCAGAACTAATTCTACTGGTACTTTGTGCCTGAGTCCAGAGGAGCCCGGACCTCGCTGTGCCAGTGCTTGGCTTTATGGCCTCTGTCCCACTCACTCCCAGGGCGAAGTGAGGATGTACCCCTCTGCATGTCCTTAGAGCCTAGCACTCGGTACTCTGCAGGAGCTCCCTCTGTCTCAGCTGAATTGTAGTAAATTTGTGTGTGCATTATCTTATACCTACATTTTGAAACCTTTCGTATGGCAATTTTAAGTGTACTTGATTCCGTTTTTTCATTTGCCTCCTACACTCCTCCTTTTTGATTCACCAGATGCCTTTCTTGTGACTCAGAGCTAATCACCAAGGCTCTTGTTCTTATCAAATCCCTTCCTCTTAGTTTCCTAGGGCTGCTATAACAAACCGTCAGCAATTGAGGCACTTAAAACAACAGCATGCATTCCCTTCCAGTTCTGGAGTCTTCAAGTTCAAAATCAAGGTGTGGTCAGGGCCATGCCCCCTTTGAAAACTCTAGGGAAATATCCTTCTTTGTGTCTTCCCAGCTTCTGGTGGCTCCCAGCTGTCCTTGGCACTCCTTGGCTTATAGCTGCCTCACACTAATCTTGGCCTCAGTTATCACGCGGCTTTCTTTTCTGTGTGTCTGTGTCCAAATCTCCCCCTCATTTCTCTTATAAAGACACTAGTCGTTGAAGGTAGTCTAGGGTCACCTCATCTTAATGTAATTACATTTGCAAAAACAGGTCACATTCTGAGGTTCCGGGCAGGCATGAATTTGGAAGGACACTGTTCCAGCCACGACAGTGTCCATAGCCTTTAACATTGTGGCACTGGCGGGAGAGCCCTTCCCTGACCCACAGCCTGTGAGGACTCACTTATTGGCCATGTAGGGGCTTGCAGTCCATCCCCTCAGCTTCCTCCCAGGGCTTAAGGGCAGTGGGAAGTGAAAAGAAGTTCCCGGCTCCATCGGCGTCCTGCTGTCCTGCTGCCGAGCAGCAGCTGTGTGCAGCTTCTTGTCAAAGTCAAAATAAACCTGACATAGAGATTCGGAGTCACAGCTCCGGGATGTGGAGATCTGTGCTGGATTATCCCTGCTGTGTCGCCACAGACAGAGCAGCATGGGGAGAGGGAGTGCGGGGAGAGGACGACACTGAGAGAGAGGCGAAAATGAGGAACACCTGCGGGATTTGCTATTTCCAAATCTCCATTAGCAGAAAGACAACGTGAATGAGTGGGCATGCTCAGCACGCTGCCAGGAAAGAGCCTCCCGTGCACTTGTCTGGAGATTAAGGCTTCCTCCGCGCCCCCAGCCTTGTTCCTGCTTGGGAGGCTGAGCTGAGAAGCCAAGTGTGCATCCCCAGACCACTCAGGAGCAAATGCTTCCCATCTTTCCTGGTCCTCCCAAAGAAGGAGCCTGGAAAGCTCTCAGGAATAGCCCAGGACACGGCAACTGTGGCAGAGCAAGACCGAGGCAGAGAGCGTGCTGAGGAAGGGGCGCCCAGCATCAGCCTGGACCTCGGCTGATGTTGAAGGCCCCACTGAGCTACAGAGTGGAATTAGTGCTGCTTTTCTCTATCTACCCTGCGGCATTTATTTCTCCAATAGGGAGTGCACATGAGTCCCTTGAGTTTGGGCAGAACCATCAGCCCAGCAATGCTCTCTTTATGACTCCATTTACCTCTCAGAGCACCCCTGCGTGCTTATCTGTTCTCCACCTCTCCTTCCCTATAAGATCCAGCTCCTGCCTCAACATCTCTCTTTTCTTCCTACCTTCAAATCTGGACAAGAAGAGCACAGGGCAGGGAACACCTGGATAGTTCTACAAAGGGTAAAACTGACAAACTGCCATTACTTGCCCCAGCTCCACAGTACAAACACTCAGCTGAATGTTACAACATGACCTGTGTCTGTGTGAGGGTGCCTGATATGAGTCTATGCAGGCGGGTGTCTCTCACAGCTTAGGCAGCACCATAGCGGAAAATTCAATGCCTTGCTGAGATGCTGCAAAGGCTGGCTCATAAATATCTTTAACTACCAAATGGTCTAGAAATTTTTAATAAAAATATTATTCAATAATAATACTACTCCAACCGGCAAGGGAATGTTGTAAGAGTCTCCATTTTCCTCTGGACACTCATCTGGCTTCTGTTTTTAAAATGGATTTGGATGTTAAATCCTCTTGCTGCCCTGACCAATTTATTCTGCAAATTAACTATATCTGACAGAACTTAAAGTCTGTTACCATTTAGCTTTGCCTCACTGAAATTTATGCTGCTTCCCTGCCTGCTGGAGCCACAGGCCCAAATAGACATGGCTCTTGGTGGCGATTTGGGATTCTGCACGGTTCTCTCACCGCTTAGTCCTCATCTCTTGAGTTTTAAAATGTGCTGAGTGGATCAGGCTCTTTTCACCTCTCGGTGACCTGTGCCCTCTGTTTTAAAATACTCTGGTCTCTGCAGCTGCCTCTCCCAGCCTTAATGAAGCTTTCATTACGAGATGTGGTTTCACCCAGAGCTGCAACCCAAACTGGTTGGTGAGGGAGATTCATGTGGCTCTGACTGGGTTGCAGTACCATTCGCAAATGGTACAGACAGCTGGACATGGGAGGAAACAAAGGGGACAAAAGGAAGAGACCAGTGATGTGAGGGCCATGGCCACTAGGCCGAGGGATGGATCTCAGATTGAATTAAAAGAGCCTGGTGACTAAGGTGACACAGAGAAATGGTGCTGTGGCAAGCCATATACCAGCAGTTGGTTTACCTCTGGGTGCCTCAAGCTGAGAGTGACTCTGGCAGTGAGGATTGTAGGGCATCTGGAGCCAGTGCTATATGAACAATGGTTGAAGGAACTGGGGGAGTTTAGAATGGATACAAGGAGACTTGGAGACAGACTTAGCAGCTGTCTCTTTAAATATTTGAAGGGTTGTCACATGGAGACAGGACCACATGAATTCTGTGTATTTTCAGAGAGCAGAATTAGGATCCAAAGAGAGAAATGATGAGAAGAGTTTACTGAGCCACAGGTTTTCACTGAGTGCCAACATGTGTCAGAAACAGTGCTCAGTGCTCCATAAGGAAAGTACTCTGATAAATAAGAAATAATGCTCATTTTCCAGTTTGCAAGGCGTGGGGCAGACAGAAGAGTAGACAATGATATGATAAGAGGTGTTATTAGTGGCATGGGACAGGGGATTTTGCTTACACAGGAGGAAGTATTAAAATCTACTTTGCGATGGGCCTCGTGGTTCATGCCTGTAATCCTAGCACTTTAGGAGGCTGAGGTGGGCAGATCGTTTGAGGTCAGGAGTTCAAGACCAGCCTGGCCGACAAGGTAAAACCCCATCTCTACAAAAAATATGAAAATTAGCCAGGCGTGGTGGTGTGTGCCTATAATCCCAGCTATTCAGGAGGCTGAGGCAGGAGAGTCACTTGAACCTGAGAGGCGGAGGTTGCAGTTGTGCCACTACGCTCCAGCCTGGGTGACAGAGTGAGACTCTCTCTCAAAAAAAAAAAAAAAAAGAAAAAAATATTCTACTTTGGTGGGGGAGGTAGGCTAAAGGAAGATGTGTGATTTCTTTCAGGATAATTTTTGTGATAGTTTATAGCTGGTATAAATTAGGAGAGATGCCTTAGAGATGGTGAACCCTTGACTAGCACAAGTATTCATGTAGAAGCATTCATATAGAAACCAGTCAATCACTTGCCAGGGATGCCAGAGCAGAGGGAACATTCCAGAGAATGAGTTCTATTTTCCTTTTAACAGGCAAATGTTAAAGTTCTATTATTGTATGACCTGATCTGCTCAGTATTTCCCTAAATCCATGGAGCTGGAGAATCTGCATTTTATCAGGCACTCCAAGTGATTCTGACTTAGGCCATCTTCAGATAACATGTTGAGATCCACCACCCTGGACAAAGGTAATTTATTAAATATGGTCAGAACGCTTTTTATAAATCTTATAAATAACCCCAATATGTAAGACAGATAAAGGGGGGAATATACTCCTTAGGCATTTAATATCATTACTGTTTGGTAAAAAGAAACAACTCCATTGTTGATGCAGCTATTCCAGCATCTACTCAAATCCCCAGGGTACAAGTGGCCTGATTTGAAAACTACTGACGTTCGTCTGAACTGTCCTACAAGTAACCAAAAGTATTACTTCACAAGCACTTTGCTTCTTGAATTTTTCTAGACAAAAAGCACTGTTCAGTCAGTCCTGCTTTAGGGGGAAATAATGCAAGTCAGAAAACTTTTATATACTTGACCAAAGAATAGATCTACATAATCATGCAAGTTCACCTTCTTGTCAAGAAGGGACTTCCTGGAGAAGTTAGAGAAGAAGGCAACACCCCTGTAGACAGCCCCATTCAATGGGATGAACCCCTACAACACAGAACACAGGGAGGGGCAGACAGAGAAGCCAGATCTAATGCTGTCCTCCAGACAATGGCTGGAAAGGCATGTATGAGTTAAGAGATTACAGTATCAACTCATCCCATTCCACTGCCATGAAGAAAACTTTATCATTATGTCCAAAAGAAGGTGCTGTGGTTTTAGGTCACCTTCCTGCACTTTTAACAACAGTAGATATTAAAACAATTACAAACCTAAAACAGCATAACTGCGTGGTCCCTTTACAGGCCCCTACTGAGGAAGGTGGAAGCTGTTATGATCATAGGAGGGCCCACTTGGCAGTTACGATCACCAATAAAGATGGCTACCTTGTTACTTTGCCCTCTAAAGCTTCTGCCACCAGGACTTCCTTTAATATCTAACTCTCTTATGCAACACACACACACACACACACACACACACAGAGTTAGCTTTTTAATTAAAGAAATTACTGGATGAAGGTTGACTAAGGAGCAACAGCAGCAGCCATAGCAGCAAACAGACAGCCAGGCAGACATACAGACCTGGCCCTGCTCAGCCAATGTGCCAGCAGAGGCTCACACACCCACTGGCAAATAAGGACATGGTCTATAAGAAGACCAAGTCTCTGAGACTCCTGAGTTTGGACAGCAGGTGATATCAGGAAAGCAGACCCACATCTGGCCCTAGAAAGAAAGGAGAAGGCAGGAGAGAGATGCAGCAGCCCCGTCATGTCTGAGTAAGCAGCCAAGGCAGAGGCTATAGCATATCATATCCCAGGCCAACCCCTCAGCTGGCAAAGATGTCTTCACCTGGAATTCCTTATCTCATGGCACAAGGCAGTCAGCCTTGGGTTCACATTCAAAGCTCTGAGACATCATAAGATGCTTAATCTCTTTGGCCTTCAGTTGCCATATCTGTAGAATGGGTTAATAACAGAACTCATCTCACACTGTTATTCTGAAGGTTAAATGGGATAATACATGCCAGGCCCTTAGCATGGCTTCTGGTATGTAAGCTTTTGATGGTAGGAGCCATTCTTCACCATTTTATCCTTATCACCTAGTACAGTCTTGGCAACCAGAAGGTATAAACGTGTGATTAATTAAAAAAAAATAGCAATGCTCAGAAAGAAAACAAGAATCTCTATACACTAGACACTGAACAAGAACATTTAGTAGTAAATAAAGGCTAAATTTGTAGGCTTCACGTCTGCAAGAATGGAGCCCACCAAGGCTCCATTGGCCAGTGAGGCCAATTCCTGCATAATAAAGGGGCCAGAAGTCTCCTACAGTGGTGGTGAACCAAAGCCAAGCCCAGAGGGTGAAAGTAGGATTAGGAAAGTCTCCACCACTTGCCCCCCAAAATGTGGCTGAAGAAGTCTTCACCCAGTCCAGGTCTCTGACAGCATCGAGTTGGGTGCCTGTGCTGGCAGGAGGGAGCAGACTATGGGCCCACATGAACTCTGCTTCAGGCCTGGAGCCACACAGTCCCCGACAGCCTCACAGGTTGAGAAAGAGGGAAGGAAAAGATGATGTTAAATGCATAACTAGTTGGTGACAATGGGCTTCCATGTAAAGTTTTGATGCATGAGATCTATCAGAAGATGTGGCTATTTTGCATAATGGTGGCATCTCAGACATTCTCATTGTTGCAGGCATGCTTGTTTAGAATGACATGATGCCTGTGGTTCCAAAGGGACCCTCAAGGCTGGCAACCATTCTCTCTAGGAGTTGGGTGATCCTTTAATTTATATTAAGGGGAAAATGGGTAAAAAAGATGCTGCTGATCATCCTGAGCTTTAGCTCCTTCAAATAAAAATGCAAAACTAGCAGAACAGAATTAAATTTTGGTCCCCCAAGCCAACCTTTTTTGTTACAAAAGATTTCTCCCTGAAATGTAACACTAGTTGGATGGTGCTCGCATGGGGTGAATGGTATATAAATGACAGCCTCTGAAGACCTCCATCCTAAATCTTGAATAACTATTTATGATACTTAGCTGTTAGTACTGAGTGCCAAGATTTCTAGATTCTTTTTAATTTTCACAGAGAAGAGAAAAAGCCTATCCCTCCTAGGTATCAGTAAGACCCTGGGCGTATCTTTCCACTGTCTAAGTCTGGAATCACAAACCCACAGAAAAATACAGAAAATAAGCCACTCAGCTACATTATGTCATGAACTCTATTTCCAAGGCTTGTAGCGATATAGGATTTTGTATTTAATTTTTCATTCCTACAGTAACAAGCCTACTAAAGCCTAGTCTAGAGTCAAACAAACCACACAATGGAATGCCTGCCTCTGCATGTATGTTTGTGCATGCAACCATCCCCCAACAAAACACCCCCAATTCCAGGAAATTAAATGGCGTTGTGAAAACTGAGAGAACAAAACCCTTCTAAATGGTTGATAAGAAAATTCACTGCTATATTTCCAAATTTCTGAGTTGCATCTAACATTTTATTTTCAGAAGCAGTAAGAAGCGAATGTTATCAAGAAGCAACCAATGCTGGAATTTTGCACGTATCCTGGTAAGCACCTATCTCAAGCTTGTTACTATTATTTCTGTTTTTGAGTGCACATCTTTTTAGGCCTTTCTTGTGCTTCCGTCCTCAGTCTCCCAGGGCTTTGTTTCCATCAAAAAGTTTGTTGACAGCAGTGAAAAGTCAGAAGACCCTAACAAACCCCACTCAATTGGGTAGAGCAAATACAAAGTTATTGAATGTCCACTCACAAGATACGATGCTGGTCTTCCAAATATGCCAATATGAATTATGTGTAATCTCTACATTCAATGGATGTAATATCTTGTTGAAGAGATAAGACAGACACTCAGAATATAAGCACAGTCACACATTGCTTAATGACAGGGACACATTCTGATAAATGCATCATTAAGTGAGTTCATCATCAATGCGTACATCACAGAGTGTCTTCACACAAACCTAGATGGTATAGCCTGCCACACACCTAGGTATATGGTGTAGCACAGGGGTCCCCAACCCCCAGGCCATGACTGGTACCAGTCCATGGACTGTTAGGAACCGAGCTGCACAGCAGGAAGTGAGCGGTGGGTGAGAGAGCATGAACACCTGAGCTCCACCTCCTGTCACATCAGCGGTGGCATTAGATTCTCATAGAAATGCAACTCTATTGTGAACTGCACATGCAAGGGATCTAGTTGTGTGCTTCTTATGGGAATCTAATGATAAATGTAATGCTCTTGAATCATCCCCAAACCATCCCCTCTGACCTGTCCATGGAAAAATTGTCTTCTATAAAACCCGTCCCTGGTGCCAAAAAGGTGGGGGATCACTGGTGTAGCATATTGTTCCTAGGCTATAAACCTGTACAACATGCTACTGTACTGAATTCTGTAGGCAATTGTAACACATGTAAGTATTTGTATGTCTAAACATAGAAAAGGTACTGTAATAACATGGTATAAAAAGATAAAAAATGGTCCACCTGTAAAGGGCACTTACCGTGATTGGAGCTTCCAGGACTGGAAGCTGCCCTGGGTGAGTCAGTGGGTGAGTGGTGAGTGAATGTGAAGGCCTAGGGCATTACAGTACACTCCTGCAGACTTTAGAAACACTGGACACTTAGGCTACACTAAATTTACTTTTGTTTTTCTTTCTGCAATAATAAATTAACTTTAGCTTACTATAAGTTTTTTACTTCATAAACTTTTTAATATTTTAAATGTGTTCACTCTTTTGTAATAACACTGAGCTTAAAACACAAATTGCACAGCCATATGAAAATATTTTTTCTTTATACACTATTGTATATGCTTTTCTCTATTTTTTAAATTTTTATTTTTTTATTTTTTTTACTTTGTAAACTTTTTTGTTAAAAACGAAGACACAAACACATACATTAGCATTGTTTTCCACCTCCATATCTTGTCCCACTGGCAGGTCTCTAGGGGCAGTAAGATGCTTGGAGCTGTCATCTCCTGAAATAACAATGCCATCTTCTGAACTACCTCCTGGAAGACCTGCCTGAAGCTGTCTTACAGTTAACCTTTAAAAAATGAGTACACTCTAAAATAATGATAAAAAGCATAGTATCAGAAATATGTAAACCAGTAACTGCCATTTATTATCAGGTATTACGTACTGTACATAATTGTGTGTGTTAGACTTTTATACGACTGGCAGCGCAGTAGTTTTGTTTACACCAACATTACCACAGACATGAGAGTGACGCATGATGCTGTAACATTACAATGGCTACATCACTCAGTGGCAGAAATTTTTCAGCTACATTACGATCTTATGGGACCACTGTCATATACGTGGGCTTGCATTGACCAAAATGTTGTTATGTGACAAATGATGGTGCTCTTTAATAAAATATCAAATAAGGACCAGATTATATCAGGAGACGTATGCAAGGGAAGAATCATTGAGAAGGAAGCTTTTGGGATAGGCTCAAGGATACAGGCATCTTTAATAACAAGAGCTACCATCTATGGTGGAAGTCAGCAAACTTTTTCTGTAAAGAATCAGATAGGAAATATTTTTGGCCATGCAGTCTCTGTTGCAACTACTCAACTGTGCCTTTGTAGTGCAAACACAGCTATGGGTATTATGTAAACAAATGCACATGGCTCTGCTTCAATAAAACATTATTTATGGATGGTAAAATTTATTTATGATGTTCATGGCACATAATATTGTTTTTCTTTCTTAGTTTTATCTTTCAATCATTTAAAAAGGTAGAACCCATTCTTAGCTTGAGGGCCATATAAAAACAGGTAGCAGACCAGATTTGCCTGCAGGTCATAATTTGCTGACCCCTGACTGTTCATTAAAAATAAATGCTTTAGTATACCCATTCTCATTGAATTCTTAGACCTGCTCTTTGAGGCAGGTATACTCATTTCCATTTTCTAGATATCCAAGATGAAGTTTAGAGAACTTAGGTCATACAGATTTCAAAGGCCTTTCTTTTAACCACTAAGCTATACTACCTCCCATAATGGTAAGGAACACAGGGGGATGGTGGAATGAGTAGGTTTTCTTTAGCCAAAGGAATTTAAAAATCTAAAAGTAGTTTTAACAAAGAATATGAGGCTTGCTATCATGGCTTTCTCATAGCAAGCTCATTTTAGATCTCTGCGATTACTACATTCTCTGTTTTCACAAGTCAAGCACAGGAAAGATATAATGTTAATAAGCTCTACTTTTCAGAATATAATATTCCCCCATATTTGAAGAAAAAAGAACAGCCTTCTAGCATTTGTTCCAACTTCTCTCCACCATCCATGATCCCACGGAAGGTCGTGCCCACCCCTGCAGGTAACAGGTATGCTTGAAGATCTTGCTCTCCCCTGCTGGAAGATCAAATTCTATCAAAGTTGCCCATTTCTCTCTTTCCTTCTCTCACTGATTTAAGCAACAATTCTCTCTTACTTGGCTTCCTTGCTTTCTTCTTGTTTAAAGGTAATTTTATGTGTCAGAGAGAATGGAAGGAAGACAGGGGTTGCCATGTTCTCTCCATTACCTATTAAGATTACAGGAGGTGGTGATTTCAATTCTTCTTTGGTCCTCTTCTTTCTCTAAACACAGCTAAAATGTCCTTTATACTGTCTGTGGGTTTTTTCACAAATGTAGGATCACATTGGGTTGTTGGCTTTCTGATGCTATTGATAGGTTCATCAGTCAGTGCACGTCCATGAATGCATGTGCCCAGCATTGGGCTAGGTACTGTGGGAGCTGTAAAGGTAGGATTTACAATCTATGTGGGATACAAGACTAACAAACATGTGATAATAGTAATAATAACAGCTGCTCACTATTAAAACATTTTCTATGCCCTGGCACTCTGCTAAACACTTTGCATGTATTCTGTCAAATAAAAAACAAACTTGGATTTAGAAGAATTTTATTCTAAGCGATTATTGCTGGGGCAGGGTAGGGAAGCCATTGAATTTGGAAGAATGCTCTGATAAAGTCTGCAAGCATCTCTAGAGTTGAACAAAAAGAGTTTTTAACTTTTATAGACAGAAGTGAACAAGGCTACAAAGAATCTGGTGTGGAGAAGCATCATGATTGGAAAGTAGATAAGAGAATGTTTTACCTGAAACCAGCCTACATTCAGTAGTCACTATACACAGCTCAGGCTAAGGGTGAGCCGAAGCTCAAGGGCTTGGGGGAAGAAGAAAAGTTTAACCAACATTTGGTTCACAAGCATTTTGTTGTGATTGATTAGAAGAGACAAACAATTTAGCTAATGACTTATAAGGCAAACAACGGGAATTTGAAGAGTGTATCTGGCTATATTTTAGGTAAACAAGGGGGGCATCATGAGTCTTATCTAAGTCTCATGGGGAAGGGTGAAATTCAACATTGTCAGTTCTCTATATGAATCTCAGTGGTTGGTGCTAAAATAGTTCCTATTTCAGAGATGACAAAACCGGGCAACAGAGAGGTTTATTACTTTGTCCAAGGTCACAGAATTATCAGTAGAAAAGTTGGAGCTTATATTCAGATCTGTCTGACTCCAGGGTAGTCAATCAGTCCTAAATTCTATGGTAGAGACTATAAGTGTCACAGGACTTTGGAGGAGAGAGGACATGAGTGAGGCCCAGGGGAGTCGCCAAAGGCCTCATGGAGGAATATGTTCTGAAGAATGGGCAGGCTTCGCTGACTAGGTAGTTAGAAACAGTGTAAATTATTCAGGGCAGAGACAATAAGGTCAAAGAAACAGAGGTGAAGGTGGCCACAGAGGTCATTACAAAGCTTAACTCTGTGTTATGGAGGTTTTAACTGGATAAAGAATAAGCATTAATTTACATAAATAGGCTAGGGTCATACCGCATGGGGTCCTGAAGAACCAGTCCAGGAATTTTGAGCCTGAAGCAAGTTAGGAAGCAAGCAGTGCCTTGCCTTGGTCAGAAGCTACACAGGAATGGCACTAAACCGAGTTAAACTGAGTCAGGCAGTGAAATGACTTACAACAAATGAAAATTTGAATGAATCGTAGACCGGAGGGAAAAATAGCCAAAAGGCTGTAACAACAATGCGACCTTGGAGGTCTGGGAGTCAGACTGGGGTAGCAACCGTGTACAGAGAATGAGGGACAATCCAGGGGGTATTTTAGAAGAAATGAAAGGATTTGGTGCCAGATATGGATAGAGGAGGTTAAAGAGAAAACTTTCCTCTTATTAGAAGATGCATAATAATAAAAACTCAGAATCTTTCTAAGTAGGTTTGTAGAACTTTTGTCTTTTAGGGTCCTTTAGTATCATTACTCAAAATCACAAATAGACAAAAAAATTTTCATGCTCTGATGTAATGGGAAAATCTAAGTTAAAATTAGCAGGTTTCCTGTCAACCGTTGAAAACCATTAAAATTCTAATATTTATTACAAGTACCCAAGGAAAAAATATAGCATACAGTGTTGGTCAAAAATAATTTGAACATAAAAATCACTTCTTGCAGATCATTTCATTGAATTAGCGTGCTACCGAGCCCACTTTGGGAAATACCCTAATAGTTACATTACTGAGGACCTACCATGGGCCAGGTGTTCTACCCGCCTTATGACTCTTAGTCCTTACAATATTCTCATTAACTTGTTTTGCAGATGAAGAAACTAAGGCTTGGAGGCTTTAAGTCATCTGTTTGATGATCAGGCAAGCACTGAGTATCTAACTACCAAACCCTCCTCCCCTCCTTGCATCAAGCCTCCTTCCACATTACAGATGTACAAGATCTTCAAAAGCAGACTTTCCCAGCAACCTCCAGAACACTTGATTATTGGATTTTTCACAGTTGTTTTCAACAGTTTCTGAAATCCTTTCCTGGATGCAGGATATCATGCATCCTGGGCCTGCTGACACCAGCTTCCAATCTATTGGCATTCACCTGCTGTCGTACACAGCTTCCGGTGGTATCATTCGGATTTTAGATTACTCCTCTCCCTTTGTTCCCCAGAACCCAACATCTATAAACATGAAAACACAGGCAGGAAAGGGTACAATGAGCAATCTCCAGCTTCTTAATGCAGGCGGTGTGATGCGGGGAGGAGAGGGAGGGCACGATAAGGTCCCGATGTCTCACATGTCCCTGGAATTGACATGCACCAGGCTAGTGCTTGCAGTCACTACCATCATAGACCGTTTAGTGTTAAATTTAGAATTAAAACCAATTAAAAGATAACAAGAAAACATATGCTTGGAATGGCAAGAATCAAACATGACTGCTAGCTACTGCAGGGAGGTATTAGAATGTTTTACAAACCCGAAACTTGCCCATTCTCAGTCTTTCACCCATGTCCCTGGTTTATCTCCACCCAAATGGCTTTCAATGGAAAAATCACTGGGATCTTTACTACAGTGAATCTGAAAACTGGAGTTAGAAAAGACTCACCATTGACCCTTTCTCTTGTGCTAGGTCAGATGACTGAGTCCATCTGGATTCAAGGTTGTGTTCGAATAACGGCTGGGGCTAGGATTGAGGTGCTTCTCCTTGGGGTCATGGTCAAACACAGGTTATTTGTGAGATAAGGATGCAGATGAGTATGTAGGTTCCCCATTCCTCCCTTATATCTCAGGAAGGTAGGTGTGCCTGCAGCTCCAGAGTTGGGGGTAGACACCCCAGAAAGGTGAGTGCTGCCTTTGGCATCCCCAGACATGTCAGCATCCAGAAACAAATTGTACTGTCAAAAAAGGCAGTAATTCTGCTGCTCAGTAATCCAAGTCAGCCAGTTTAATGTCTGGGTGAAAGATCTCTACATTCTTACTTTGCCATCATTGAGGGGGGTCCCCGCAGAGCCCACAGGTTTTCCATGTATGTCTCCCTAGGAGATTTCCACGAGTGTGCACTGCTATGGCTCAACACACCCTCACCCTCCACATCCAAAGAGTCACCTATTGGCAGTATTTCCTAAATTAACGTCATATCAACTTTCCACTAGACATTTCTTCCCTCTTCATCCAGACCCTCAGCAGCTCCCACCTGGTTTACTCCAAAATTTTCCTGACTGGTACACTTCCCTCTCATTTTCACATCTCCCAAGCATCCTCCACGCTGTCATTACATGTATGTTTCTAAAGCACAATCAGAAGATGTCTTTTCCTGCTGAAATCCTTTAGTAGCTCTCAAGGGACTTGAAGGTAAAATCAGGCAAGAGGGCATGGCAGGCTGGCCCTTTGAACCTCTGCCTCCCCGCCCCGCCCACAACCAGCCTCTCTCCAGCCTCACTTCCCCTACTTACCCCACATTAGCCAGGTGGACAGCACTTTCTCACAACCCAGGGTTGTGCTTTTTTCCTTTTTAGAACTCCTTTTTCCCAGAGTCAGCCTGAGGTTCCCTCACCCTCCTTCATTCAGTGCGGTAGCACTCCTGCTAGGAAGGTTCTCTTCAGTCCTGCCCCATCCAGATCTGGAGCCTCCTCTTTGGTGCTTCCTTTCCTCAGGTCTCTGGTAGCCCCTGTCATACCTCATTGTAATTTCTGGTTTCCTAGACTCTTCCCAGAGACTTGATGAACAACTTGAGGGCAGGCATAGTTCTTATTCATCAATGTATTCCTAATGCTTTCCATAGGGCCTGGCACTCAATCACACGTAGCTGTAGGTATGTGTGGAATGGAACGCTTCCCAGGGTGGGGTGGCACGGTGAGAACTGGGCAGAGTAAGGATTTTCTTTCGTTTGCTGTCATGTTAATATTGACTAGTAATAATAAAACTGTTCTGTGGATGACCATGCTTCATCTGGCACCCCCGTGGGAAGACGTGCTTATCCTGGGGCAGCAGTGTGGGCAGATCCAGAAGCCAAAGACATGCCCGGGCAGTGGGACAAGCCTCTGGAGTTCTCCTGGTTTTTAGCAGAAGGGAAAACAAATGCATTGCTTTGGGAGGGAAGGATGATGAATTATGAAGCCTTGGGTTCCAGTTTCAGTTCTGCCCTGTAGAGTAAGGGGTGCTGGGCTACCAGCAGGTGAGAGAGAGGGCCGCAGTGCAAGGACACAGGGTCTGTGGACAGATGTCCTGTGTGCAGACTGGTCCTACTGCCAGCATCCTCACATCTGGGACAGCACACTCACCTTGGAGACACCTCAAGGGACAAAGCTGTGTTCTGCAAGGTGCCCTTCAGGACTGGGCACAACTCACCACGTGCCTTCACCAAACACAGTCACAAATTGTAACCTACCTTCTCACTTCACAGGGTGGCGAGAAAAACAGTATATGTCAAAAATACTAATAATTTTAAACTCCTGCATATCTATTTCCATCATCATTATTTCTCAGAGCTTTTGCAGTTATAGTACTTTATTATTCTCTAAGTGAACTTGGCAATAATTAGTAGGCTTGACCTACTAATCTCACTCTGCCTCTCAGCCACACAACACACAGCTACTCACTCCTTTTGTCATTGCAGCCCTCCTGTGATCCTCCTAATTCCTGACTGTTTCTTCGTAGTCTTCTTTGCGGCACCCCCTACCCCAACCTTTCCTCTGTCTTACTTCTTACAGTGGGAACAACTCAGGGCTAGGTCCTGAGCCTACTTCTCTTCTCTGTCTTCCTCCTTAGGTAAGCTCATCTATCCCCAGGGATTTAGGTACTAGTTGAATTCACCAGAACTCACAGATTTGCATCTCCAGCTCTGACTTCTCCTCTGAGCTCCAGACTTGCAAATCCAATGGCCTCCTTCACTTTTCCCCTTAGATATCTCTATGGTAGCTCAAAATTGACAGGCCTACATGAAGCTCTTTACTGCTCACCCCCCGGCAACATGTTCCATCTCATTGGCTCTGAAATTATTATAGTAACTGGCACTTCTACATCATCAACTACTCAAGCAAATATCTAGGAACTCTTTGGTTCCTCTTCCTCTGCTCTTCCCTCCCCAAGCCCCACTCTATTGCCAAGTTTCTCTATCCCCTAAACAAACCTAGATCTGTTCTTTCTTCTCTGTGTCCTTTCCTTTCCATTGCCCAGATTACTGCTTTAGTCAATAAATGGTGTCCCTGTGTCCACTCTGGCTTCCCCTGAAGCCATTTTCCATCCAGTGCAGGAGGGATTCAAAGAACAAAAATCTAAGTGGTGCATTCCTCTTGGTGGCTTCCTACTCAGTAGCCTAGCTGGGGTCTGTGTGGCCCTGCATGGCCAATCTCAGCCTTCCCAGCCTCCAGCCAGGCCCCTGTTCCCTCACTTGTCCTGCCCCAACCCCACCAGCCTTCTCCACCACAGGTTTCTACACTGGCCATTTCCTCTTCCTGAGACACCTGTCCTCTGGCTCACCATCCACATCTTGGCATAAGTGCTACTCAGCCAAGTTTTACTGACCACCCTCTTTAAAGGGGGCCACTGCCCCTGTTACCCATCCTAGCATCCTATTCATTACCCTCATAGCCCATCCAACACTCATAATATTTTGTGGATTCTTTATTTTCTTTTTAATATTCTGTCTCCTTCACACCTACTCTAACAAAGCAGGGATTATGCCTCTCATGCGGTGTTGTTTGCCCCAAACCTGCACACATTAGATACTCAGTACATGTTCACTAAATGACTAATAAATAAGTATAAGCATTTTAAGAAAGAATAACTTATTGAATTACAAAAGAGATTTTCTTCAGTTTCATTCTGCCTTTATGTTTAACTGTAGATCATTAATGATCTCTACCAGCCTAAAGAATGCAGGACACGTGCTCAATACAGATCCCAACATATTAATTACCCCCGAAGAAAGAGTGGTGTGGGAATTTTGAAGGAATCACACTTCTTTTTTCTACTCTACCGTGTAAAAGAATTCAAAGACCAGTAAAGGTTGGGAGCTGGAATTTCCTGATTCTCCTCATCCACCTTACCATGGTCAGTGTTGAATATGAACCCACTGTGAGCAGAATCTATCACACAATACCCAGAGGGAGTTGTAAACAAGTAGAGACAGAGTCCCTGCTCTCTAAGGGAAGAAGTAAAACAGACCAAATAAAAATACAAAAAGCTGAAAATGCCCCCCAAACACATCAATATATATAGAACCAATTACCACAGTAATCGACTAGGTTTATAATAAACTGACAGGAGGGACCAGGGCAGCCTGCATGGGCAATGGAGGCACATATAAAGAGTGACTTTATAAGCCGCCTCTGCGGAATAAACCTGACTGAAGAAAAACCCCAAGGACAGAGAAGAATGTCAGGGGAGTGCCAGCTGTGGTTTTACCCTATTATGCTGGTTTCCCCTGGTACTGGCTCTCACATTTCACCTACAAAGCACATATTTTAACTGGCAGATTTATCGAGAAATTGAGCTGGAGAAATGCTTCTTTCTACTTTTCTTTTTCTTTCTTTCTTTTTAATAGGCAAAAGCAAAAACACTTTAAGGCTCGCTTGAACCTGCTTAGTTTTTGCAATTGCTCTAAACTGAGGGCTTTTGTAGTATTTAATTCTAAATGAGTGGAATGGTGCTCTCCCTTGCCAGACTTAAACACGCTGATGGGCTTTGTATGGTTATGACTTAGTGGAACCATCTCCTGCTTTCTAATTATGGTGGGCTTTAGGAGGAGATAAGGGTGACTGCTTTCTCAGCCCCAGGGTATGAACTCTGTTTAGACAGGTACTGTCCTTGCTCCAGCCTCAGTGGGCAGCCAATGGACCTCTAGCAATCTATGAACAACCCTTCACAAAACTGCAAGGGAGTGGTCCAGGCATCCCACATGACCCGGGGATGGCCTAATCTAGCTGGCCAAATCCTCTCCCCAGAAATGCTTTATGTTGCAAGTTCTTTCATTCAAAGTTCCCCATACCTCCCCACTTGTTTCCCCTTACAGTGCCTTTCGGGGTCCCTCTGAGGGCAGCTGCCTTTGGTATAGGCACTTTGGTACTTGAAAACCAAATCTTGCCCCGGAAAAACTTCCCAAGAAATGGGATGAACTATGAATGTGGGGAGTGTGTTCTGAGTCTTACAACAGTTTTTCCTGCTTCTCCCATGGGTTCCGCTGAGGGCTCAGCCACACTGTCCTATGGACACTGGCTTGCCAGCTGTCAGCTTTGCCCTCAACATCTAAAATTCCACAGTGGGTTGCAAGTCTTCTTTTATTAACCACTGCATTCCTAGTACCTAACACTGTGCCTGATCTATATATAATAAGCACTCAATACACCTTTTTGAATGAATGCATATACATCATTATTGCAAAGGAATTCATAGATTTCCCTCAAGGTGCTGCTAATTGAGGCCTATGTACCAGTGACTCTGCAGACAGCAATATGTCAACAATAAAGACAAAGTTTATCTGGAAATTTCCAAGAGAGAGAAGTTAATCAGATTGGAAAACTGTCTACTTATCAGTAACAGAGACTGAAATGACGTATTCTGGGACCTTTGACTAGTGTAGCGTTAATCACCTTCATTTCGTAGAGTAGATGGCCATTAGGGCCACATTTGAAAATGATGTCACTGCCCTCATTTTCAAAAAATGAGTTACTTACCTGATTCATTTCTTGCTGATTTCCTTAACATTAGATTTTTCTTATATATTTGTATTTTTCCTTTAACTTATATCTTCTATTAATTGAACCAACTTTCAAAGAGTTCCATGAGATTCAGGGAAACCTTGTCTCTGACAACAGAGGAATGTAAACTAGAAACGGAAAGAAAATGGCTAGTGGCCAAATGAACAAGAGCTTAGATGAAAGGGGTTCCATTATTTGTTGGTTTAGGTCAAAGTATTTTTGTGCCTTTTGTTTCAGTTTAAACACAGGTTGCATGTTATACCTAATACATACTCCCTCACCTTCTGCAAAGAAAACTTTCCTACTCACTTTGTAAAAGAAAGGAAAATACAAAAAAGGTAGTAAAAGAAAGACTATTGTTGACTCCTACAACATTAACTGGTAGCTGGAAACTTACAATAACAATCACTAATTGGAGGTACACAAATGCATCTAACCCAGGTCCTAATAATTAATTCTGGTCTCACCTTGTGTTTAATCACTTGGTTTTTATGTCCAGCCTGTTCTTTTAATGCCAAATTCCCAGACATCACATTATCTATCTCCCAACCCCAACCTCACCTCACACATACAAAACAGCAAACATGGAGATATGAAAGGAGGGATGAGAAGCTGGAACAAGACTGCCTTCAGCATGATAAAAGGGTGAGCTGGTGCCAGGAGGTTGCAGGGGAGGGTGTTTGGGGAGACACTCTCTTAAACAATATGCTATCATTTCTAGGAAAGGGAAGAAGAAGAGAAAAAATATGACATTCACTCGTTTATTCAAAAAATATTAACTGACTGCTTGCTAGATGCTGTACATGGTAAAATGCATTGCAGAAGATGGGGTAGGAGTAGGAAGAGAATTCAGAGATTTGTGAACATGGCCCCGACCTTTCAACAATTGTTGACCCCCTTATGCCCCGGAGAATATAAAAGTGTTTCTCTAAAGCAGGATTGTTCATGAAAATCAGGACAATAAACAAGCCTAACAAAAACACAAAACTACTAATGTTATCTCTCAGCCCCCATTTGCACTTCTGTTGAAACTGGGTTGTTAATGGAGCCAGAGTCCCCCTTGTGAGGAATCAGAGTTATCTGCACCTGCATTTGTATGCAGCCTGTGGAACCAGCCGTGCAGACTTTGAATCGTAGGTCACAGGGAAGCTGACACAGCTGGGCACTTTTATTTTTCCCACCTCTGGAGGATGTGCCTGACAGCTCCTTTGCACTTAAAAGGGAGTAACCCCCAGGCTGCTTATCAAAAAGCTTCCCCAGGGAGGCTGAGATGGGAGGATCCTGAGGCCAGGAGTTTGAGGCCAGCCTGGGATTCTTTTCCACAGACAGCACATTCTTACAGTGTCCACTCCAGCCCCCACTGCAAAAAAAAAAAAAAAAAAAAAAAAATTCTCACATGGGTGGGAGAAGTGGTATTTGTTTCCTGATCTTTTCCAATAAAACTGTCTACGACAAGGTCTGAACATGGTTGGCAAAGGAGGTGATCCTGATCCTAATTTTTGGAATGGAGGTTTGACCCTGCTGTTCCACTAACCACAAGTTAGTAGACGATTTGTGACTTCTGAAATATACATCAGTGTTGTACAAACAGTGAATTTTACCCAGGGCAAGTTTTACTAACATCCTTTTTAAATTTTTATCATTGCTGTTTTGTTCAAAAATAGGGAGATGAGCTTCAAATTTCATTCAAATAATGCTAATAATAATAGTAATGTAGTAATAATAATATGAGTCCCAATGCACTGAACACTTAAAAAATACTAGATATTGCGCTTTATGTATAAACCTTGTATCCAATCCTGGTACAACCTTTTAATATAAGTATTGCTAGCCCCATTTTACAGACATGGAAACTGAGGTTCACAGCCATTAAGTAAATTTCTCAAGAACCACATCTAATAAAAATTTTGATGCAATTCTGTCTAATACTAAACCCTTGCTACAAACAACTACATTCAACTACTTCCATTGCAATATCAACCAAGTTAACCTATTTAACCTTGAGTCAGGCATTATTAAGTGGTTGCATTCCCTTATCAGAAGTAGAAATCATTTGCCGAGTTTATAGAGTCACAGAACATTAGAACTAGAAGAAACTCTAAGTATAATCTAAGTTCATTATTATACAGATAAGAAAATTATTTTGAAGAGGGTTAACAATTTACCCTAGGTCAGCTGACTGGCTACTGGCTCAATTGAAACAAAGAACCCAGTTCTCCCAGATCCCAATCCAGTATTCTTTCCCTCAACATGTTGCCTTAGAGTAGAATGGGCAATACAGCAGGCCCCCATCATCATCAGTTTTGTTTTCTGCCACTTCAGCTAATTATAGTCAACTCCAGTCCAGAAATAAGTACAATAAGACATTTTGAGAGAGAGAAACCACATTCATCTAACTTTTATTACAGTATAATTATCCTATTTTATTATCAGTTACTGTTGTTAATCTCCTACCGATTTATAAATTAAACTTTGTCATAGGTATGTAGGTACAGAAAAAAAAAACCTAGTATATGTAGGGTTCAGTACTATTCAAGGTTCCAGGCATCCACTGGGGTCTTGGAAAAGATTCCCTGCAAATAAAGGGGACTACTGTATAGACATTTTATTGCTTAGGACATGAAGTACTCATCCCAAAAGATGTGAAAACTCCAATGATGTCAAGTTCAGATTCTCACATCTGATGTAGAATCTTCCCTTCCCTTATCCTTTATCTTGTGATTTTTTTTTCCTCAACACATTTCCTGCAGAGATAATTAGTGGTGGACTGGAGCCTATAACTTAATCAAGATAAAATGCCTGGTAAATATATGTCTTATACTATTTAGCCTCTAGCCATATGCTTACTTCTCCTGGGTCTGAATTTCCATGGCCAGCCCAGTTGCACATTGAGCTACATGTTGGATAAAAGAAAATGCGCTAAACAAATTGGCCCCATTTTAGCTTGGCCATAAATAGAATTTCTTCTCTACATACCCCATCCAGGGATCTAGGCTTCTCTTTTTTCCACAGTCATGTTGGTTATCATTCTGATATTTAGCAATTATCTCCTATAGGTCCTACATTATTCTAGGAGCTATGGGAATTCAGAAAACAATTGTCAGGGTTTTGTGTTTGCTATTTCATCTGCCTGGATTGTTCTGTTTCCCATCTCTGCATGATCAGCTCCTTATCTTTCAAGTCTCAGCTCAAAATCACCGTCACTGAGGCCTTCTCTGTGCTGGCCATCTGGATTTACTTCAATCCTTCAGTCAACCTCTGGTACATCAACTGGCTTCAGTTTCCTCAAAGCATCTATCAGTATCATAAATTATTGCCTTCATTTATTTGTTACTTGACATTTTCTCTCTCTTCTCACTAGGATATGAGCTCCAGAAAAGCAGGAAAATTTTTTGCATCATTCATTATCATATCCCCAGAGCCTAGTCCAATGACTAGATATAGAAGGTGTTAAATAAATGAACAGCCCATCCCAGGAAGCAATCAATCAAGTTCTGAAGACAAAGTTTACATATCTGGAGTAGTTGGGAATAGTCCAGAATATGATAAAATTAACTACTAAATTGTATGGTAGAGACAATATGTTACTATTGTCAGGCTCATAATTATATGAAAGGAGCTTTCATCAGCACTAGAATTTTCCCATCAACCAAAATACTATCCAGGTTAGGATGCAAAACTCTTCAAAAACTTTCTAGAGGGAAAAATGAGGTCCTCATCTGAATACTGTTTTAAGCAACCTAGACAGAGCTTTCCTGAGATAGTAAGATTAGGAAAATGTTGCCTAGAGTAGTACAAAGCTATTAAATAAAAAAGTCAGCTTATTGCCTTTAATACTGATTTTTGGTATGTTTCCAATTCCTTCCAGTGCCTGAGGGCTTTAGATAGTTCAGTTCTTCAATTCTGCACATAAACTATTTTCTGCACACAAGCCTAGTGATCAATGGCCTAATCAAAGAAAAGCCTTGGTCCAAAGTGAAAACCACGCAGGATAGGCCTCCTGCCTGACACTACTCTGTGGAGTTGACATCAGGACATAACCCCGGAGACCACCGTGCCATGGCTCCAGTGTCGAAGTTTCTGTATTAGACAGGATGAGAAAAGACAGTAAGAGAACACACAGCCTTCAGGTCTTCAAGATAAATATATAGACTTGTTATACAAAATGTGGTCTTGGAACTAACAGCTTTGGCATCATCTGGGAGCTTGTCAGAAACGCAGAATTTCAGGCCCCACCCAGACTTACTGAATTAGAATCTCCATTTTAACAAGATCTTAGGTGATACATATGCGTATTACATTTTAAGAAGCACTGTTGGATAAGAGACAAAAACTATTCCAACAACTGTGTCATCATTATGGATCATGGCCAAAATAAATCCCACAACACTCAAAAATACAAAAAACTAAGAGTTAATGGCAGTGGATCACCATGAAATCTACCCAGGGTTGATTTCTGGTCCGTGGTGGGTTTACCTTAGACCAGTTTCCTGGCTTCAATTATTTCTTATTCTACCTCATTTTGTCCACGAACTTTTCTACTTTGATCTGTTCTTGTGCAATTGGCAGGCTAAAAGGCAAGAAGTGATTTCTAGTTCATCTCAGTAGGTAAAGGCATTCTTTTTTTTTTTTTTGAGGAGTCTCGCTCTGTCACCCAGGCTGGACTGCAGTGGCACAATCTCGGCTCACTGTAAGCTCTGCCTCCCGGGTTCATGCCATTCTCTTGCCTCAGCCTCCCGAGTAGCTGGGACTACAGGTGCCCGGCACCACGCCCAGCTAATTTTTTTGTATTTTTTAGTAGAGACGGGGTTTCACCGTGTTAGCCAGGATGGTCTCGATCTTCTGACCTCCTGATCTGTCCGCCTTGGCCTCCCAGAGTGCTGGGATTACAGGTGTGAGCCACCGCACCCAGCCAAGGCATTCTTTTTAATCCTGACTCTATTACTTACTATTTCTGTGACCACATGCACATCATTTAAGCTCTCATTATTATTATTTCGTTATCTATAAAATGGGGAGGGTAAGACTTAAATGATATGTATGTTTGAAGATTAAATGAAAAAGGCGATATAACATGCTTAGCAAAGTGCCTGCTCAAAAAAAAAAAAAAAAAGGTAGCTATTTGGTAGTAGTATTCTTAGTAACTTTCTCCCTCAACCTACATATCTAGTTTACTCTGGACTCATTGCATCAGAGCCTAGGGACCTGGAGAAGACTCAAATTAAATCCTCACACATATGTTTAGGAAAGCTTTAGAGTGTCTTAGGGAGGCTCTGTCTATGACACCAGTGGGCTTCGCTGTGGCAGCACCTTCATCAGGCCTGTCTGCCTGTGAATGTTGTGGAACAGCTGCCTTCTCTAAATCCCCTCTCTGCTCACTACAGGGCTTTGCATGTAACAGGCCCTCAGCGAACATTTGTTGAATGAATGAATGAATTAATCATTTAGAGAAAATAACTGTATGCCATAATTGCTTTTCTACTTGAGTGCTAACTTTGTTGTTGTAAATGCATATAGAAAGATCCTTTGGAGCTAGTTTGCAACCTTGGGGTTGTAAAACATAAAGCCGTATAGAAATTTGTTGACTCTTCATTGGATTTCTATAAATTTGTGTCATTTTTATGCCATATGTTACAATGAAGCAAGTTAGCCTAAGAACTACATCAGCCTGAAATACACAAGGACAGGTCTAGGCTGTCCGCATTCACAGAGCAGGATTAGAAGGCTGATTGCTGATTCAGCTGTTGTTTTTGGTTCAGCCAAAGCAGAGGTCTGTTTACTATCCTGGGAGAGGAACCAATTTAGTCTTCCTGGGCTTTATCCACATAAAAACGTGGAAGACATGACATCTTGTCTGCTGGAAATACAATGCCATGTAGGTGGTTTACTCCTTTCTTTGACTCTGATTTACCGCTGCTTAGAGCCTGAGCGTCACCTTAGAGGATGAACTCTCAGCTTGTGCCTCAGAGGGACAGCAAGTCATTCTTCTCAGCTTTCCTGATGGGAAGGAAGCAACTGGCCAGGACAAAAAAGGTGGATTATGTAGAAAAAAAATGTGGATTACGAACGAGAATGTGCAGTGGAAAGGAAGAGCTTGCTTATTACAATTTGTCCACCCAGATAACCCCGCTGATATGCACCAAAAGTAATAGCAAGAAAAGGCGTTGGCAAAGGTCAGATCTAAAGCAACAATGAAAGTGATATTGGAAAAGGAAGGGAAGAAAGACCCAAGGAAATCCACTCCTGAATGAAGTATAAAGAAAAGAAAAAGAAAAAAAATGTACTGTGCTTAGTGCATCAGGTGAGGGTTACAATTAAACCCCTGAAAGTTCTAATTTAAAATCAGTTTCCTTTTTTCTTGGTTATTTCTCTGGGATATACAGATCTATATCTTTTTACTGGCTTCTTCTGAAGTAAGAAAATATAAAGGATCCATTCCTTTAACAAAATGTGGATGTTAATTACATGCCAGGCACTGTGTCAGGGATGAAGACTCAAAGATTAACAAGACGTGGTCATATCACTTTGTAATTCCTCCCAGACTTTGGTCCAAAGCTCAGCTTTCTGCAGATAAAAAGTATGTTTTCCTTTGTTATCAGTTACCTCAGTGATACAGTTAACTCAGGATAACATAAACTTTTCAGAATATTCTTTTCAATCTTTTAAAAGAGTTTTATTATAACAGTGGCAGATGCTTGTGGGAAAAGCAATTTGGAAGTTTTCAGTCCAAAAAATAAAAGTCCCTCATCCATATCTCTAATCTTGGAGCAAACAGATAATTTATTTTGAGATTACATGTACATGTTTCTCTATAAATATGCATGTTTGTATGTATGTGTATATTATATATATGCACAAACTCATATACATATATAATATATATTACATATAAATATCTATATTTTGAGAGAAAGGATAAAATAATTAAATATATATGTATTTATAATTTTACAGAAAGACTAGACCCTAGAATATCTATTCTTCTAAAGCTTGCTTTGTTCACTTCCATTGGCTAGGAATAGACTATCTCTGGATGGATAGACAATAAACTGGTAGCAGTGGTTGCCTGATTGCCTCTAGGGAGTGGAACAGGATTACTGGGAAATAAGAGTGGGAAGAAGATTTACTTTTCATTTTATTCTGTTTTCTGCATTTTGATTACTTTAAATAAACTTTTGAAATTAAAAAAAGAAGAGAAATATGGTAAATACTGTCAAGTCTATTATTATGGAAGACAGTTATGCAGGGAAATGACAATCCAGGGAAATGTGGAGAGTGCTGCCAAAGGATCCATATAAAGAGCTGTGAGAGCATAAAATAGGCAGCAGAGAACCCTGTCTGAGTGTCAGGGGAGGCTTGGTGGGAGTGATGTTGGAGCTAGCTCTTGCAGAGTAGGAAGGAGGAGATGGTAGAATGGAGGGCAATTTAGATAGATTGAGAATCACATGCCCCAAGGCTTGGAAGTGTGAAAAACCTTGATGCCCTCTTTCAAACTAGGGAAGTCTTAGTCCTGGACCCATGTTGGGGCCTGACACTTGGCAGGGTATTATTTAATTATTTAAGGTCTAGCAATTTATAGACCTTTAGGAGGCAATGCAAAAATGCAAGCAAGAAACATAAATCATAGCCAGGAAGACTAATGTGTTGATCGTCAGGGCCTGGAAAGAGAGATAGATGCCTCCAGGAATTAGGCAACAGAACAGACACAAAGGGACAAGAGAGTTTCAAGTGGAGGACAAGAGAAGCATTCAAGAGAGAAAATTTCTGAGTAAGACAGAGTAGTGGTGGAGACTTTAGAGAGCAAATCTCTGACCTTGGACTTAAGCAGGAAGGAAGTCTCTAGGGACCTAAACTGTACAGAAGCAAATGAAAAGGTTTTGGATTGACAGAAGATAACCTTATGTCATCAGAGTGGAGGGTACTTGGGGTAGGTAGCAGTCAGTGATGCAGTGGCTGGAGAGGTGAGAGGGGGTGGTAGGCTGAAAAATGGCTCCCATAGTCCTAATCTCTAGAACCTGTGAATGGCAAAGGAGAGCTTGCAAATGTGATTGAATTAAAGTTCTTGAAATGGGGAGATTATCTTGAATTATCTGGGTGGACCCAATGCAATCAAAAGGGTGTTTATAAAAGGGATGCAGGAGGAGTCAAAGTCATAGAGAAGGCTATGTGGCTCAGAGACTGGAGTGATGCACTCTAAAGATGGAGGAAGAGGCCGCTTGCTAAGGAATGCAAGTGGCCTCTAGAAGCTGGAAAGGACAAGGCAAGGGATTCTTCCCTAGAGCTTAAAGAAGGACCGGGTGATTCCTTGACTTTAGTCCAGAGAAACTGAGTTTGGACTTCTGGCCCCAGAACTCTAAGAAACATAAATATGTGCTTTTTTAAGCCACCAAGTGTGTGGTAATTTGTTACAGCAGCCACAGAAAACTAATACAGGGAGTGCAGTCAGCTGTTCGTGCTGAGAAGGCAGAAAGGAGTTACTGAAGGATTTAAAGCTGAGGAGTGATGTCATTAGATAGCATTTAAAAATGATAACAGACCGGGCACGGTGGCTCACGCCAGTAATCCCAGCACTTTGGGAGGCCGAGGCAGGTGGATCATGAGGTCAAGAGATCAAGACCATCCTGGCTAACACGGTGAAACCCCATCTCTACTAAAAATACAAAAAATTAGCCAGGCGTGGTGGCAGGTGCCTGTAGTCCCAGCTACTCAGGAGGCTGAGGCAGGAGAATGGCGTGAACCCAGGAGGTGGAGCTTGCAGTGAGCCAAGATCGCACCACTGCACTCCAGCCTGGGCAACAGAGCAAGACTCCGTCTCAAAAAAACAAAAGGATAACAGATGGTGAGTTGTAGAATGGAGTGGAGTGGCAGGAAACGGAAGAGGAAGAGATACACACGAGGGAACGATTGCAATAGTTTTTGAAAACCTTGAAGAAATGGAGAAGAGGAGACCCTGTTGAAGACATACTTAGGTGGTGAAAAGGACTTTGTAATGGTTGAATGTGGAGAGTAAAGAGGAGGATCAAGAAGGAATCCTCACTCCACACTGTGACCCATCAATGGAGTTCACAAATCTACCACAGTGTAGTACTTACAGGGAAGAGAAAAGAAAGCATCCATCATTGAGGTGCCTGGAGAATTTCCTGGTAGAAATGCTAAACACTCAAGAGCAAAGGAGGTTTCAAGCCTCAGAAAAAAGGAGAGAATTAGGAGCAACAGCAGAGGTAGCTGCAAAAGGACAGCGCCCAGCAGTAGGAGGGAGAGACTCACTAAGGACAAAACCCCATGAAATGACCAAGATGTACATGGTTTCTTTAGAGGAGTATGGGCAAAAAAGAATGAGAAATAAAGGCTAAAGATTTATGAAAAGAATCTGGACAGAATTACATCTGGGGCATCAAGAGAAGAGAGGATTTTCAAGAAAGCTGCCCTGGTAAAGAGGGACACAGTCTTCTGCTGAGATACATGGGATGGTCACAGGATTGACATCAGGGAATCTCTAATTAAGAAGCTGTAGGGTAGGCTTCCTTCTCCAGCGCTGTTTTTGTAGAGTAAAACAGCTGAAAGTGATAATTTGAAGAGTGAACTGGAGGTGAGGAAGTAGAGAAAAGAGGTATAAACTACCCTTGTAAGAAATGAGGTGCTAATACATTGAAAAGGTACAGCGGTAAAGAGGGGCGTGTGTTTATAAAAGGATTATTTTTTAGGAAGATACAAGTTTGGAGAAGAGAGAGTTCAGTGACTGAAGAGGTTGTGAAGATTAAAATGGAGGAGGGTAATGAAGGAGTGAGGTCTAGAGGAAGCAGGGAGGGATGGGCGCCGGCACGCAGGTGGAGAAGTTAGTCTGGAAACGAAGAACCTCACGACCTTTTCTGAGGCATGTGGGCAAAGAACGATGGGAGAAGATATGAATAAGGTTAGACATGGGGACGGGGAGGTTGAAAATTTCATTTCTGAAATGTTTTACTTGCTCTGTAAAAACAAACTAAGAAAGAAGCTGGGCACGGTGGCTCACGCCTGTAATCCCAGCACTTTGGGAGGCTGAGGTGGGCAGATCACCTGAGGTCGGGAGTTCGAGACCAGTCTGATCAACACGGAGAAACCCCGTCTCTACTTAAATACAAAAATTGGCCAGGCATAGTGGTGCATGCCTGTAATCCCAGCTACTCTGGAGGCTGAGGCAGAAGAATCTCTTGAACCTAGGAGGCGGAGGTTGCGGTGAGCCGAGATCACGCCATTGCACTACAGCCTGGGTAACAAGAGCAAAACTCTGTCTTTGAAAAAATAAATAAATAAACAAATAAATAAATAAATAAAAAGGCTTCATCAGACTTACCTTGAGCAAGATGATCCTCAATGTTGGTATGGCAAACCACATAGTGTTAGCATGATAAATAAGTGCCTGTTAAATGGGAGGCTGCCTTCTGAAGATCTGGCCCAAAACACTCATCTCTGAATTTTCCTCAGTCAGGCATAACTAAAGCAAGTTACATATCTGCAATAAAACCCACATGGAAGTCACCACCTCAGGGGAACTTTTACACCATTACTACCACCATCACCACTGTCCGTGACAACAAAGCAACAGCAACAGCAAACACCTTGAGTGCTTACCATGTGCTTGGCTCTGTGGCTCTTGGAATTTAAAGTTGAATAAGGCAAAGAACCTACTCATGAGAATTCTATGACTTTGTAGAGAGAAGGGGAGACTTTTACCAAATACCTAACCTGAGAATACATCCTATGTAAAGGAAGATTCATAAGGATTCCTAAACTGTCGGGGCTGGAGAACTAGAGAGGGCATTACAGATGAGGTCCAGATAAGTGATTGACTAAAGCAATATCACCTGGATGACTCTAGACTTCCATCCTTAAGTCCTGTGCTTTTTCCATTTCATTTCACACTGGTAAACTTCCTTTCCTATTCAATCCATACGTAATTTTAGGTATCTAGTCATAGGTACAGAAATAAGAAACAGAGAAACTCATTTTACTAGAAGGGTTTTCAAGTCAGAGTAGGCAATAACATATAATCAAAGGACTCAAATCCAAAAATAGTGTCCCTTGCATGTCACAGAAGGTATAGCCCTTGCAGCACACTTGTCATTCCTAGGGTAAAGTTCCGTTCTGTATCAGCCCTCTCAGAGAGCAGGACAGAAGAATATCTCCCTTTGTCTTACGCACGTATCATTCTTTATCAGTGACATTCCCTTTTGCTGCATTTTGGAATGAAAGGAAATTGATAACTAAGGAGGAGAAATATATTTAAAGAACCAGACTAAAGAGGAGAACACATAAACCCTATAACTTAGAGGTAAGTTTTAGGAATTAACGTGGTAAATAGAGATTGACGTAGACCTACTAAAATGTTTGAATGCCTTTTAAGATTAGTAACAAGCAAGGAGCTTAATATAGACCATATTTCAGAGAACCAAAGTCAACACTTAGACTGTGGCAAAACTAGCCCCTGATTGGCAAGAAAGGCTTGCAATCAAGATAAGTAGGGCATAATGCCAAGACCGTGGACAGAATTCCCTCTTGGATTCAGTATTTAACCTTAAGGACACTGCATTGCTTGGGAGAGAGGCAAGGCCTAGAACTAGGAGCTCTTGGTAGGGTCAGACTTTTATCTCCCAGAAATCTGAGACCCTGGCAATCCTTGAACCACTGGCAAACAGAAATAGAAGAGGATTCAGCCCTCTGGTTCAGTCCTCAGGCTCTGGCATGAAAACATAAGAAAGCTTTGCCAGCTGGAACTGGTAGTATCTACATTTGCTTATATTACATTGCTCTCTTGGCAAATTGGAATCAGAACAATGTTAAGATCCTAAAGTTTGAAGAGATAGCAGAAGCCTGTGGTTTTGTTTCTGAGTTCACAGGAATCAAGCCTTGAGGGGAATGAAGGACTGCAGCCACTGTAGCCCAGACACAAATCTCTTGTTTCTTCTGGGAGAAAGTGCCCAGCCAGAGGAGAGGCCATCATAGCTCTGCTACCTCTTCAGCAAGGCAAAACAGGAATTTGTGTGGAGCTCAGAGAACCAACAGCACCTCAGTCACAGAGACATACTTGCCCCTGTGGCAGTCCTGCTGACAACAGAGGTCCCTTGTCTCAGAGGAGACCTTCCTTGGTCATTAAGTCTTAAGATGGCCCATTTCTTGAGTTTTTATTGTGCTAATTCATCACTTGCCCTTTAGCAAGTCCCATATCTACAACTTGGCCTCATCAGAATGCCATGTGGATAAACTCAAGAGAAATTCCATGAATGGCAATTCTAAAGCAGTCTTGGTTGATCAGATACAAATATACTGGCCACTATGCCTGCTATACCAGAGGGTGAATCAAGAAGGTATAAAAAATTCCAATTTCTTATACTTACTTGAACTGAATACTAACTTGCTGTCAAGACAGTAGACAAAGATTTATTTGTGAGGCTGTTATTCAGAGCTATATAAACACTTGGCCAATAGAGATTCCCTCATAACACAAATCAGTCGGAAAAATGAGCCTATGCAGAGGGCAGGATGAAGCAAGAAGGGGTTTACTATGTATGTAGCTGCTATAAAGGGATTCCAGGCAGAGTTGGGTGTGACTCCTGGAGACTGAACCACGCTCACTGCTGCTTCTCTCCTACTTTATACAAGCAGTCTGATACTTTGTCCTCCCTAGGGTAGCAAAATGGATGGTGGCTGGCAAGAACCTTTAGAGGACTCTGTCTGTGATAACTAACATAGTAAGCTTACAGTGTTGACCCCATTCTGCATCTAAAATTCCCTAAACATTTTGATTTTGAGATTTGGTTTTTGCAACCAAACCTTGGAAATGTTACAGATGGGCACAGAGCATTAGGGGAAAATCTGATTGAGTCGTTACTACAGACTCCTTAAAATGGGTCTTATAGATTGTATGCAGGTAGCCAGTACTGGCATGAGGTATGGAATTTGCCAACAAGCATGCCACTCACCTTTACTGATGTCTTCATACTCCAGCCAGAGTCGCCGCTGGACCTGCTTGTTTGGGTACCAGATAGAACAGGACTCCTCAAAGCCGTAGATAGCTTCCTGGATGTAATGGTTGCCGAACTGGTCCAACAGCGCCACAAAATCTGCACGAGATGTAGCCCCATCCAGCGAGTGGAGAGCATTGCTGAGGGCTATGGAGAGGCATCACCCAAGGGTAAGAATGAGGGCTCAGATTTTGGGTATACGGATTCCCAGGCAATTCAGTCCCAAACATGGAAGTGCCTGTGTGGCTCAAAGTGATGTGGGAGAGCTAGCTAGAAGTGTCTGGTGAATGTTTCCATTTAGCTAAATGAGACATTTCAGTTCCTAAGTGAGTATCTTTTAAGCCAGTTGGTTGTATTAACTTTGTGCCAAGTTAAGCAAAACATTGCCAAACCTCTACTCCTGTCCCCTTTAAATCAATGTGTTTTTTTTTTTTTAAATCACAGGTCATGACATTAAATCAATTTAGTGAGTTCAAATAATAGCATTTGAAAAAAGCAGAAACAATTAGCATAGTCTAAAACAGAAACACAAATACCAGCCGAGAACATTTCACATCGTGAAGATAAGTATCGCTTCATGAAACTTCTGTTGTGTGCATGTGGGAGTATGTGTACGCGCAAGGTCACGATACAAAATGTATTCTAACTGTGGGTAGTGATCAAAAAAGGCAATTGCAAAATACTGCCTTCAGACGTAGACATGGGCAATAAGAAGACAATGACAGAAGAAAGGAAAGAAAAGTCACTAATACACTCCTATTTTATTGCAGAAATTCTAAAATAAAAGGACTGGGAAATGACAAATGGAAGAGAAAACTTGTTGGCCTCCTCTCCCCCAACCCTGCAGGCAAATCTTCTTGGATTTGCTGTCTCTCTTTAAGAGAATTACTGTATATCTGTCTGAAAGATGGCCTATGGTAAATTTTCCAAATCCAATACCTTTTGGATCTAGCTAGCTTTTCACGGTCTCCTTTTCTACGTACCTGTCTCCTATTAAGGCAAAGTAAAGTCTAGCTCAGCTTGAGACCTCAGGTGCTGAGATCCACATCACAGCGACACCATTGTGTGACTTTGGACGGCATGTGGCACCAGCGATATTTGATTGTTAACTCCTGATATGCACAGCATCTGTGCTGGGTGCACATTGACTATGTAAATGGAGTAAAGTCTCTAATATCGTATTTTCCTAGAATGAAAAGTAGCTTAGTTCTTTCTAGATGTGCTGCACCAGAAGAGTTTCTGTCAGTGAGGTCCCCATCCTAATCACTTCTTGCCAAGAACTCTTTTGTGTTAAAAAAGAAAAAGTTCTGGGTCCCCTGTGTCCTATGAAAATGTGCTATATCCTCAATGCATTATCTTTATGCACAAAACTTTACCCTTTGTGAGTTTCTGTCTCACTTAACTTCATAACTTTTCTATTTGTCCTCTACCATTTATCTTCCTCCCATTGGCCCTAAGGCTCTACCTCCCTATTGCTGACTCTGAAACCCTAAGTAAGTTTAGAACTCACTGCTGCTTAACTTACTAGCTATAAAGAGAGGGCTAATATCTATTTCTCTCTCTCTCTTTCTCTCTCTCTCTCTCTCTCTTTCTCTCAATCTCTCAGTCTCTTTATTTCACTCACTTGCTGTTTAGGAGCGTTAAGCTGCTTTCTGGTTTTCCGTCCCCCCTCTTTCTTGCTCTCTTTTTTTAGTTCATTGTATGGAGTCTCTAAATTATGCTCTTTGCATTTGGAATGCTTAATTCTCTCAATTTGTAAAAAATCTGCTTTTATGTATCCTCTCCACATACTGGATGAGCCCAGGAAAAATTATACCTTCAATGGCTCCAGTCTTGCCCTTTCCCTCTCTTCTGTAGTCCAAGATAACACATGCAATGTAATCTCTACTTAGAAAAGAATTCGATTCTAGCCATCTGCTCTTCTGGATAAATCTGAGTAAATAGCTCACACATCTCATGCAATAGCTACATTTTAGGCTGCATCTTCGACAGTGGGACCAAAGGCTTCTCCCCTTGGAAAGGACTTCTAAGTTCCAGGGAAGGTGGGCAGGATAGCCTGCAGCAGTGCTCACCCTGAGAGATGGCCACTTGGTTGAGTTTGATGTGGTACATCACAGACCGGACCTTCCAGTGCTGCAGCACAGGGTACCCAGACACTTCACTGAAGTTCACCATCCCTAAGGACAGAAGAGATGTAAGCTGAGTTCTGATACTGATTCATAAGTTCCAAATCAAAAAGCATGACCCACCTCTATGAGGCGAAGTGTTGTAATTGTGAGAAAATGATTAAATGTTCTTTGATGAAGAGAATTTCTGGAACCATAGTAACAACAGTTATCATTTATTGAACCCTTACTCCATGCCAGGCATTTTGCTAAGCACTTTGCATACATATATTAAGCCATTTGATCCTCATGGGACAGTTGTTATTATTTGAATTTTATAAATGAGAAAATCGAGGCTCTAAGGCTGGCTATGTTACTGTAGTAAGTAGTTTCAGAATGATAGTCACTTTCACACACAATAACTTCTGGTTCTCAAAACCTGACTACACTCTCTCTGGCTACCTGGCAAATAGGTTTTTGGTGCCCAGTCATTTTGTCTGTAAAGCGAGAGGCTTAACTGAGATGACCCCTTGCTTCCTTTTCAATTCGGATTTCTACCAGCTGTATGGTTTTGGGCCATGCAACTCATTTGTTCGCATTTTGATATCTGAAAAGTGGGGATAATGGTATTCATCCTATCTACTTTACAGGCAGGTTGTGAGAACAAATAAAATTGGGGGCGTAAAAGTACTTCAAAAAAAGATAAGGTCCCTAAGACACCAGGTAAGCCAGGATGGGGCTCCAGATGAGTCTGAGGCCAGGCGGCAGTTCTTACTCATTCTGCTATAATATCCCCATAGCAAATTTATATTAAACTCTAGGCTTACTGTAATACACCTGATTTTTACTCTCTTTAATGGTTGCAGTAATTGACTCAGCCCACATACCTGATAACATTGATTTTTCTGTCTCATTTAACTGATTTGTGTTCAGTATTTAAGTTTCAATTTCTCTCAGGCAGATAATGCTTATTTCTTCTTTACCAGAAGGAACAGTATCAGGGTGACTAAATCATTAAGGGGCAGGAACAGCCAAATATTGAGTGCCATCTCTGTGCCAGACATTGTGATAGTCGTGTGCTGTCTCCTTCTTACTAATGGAAAAACTGAGGCTCTGAGAAGTTAAGTTAGTTGTCCAAGGTCACTCTCAATAAACACAAACTTACAGCCTCTTAGTGATGTTATTAATGGGCTATTCTTCCTTGAGTACCTTGAAGAAAGAGTGTCACCCTGTTTGAATTCTAGCCATTACTATAAATATAAATGCTACCGAAACAAAATAATTAGGCCATAGGAAAAAAAATTGCCTTGCTAAGTTTAGAAAACCAATTTTAGCTTTATTTCTATGCTTAATCTTTGCTATATGTGTAAGTTATAGGAATATATACACACAATTGCATATGTGTGTACATATTTATATATATACAAATATAAGGGCAATATATAGTAAATTTATATATATTATGCATAGAATGTGTGGTGTGTGCACATGTCTACAAATATAATGGCAATAATACATATGTAGTGAATTATCCTGCCATTTCGACCCATGTTTCTTTCAGGCTAAATCAACTAATTTAATGCTTAAACTGGATGAAGAGTAGGTAGGATTAATTAGCTGCTTGTCAACCCTGATCAAATTAGGTGAGTAATTGCCAAATTTTCATTTCTGTGTGAATCATATGGGAATAATTTTTGGTAAGGCAAAAAGAAAAAAGGTCAGGAAAGGTGCTTAGTGAATCAATTGCTTAAATTTTATCTTAGGCAATCAAAGGTAAGCTACCTGAAACTAAGAGAAGGTTTTTAGTATTCTTTTCTTTCAAATATTCTTTCAGGGCATTAATCTTTGTGACTACCAACAGTCATACTATTACATACTTTGGCTTTTAACTTCTACGTTAACTTCAAAAGCATACAAATGGAATTCTAACTTTACAAGTTTAAGACTTCAGTCACATGCTTTAAAGGTATATTTTATTAGAGCATAAGATGTGCATCTATGTAGAACTATTTAATAACAAGTATTGTCTAGTTAGGTCAGCTCAACAGCTTTGCTTTTAGTTTGAAAAGTTTATTTATAAAAAAATAACAAGCCCACTAAATAAAAATTTTTCAAATTATTAGGCAAAGCCACCTTTAATTGAATGATTTCCTAGGGGAAAAAGAAACAGGAAAGGAATCACAAAGCCTGAGCTCTAAGGCTGGCTGTGTTGCTGCAGTAGGCAGTTTCAAAATGACAGTCACTTTCATACCCATAACTTCTTGTTCTCGCAACCTAACTATCCTCTCTGGCTACCTGGCTCAGGGATCTTTCAGTTCCCAGTTGTTTCATCTGTAAGGTGAGAGTTTTAGGTGAGATGATCTCTTGCTTTCTTTTCAGTTTGGATTCCTACCAGTCATATGACTTTAGGGAGGCCACTCATTTACTTGTGTTTTCATATATGAAAAGTGTAAATAATAGTATTCATCCTATCTGCCTTATAGGCAGGTTGTGAGAACAAAATAAAATTATGGGCATAAAAGTTCTTTGAGAAAGCTGGGCGTGGTGGCTCATGCCTATAATCCCAGTACTTTGGGAGGCCGAGGCAGGCAGATCACTTGAGGTCAGGAGTTTGGGACCAGCCTGGCCAACATGGTGAAACCCCATCTTTACTTAAAAAAAAACAAAAAACAAAAAACAGCTGGGTGCCTGTAGTCCCAGCTACTAGGGAGGCTGAGGCAGAAAAATTGCTTGAACCCAGGGGGCGGAGGTTGCAGTGGGCTGAGCTCACGCCATTGCACTCCAGCATGGGTGACAGAGCAGGACACCATCTCAAAAAAAAAAAAAGAAAGTTCTTTGAGAAAAGAGAAAGTATCATAGTATCATACACATACATGGCCTCCACAATGTTATCATCTTCACCCTCCCTACCTCTCTCTCATCATACCTAACTGCGTAAACTTGGCATTTCTTAATTGGTGCTTTTGTTATAACTTCCTCGGCTTTTAAGTCCAGAACAACAGAGGGAAGATAAAATAAAGAAACAAGCACAGATGTTGGGTGGGGAAGAGGGGAGGGATAACAGTGTTCCATATCCATCCAGAATGGGCCAAACAACCGAACTCCATTACTTAGCTGATCAACATTTCTCCTGGATGCATTTATGCCACACCATAGTCAGGGAACACTTACATAACTGTTAATGCTTGGAAGTGTTTTTCCATGCCTGCGTACAGATAATAATTCCATTAGTTAAAAAGAAAGGGGTATTTTAAAAGATATATATTTTCTAGGTGAGCCATATGACATACTTTCTCAAGGTGCCCTTGACAGGCAGTCAGGTTCAATTTTTTAAAAAATTTTTATTATTTTGGGACACATTTCTGCTGAATGACTTTTTTCAAGCAGTATCTCTGACTATGTTTTTTCAAGAAAAAACATTAATTTTTCCTACCTATGCTTGAAAAAAGAATGACTGAACAGACTTTACGGGCAATATTCAAAGCAAGAAAAAGAAAGAATGAGGAAGAAGGAAGGAAGGAAGGAAGGACAGAAGAAAGGAAGGAAGGAAAGAAGGAAGGAAGGGAGGGAGGGAGGGAGGGACGGAGGAAGGGAAGGAAGGAAGGAGGGAAGGATGGAGGGAGGACACTAGCTTTTTCTTGTTATTTTATCTGAAATGTCAGGGATATATGTATATTGCCCCAAAGTTCTGAAGCCAAGAGTCCATCCCCTTTGGATGAACTTTAAAAAATTCTGAAGAGCCCAGAGGTCTAAACCTTCACACAGATTTAATGACTGTGTCACCCAACAGGCCTATGAATGCAGCCAGCAGCCTCCTCTACCTCCTCTGGACTTCCTTCTCTTTCTCAGCTGAAAGACTGAATATACAAATGGACAATGGCCAGATTATACATAAAAATAGAACTCTGACTCACAATCCGCAGCAACCAGCTCAGAAAACCAACCCATTATCTAGAGTAACCAGCCTAGGAAGCCAGTCTACTATCTGTAAGTCAGACTTATAGGAAGTCAGACCACTATCCATAACAAACAGCCCAAGAAGCCAAAAAATAACCACTATAACAATTGACACCAAACAACCCGGACTTGATTAATAGCTGACAACTTCCCTATTTTTTTCCCAGTTCCACTTAAGTCCAACCAGAGAAAGTACAATATGCACCCCTAACTAATCACATAGGATGCTCACTTCTAGTTAAGCCACCTACAACTTTCTCAACCGACAGCCTCCAATATGGGCATACTTGAAGCCTTTCCTTTTTTCTCTCTAAAGCTTTTCCACTCCTCTGCCTGCCTTTGAGTCTCTGCCAAAATACAAGTGATGACGGCTATAGCAAACCTCCAAATAAATAGCCTTTGCCTGTTCTTATTTGCTTGGTCTTTGTTTATTTCCATACAACATATAACACCAAAAAGTCCTGTTATTTTGATGAAGAGGGAAGCCAGCAGCAAGATAAGACATGTAGTTCAGTATTTTCCAGTGTGTTCTTCAAACTGATAATTCTGCAAGATAGAAATAGGTGTTATGTGTGAAAATGATTCTCTAGTTAAATAGACTCGGGAATTGCTGGCTTAAAGTGAAAAGGATTTCTTTACTGCAGGGCTTCTAGGAAACTTCTCTAATGTCGAGGTGTTGTCTATTGCTGAGAGGAGGAGACTCTTTCCAAACATCTTTGAAGGCAGAACCTGTTTATGAATGGAGCTCTGACTTTTCATAAGAAAAACAACAAATAAAAACAAATGCTTGGAAATGATGATATAGAAGATTCTTAAGATCACTTTAGCTCTAAAATCCTCTGAGCTAAATTTATGGGAATTATGACCTATAATAGTAGATACAGTGAAATGATATAAGATTCCCTATGTAAGTCTAGGAAAGATATAATTAAAATGTTCCCAGAACTAGAGATAACATGGGGAAGATTTGGCCAAGTATCTCTTTAATAGATTCCTCCAGTTATTCTCAGCTTTAAAACAAACCCAATCCCTGCTTACATCAAAGGAAATATGTGACCTTGGCTTAACTGGTACCACTTCTTAACAAAAATAGGTTAAAAACAAACGCAAGGTAGAAAAGTAGCCAGGTCAAGATTCCCATAGTTTTAGCTTAGAGGATTTTAGGGCTAAAGTCATCTGAAGCTTAAATTTGACTGCCTCGGGATCATCAAAATAAAAGTGTCCCATCTGGGCATCCTTCTATTCCTTTTGCCTCCAATGGGCCAAATTAGGAGGTCCAATGGCATGTGCAGGAAGTACTTTCTATCGTGAATGAGCACCAGGTTTGGATCTTTCCTTGTTCCCACAGAAGGGGAGTCAACCACATGTTTTTCTGATGTTTCTCAGCTTTATCCACCCTCTCCTCCCCAAAAGCTTCAGGTAACATCCAGGACTTTTCTGGCTATCTCATAACTGAAGTAAAATCTCTTCTCTCCACCATAAGTTATATTGTGAGAGAGGTGTCCTGCAGATCTTTAAACAGAGCCACGTATCTTATTACTGGTGTGGTACCTACGCTATTTGTATGTGCCACCTCGCACGTCTTCAAGGCATTTTACACACACATGTGGAATGTGTCTGCCCAAATGGTGTGGCAACAAGGAAACTAGATTCCCTAATGCCAGAGATGCAGGCTTTAGGGATATGTCCGGAAGCTGCAAGTTAATTTCTTCAGGTGTGTGTATGTGTGCATGTGCGCGTGTGCATGTAATATTTCATAGGGCAACTGATTTTGAAGAGATTTATTGCTGGTCCAGAATATATTTAATTGTTTTTTCTCTTGCTCTTTCTTTTCTATAAGGTAGATATTACTTCATAGTTTTCATACTATTTTCCTTTTTCTTTTAAATATTTATTTATTCAACACACATAGATCCCACTATGGGTCAGGAACTGTTCTAAAAACTTTACAAATATGAATTTATTTATTCCTCATATCAATCCTATGAGGAAGATAGTATTAGAATGCCCATTTTTACAGGTACAAGAAATTGAGGCACAGAGAAGTTAAGTAATGTGTCTAGATCACACAGCCAGTGAGGAGCTAAGCCCTGCTGCCAGGCTCCAGAGCTGAGGCTGTTAATCACTATGCTATATTATATCAGACAGACCTACATCTCTTCCCATTCAGGTCTAAACTCACATTTTTAACATAACTTGATGTCTGGAAGAGACCTACCCTTAGCTGAACTCATTCTTCAGAAAAGGAGGGAAAAAGGAGAGGAAGGTGTGAAAGGAAAATATCTTGGGCCCCCCAAATCACTAAGCGAAAGGGAAAAGTCAAGCTGGGAACTGCTTAGGGCAAACCTGCCTCCCATTCTATTCAAAGTCACCCCACTGCTCACTGAGATAATTGCATATCTGATTGCCTCCTTTGGAAAGGCTAATCAGAAACTCAAAAGAATGCAACCATTTGTTTCTCACCTATCTGTGACCTGGAAGCCCCCTCACCTCTTAGAGTCTTCCTGCCTTTGCTTCCAGTTGTCCCACCTTTCCCAGACCAAACCAATGTACTTTGTGTGTGTGTATATATATATATATGTATATATATATATATATATATATATATATAGATTGATGTCTCATGTCTCCTTAAAATGCGTAAAACCAAGCTGTGCCCTTACCACCTTGGGCACATTGTTGTCAGGACTTCCTGAGGCTGTGTCACAGGTGCACGTCCTCAACCTTGGCAAAATGAACTTTCTAAATTAACTGAGACCTGTCTCAGACTTTCTGGGTCTACAAAGGTATTGAATAAGGAAGACAGAATGAATAGGGAGAAGTGTAACAGAGAAACGTACAAAGCAATCAGTGGAATTGAACTCATGTCTAGTCTTCTAGCAAGTGTTGCCAAATCTCAGTCAGCCGCCTCTCATTAGTCCATGGGACACCTTGAAGTCTCTTCCTTGGTCCGGGAGGTGCCAGCTGGGGGTCTTCAGAGACACAGGCAAGCATACCCAGAGATTCCTGCCTCTTCTAATTAATCTGTGTGTTTGTTCCACAATGAGTCTGAAGGAAGAATACTGCTGGGCTCAAAACAATACTGAGGGGCAGGCATTATTATCCCCATCTTATGATGGGGGACCATGAGGCCACATGAGACTCTATTGTCTAATGGCACACAGCTAGAAAGTAGCAGAGATGCAAACCCAGGGTCATGTGACAACAAAACTGTCATTTTCTATTTCCTCGTGATGCTTGGTAAATACTTGCCAGGAAACCCAACAGTAGCAATGATGGATATTTAGGTGAGAGTAGCAATCTAGCTTCTCTCTCTGCCTCTGTGACCTGGTCACTTCCTCTAATCCCCCAAGAACTCTAAGCAACCATTATCTTATTTGTTTTCAATGCATCTCTGTGAAACTAACAAGAAAATACACTATTAGGACCACTTTGAAGGAGATTATATGATAATATCAACAATTTTATTGAAAAATAATCCTACTAGCATTCAGTTTTATGGCTGAGCTTTTATTGTGTATGAAGGAAATCACTGGCTTAGAAACCAAAATAAGTGAGGTCAAATCTTAATTTTATGAAACTGCAGGGAGCTGCCTGTTTGTGCCAGTTGAATAAGGTTGAGAAGGCACACTCACCAGTCAGGAAGTCAGGGTCAGGGGTGGGCTCCGAGATCTCCTCTAGGCATTGATTCTCCAGGGGCACAGTGGCCACCACAAGACCATCTGGCAGTTGCTGGTCTAAACCACGAGCAAAGTTGTTTTGCCTAGAAAGAGGGTAGACCTTCATTTCTGAGTGTTCAGGTGAACCTGACTCCTTACTGAGCATTTTTTTTTTTTTTTGAGACGGAGTTTCACTCTTGTTGCCCAGGCTGGAGTGCAATGGCAGGATCTCAGCTCACCGCAACCTCTGCCTCCAGGGTTCAAGCAATTCTCCTGCCTCAGCCTCCTGAGTGCTGGGATTACAGGCATGTGCCACCACGCCCGGCTAATTTCAACCCACAATGTAAAATTATTATTTTTGTTGGGACATTGTCTCACTCTGTCACCCAGGTTGGAGTGCAGTGGCACAATCATAGCTCACTACAGCCTTGACCTCCTGGGCTCAGGTGATCCTCCCACCTCAGCCTCCCAGGTAACTGAAACTACAGGCATGTGCCACCACACCTGGCTAATTTTTTGTATTTTTTGTAGAGATGGGGTTTCACCATGTTGCCAAGACTGGTCTCAAACTCCTGAGCTCAAGCGAACCACCCACCACCTTGGCCTCCCAAAGTGCTGAGATTATAGGCGTGAGCCACAGTAAATGGCCTCCCAATGTAAAATTCTTTCTGAACCAAGAAGTTCCCCTCACCTGAACCCCACTGTAAATACATGTCGGAGTAAGACGTAATGGGTATGATTGGTGGGGTGAGGGCTGCGGAAATGGGAAATAAACCAGCTGAAAAGATCTACCAAAAGGGTAAAGACTATGCTTTCCTCTTTCCCAACTCAGTCCCTACTTCCTGACCTCCTCTCGACAAGATCTAGGCAGAGGCAGTCTCATTTCTAGACTACAGTGAAGACTTCAGCCACCACTAGATTAGTGATGACACCTCACTTCTTGCCTTTGGCAAACCAATTCCCAGGCTAAAAGGGGAAATGTTAGTAATGTCTCCTGTCTACAACAGAAAAAGCAGCTGATTCCAAAAACTGTCTTGAAAATTGACTATCAGTTTGCTCATGAGGGTCTAGGCCCAGGTTGCTGTCAACTGCTGGTCCATATCATAATACTGACATCCTCCTCCTCTTCCTCCTCTTCCTCATCATCATCTCCCAGAAAATATTTTCCCATGGGTTCTAAGAAGATGTATTTAAATAGTCCAAGGCAGAACAGGGACAGGCATTGAATGGAGAACCACCTAGAAATATTCTAAATCAATGGTTTGAAACATTTTATTCTCAGGACTCCTTTACACTCTTAAAAATAATTGAAGGCCCCAAGTAGCTTTATTATATTTATATAAAAAGGCCCAATTATGTCTATCAATATGTACAATATTAGAAGTTAAAATAGAAATTTTAAAAATTTATTAATTCACGTAAAAACAATGAATTCATTCAATATTAACATATTTTATAAAACATGAGAGAAGTAATATTTTATATTTTTTGCAAATTTAAAAAATATCTAACAATTGAAGATAGCTGGATTCTCATATCTGAATTCAATTTATGGTAATATCTTGTTTGGGAAGAAAATTCAGCTTTTCTGTAGTTGGAAAAGGCAGGACCTTGGATATGCCCTAAGAGGGTTCCTGGGACCCTTAGGTATCCTTGGATGACACTGTGAAGACTGCTGTTCTAGACTGACTCACACACTGATGCTTCCATTCATAGGGAAATGGAGCTTGAGCATTTTCGTGTGGGCTTCCATGCAAAATCTTCCAGTCCCTGCCTGGGCAAAGTAAAATCTCATTTAACACTTTACTGTTAATCCAAACTAAGCATGGTTCTTGGATTCTGGAAGAAGGAATGTAGACTTGGAGAAGACCAAGGGTAAGAATGTAGTCTATCCCTTTAGACATATCATATTTACCCTGCTCCAACATATAAAGCTTTATGCTAGTGCAAACTCTTTAGAGAAAGTCCACCAACAGTCTTGAACAATCAGTTCTATGTATATGAGGTTTACCTGAATGTTCCTTTCAGCACCTGTCCGGCAGCCACTTCCTTGGAATGGTTGTTGTAACCAAAGAACATCTCCCCAAAGAGGGTCTGGTTCATGGGAAGCTCCCTGCTTTCCCCACAGTCACTTCCCTCTGGACAGGTCTCCGTGATGAGTTGGCAAGAGCGTCCATCCACACCAAGCTTGTAGTCCTCGATGCACCTAGCACAGAGGAGAGCTCAATATAAGAAGTTATTCCATCAATGACCCATGCAGGCAAGTCAACCCCGTATATTGGGAGGAAATGCCTTTGACAGCATGTTGGATCACCAAAGATTAGATTTCCAAGTTATATTCCAATTTGATTTTGACTCATTGTTTTTTTAAGCCTGTAAACTGAGGCTCCTTTCATCATGTGATCAGACTAAATCTCTCACCTTTGCTGTGCAGAGAAGTGCTGTCAGAACTTTAGAGTAGCCTCTCCTCTAATAACTGTACAGTTACCCAAATAGGTCAGGGTAAGAATCACTGAAGATAAGCTTGCAAATGAGTTAGCACATTTAAATCCAAGATATTCTAGAGCTTTTCTTAAGAACCATCTACATGGTCAGACCCTGCATTTGTTTGAAGGGTAATAAGGCAGCAAAAGGAATGACACCATGCTTAAGAAATTAATAACTTTCTAATCTGGTCCTGTGATAAGTCAACTAAGAAATTAGAAAGATTTATCATCTCCTGGCACTGTACTGTTTGAATGTATCCAAACACAATATCAACCCATAAAAACTCCTCCTCCATTAGGAGTAGCCTTCCTGAACTAAATAGACCCTAGGGCACACAGTGTGAATGCCATGTGCACCATTAACCAACAACTGCTTCCTTGGCATCCTCCTCATTAGGATGGAAAAGCAACATCAATGTTAGTAAATATGGGTCAGCAACTCATAAGTCATTAATTGGACCTTATTTGTAGTTATAGTGAGAAGAATTTACATTTTTTAGCTAAAGTAAGAACTTTTCTCATAAGGCTGTCATTAAAAAAGAATATTGATTTAATCTGGGTCTCTCATTGGGCATAAACCAAATTTAGAATTTAAAGATGCTCATGATATTAAAGCACATCATTTATTCCTATCCACAGTCACTGTTATAATAAGATAAAGAACTCTGTCTTATGTAGAGGAACAAGGAATAATATAGCGAGAAGCAATATTGTAATAGCAGTGACTTTGTCCTTTACATGGAAACCTTGGGCCAGCTGATTAACCTCTCTGAGCTTCAGTTTCCAAAACTGTAGAAATGGGAAAAAAGTAGCTGCTTCACTGGGTTGTTGAGAAGATTGAGAGACTGCATGTAATGAGCTTATGCAGTGCCTAACACATAGCTAGTGTTCATTAAATATTACTATTTGTAGAAGTAGAGGTGCAAATGAGGCCCATGTTCATGCACCTTTAACTGCTTTTTCCATTTACCATTTATATATTTGTGTGAACAGGTGTGATTAGAGCTCTTTAATTATAAATGTATGTGATTTGGTCTTTATATAAGAATCTCAAATCAAGGACTTCTTCGGCACGCTATATATAGTACCTTAGATAGTGCTAAACACACGTGTGTCTGATTCTTATTGAAACAGGAAAGAAATCCAGTCCAGGTCCTACTACATTAGTCCAGGAAATAGATGTGACTCAAGATTCCCAGAGGATTCCATGACACCAGCTTAGGTCTGGGACAAGATAGTGAAGTGGTTCCTTCCTTGAGCAATAGCACAGTGTTTCTAGGAAGAATTCTGAAGCTGGCTGGTTCCCTCTCAGTCCACCTTGAACATCTGGACAGCTTCCCCTTTCACACTGCCTCATCTTCCTCATTCTCCTGACCATGTGTCCCACTGTAAACTCCTTTGAGGGGAAAGATCAGGTCGGGTATCCTGTTCTTTTTCCAACACCTGACACCCAGGGTTCTCTGTGCAAAGTAGGTGCTCAAATATATGTTTATTAAATAAATACATTTATATAACTTTGGCTGAATTGACCTCTATTAATTGAAATGGGTCAACCCTAATGATAACATTACAGAGAATATTAAGATATAGAGCAAGCTTCCATTTATGGTATGAGAGTTTACAAGAAACTGAATGTGAAAATGGTTCAATTACAAAGAAATAAAATGAAACACAATAAAATAACATTACATGATTATTCAGCAGGCACTGGCTTTGGGCAACAATCCAGCCTAGTTTTATGACTATAAACATTGATTATCATTGCAAGCCTATCAGACTGTGAGATCCTTGAGGGCAAGAACTATATGTTATTTATCTTTGCAGCTCAGTGGTCGGCACAGTTTGTGGCATAAAGTAAGTTCTGTCCTTAGCAGGTCGGAAGAGAGAGGGGAGGGGAGGGAGAGGGGGGAGAATGGAGAGTGGGGGAAGGATAGACAAGCTAACTATGGCTGTAGAAGAATAGCTGAATCTTTGTTTACTTTATAAATATAGCATAAAATGTCTTTAAATATAATTCCAGTCAGCAGTATAAATTTAAATTTCCAGAGAACCACAGAACTTTTGAAAAATCAGGGAGGGCCTGAATCCAGTCGTAATCTTCTCACTCACCATCTTCCCAGCTTTGAGGGAGTCACTTAACCTCACTGTGCATTAGTTTTTCCATCTGTAAAATGGGTTTGCATTGCTTGCCCTGCTCCCTCACAGAGTGATCCTGAGAAGAGATGAACTGAGGTGGGTGGGAGAGCCTGCCTGCAAGAAAGGGCTCTTCACACGGAGGAATCACTGTGCCTCAGGAGGAGTGGCTGCACACAGTGCTGGGACTTTGGGGGCAGAATTTAGAAAAGTTTCCATTTGTCCAAAGACCACCCCCCTTTTTTGAGAATTGACTAGTTTTGCACACTCTTTCCCGAGTTTTAAACAATAAAAACCTTTTGTCACAAAACACTTAATTAACATAGCCTTTCAAAACACAACTTGGAAAATGCTGGTTTAATTGGAGAATGATTTAAGTAAACCATGTAGTTAACTTCCCCTTGCAGGTAAATTCCCCAGACTCAGTTTCCCCATCTATAGGGGCTGGACTAGACTTAGGTCCCACACAACTTTAAAATGTTCCCCCTCGACTTTAAAAATGTTCCCCCCCAAGTCCTAGAGGCTCTTTCCTCAGAGACTAAGGGATGGCCTAGGGTGACCTATTCACTCACATTTCCTGGATTTAGCATTGAAAGTCCTGCGTCCTGGGACAGATGGACGCCAGGTGGCCTCGCTGGCAGCTCAACTCACCCACAGAACATGAGGATGTTATACAAGGTGGGGTCGTCCGGGAAGGGCGCCATCTGCTGGAGGCACAGCTGCTCACAGCCGCCGTTGAAGCCGTCGGAACAGTCCACCCCGATGTGGCGGTCATAGCAGCCAGAGCTGTCCTTCATGGGACTGAGTCCAGATGGGCACTGGCACAATCAGAAAACATCCACATACGTGGGTGAATCGGGGAACTGAGTTCTCTGGGAACTGAGTGTAACCACTGACACCAATTTGTAGCACTCAGCCTTGAAACTATTAACATTCGCAAGTAATCCATGAATTTCCTACCACAGCAGACTTCTTTTAAAAACAAGTGACCTTTTTTGACGTCTTTCTTCTTCTCTCTAGACACTGATCACACACATTTGCATTAAAGACACTTCCTCCAAAAAGGCTGGAAGAGAGCACTGTAGCAAGACACAGCCGAGGTGTACTGGCCTCCCAAATGGGCCTCTGGCTGGCAGGAGAGTGGAAGTGATGGGCCAGAATGAAAATGCATTTGCAAAGATTCCACTGGGCTACAGGAAGGAAGTGCTGCTCTTTGGCCTTGGTGGTACTATGAGTTTTTTAAGTGTCTAAAGCCCTTTGTCAACAATGGTACCAAATAGCAGTGTTGGGGGGAATGGACTGAGCCAGGGCTTCCAGCCTGAAGGAGGAAGTGAACATTCCCTGTAAGCTTAGAGGGGGGTTGCTCTCATAGTGGGAGTAGCTGTGTCATCACCTCCCTGTGTCAGGGATGCTCTTTGGAAGACACCTAAGACACAAGGGTACCTACTATATGGTCACCCACAGGTGCTGCACTTGGATTTGGCTGGATGCTTTTAATGCAAAATATTTAGCTTTTCAGCACTACCTTGTCCTCAGTAATATACTCCCCAAGAATTATAGCAAAGAGAATATCTAAGAAGGGATGTCTTTTCCCAGGAGAAGACAAAAGGACTTGGTGAGCAATTACAGCACTTACCCATCACCTATTATATGCCAGGCCGTGGTCTAAGGTGCTCACTAACTCATGTGATCCTCACAACACCCCCAGGAGGTAAGCAGTATGATCATCCCCATTTTGCATATGAGGCAACTGAGGCACAGAGAGTTTCACTTTCTTAAAGTCACACAGCTGCTCCTGGCAGAACCATGCTTGAACCCTTTGTAGGTTGGCTGTGGAGTCCGTAACTTAGCTGCTTCATCATTAGCACACACCACACTTAACCGTTTACACAGTAGTCACCGTTTACTGAACACTTATGAGGAGCTTGGCACTATGCTTAAGTACTTTAGGTATTTTATCTCACAATACCCTATATTATCCCTATTTAGAGGTAAGGACACCATTAACATTGCCAGTTAATTCACAAACTCTTCTCACTGCACTGGGCTCTGTTTCAAAGTCAATGACTTTTTTTCCCCATCCTGCACCTTCTGCTTGTGCAACAGATTCTGTACATTTGCATTAGAGCTAATCCTTTCTAATAGGCTGGAAGCAGGTAAATAACTTGCACAAGGTCAAGCAGCAGGAGTCGGGCAGAACTGGGGGTCTGTCCAGATCTGACTCCAATGCTGGGGCTTTTAATGACTATGCTGTATACATATCGCCAACAAGTTAACACACTCCTCCAAAACCAACACCAAACTAAAGCAAAACTTTCTAAACTCAATGAAACACAGTGTTAAACATCTCCCCTCCCTCCCTACTGCCTGGTTTGCACTTTCTCTTTGCTGCCAAGCACCTTGTCTTAGTAGCCCACAGCTGCTGCAGGTGTGCCTCTGAAAACTCACCTCTCCTTCCTCCTCTTTCTTAGTTGAAGATCATCACCAGGCAGGATATGCACTGTTTGCTAACACTAATTCTGTAACTTCCCAAACAAATGGCCCCCTGTGGGCCTGCCAGGCTCCCAGCCTGGTCCATCTCCCTTTCTCCCCATGAAGGCAGCTGGAGTGCTGGAAGGTGACAGCATTTAAAGAAGTTTCCAAGGGCTGCCTCGTGCTGTGCAAACCCAGCTGTTCCAGATGATGGTAAACAAGCAAATGAGGCAGCTGAGGATTGCCCCCCATGTTTTGCTAGCCTCCCACTAATCATATTCCTTGGCCACCCAGCTGTTAGGCCAGATGTGCCACCAGAAGGGAGCTGGCTTCAGCACTGTGCGGCTGCCCAGGCATGGATGCAGGATAGAAACCTGGAAGACATGGAAGTTTGATTGGAATTGAATGGGCTGCACTGGTTGCCATGAGTTTGGTTTATTTTTCCCTCCTTCTAGACAGCTTGCTAGAAGCCATTAAGCAGATAAAGTCAGTCCTTCTTTTATTCCCACCTCATATGGTTTCAGCCCTTGTACCACCTAGCTACCTCAGTCACTAGCCAGTAGTTTCCATCTTTCCAACCACCCGCTTTTTTCAGAGTTCTCCTTCAAGCATGATTTTTGACAAAGACTTTGTTGAATGAAACATGAGCAGGCTTTGTTTCAGAATTCCAAAACCACATCTTGCCTGGCTTTAACGTCTAGATGACCACTGCTATCCCAAATTGGACCAGCTGAAATTCATACTCTCTTAGGCAACTTGCAGAAAAGACAGTTAGCTGTCTTGTCCAGGTTTTTTATTTTTTTACTTATCAATAAAGCCAAAAATAGTATTAATAGCTATCAGAAATTAAGCAATTCTTTGTGTAGAATGGTCTACATATGTTATCTTCAACCCAATAACACAGGTACATTTCATCTTCTACAATTTAAAGATGAGGAAAATTAGACTCAGAAAGATGAGGTAACTTGTCTAGGGTCCCAGTGGTGGAAAATGGCATGATCAGACTTCGGGCCTAGATTGTCTGTCCTGAAAGCATGTGTGTTTTCCATCTACTCCGCCATGCTGCTTCTCTAGTATGATAAAATCTGGATTCATGAGAATCCCTAAAGAAACAAAGTCAATGTGTCAACAAAGCAAAGCAATCCTGTAGATTTGGTGATTGCTTTAAGGAATTCCCAGAGTGTGTTCTGGGGTCAATTATGGATTTGTAGATTCAGCCTAGTATTTTCTTTCTTTCTTTTTTTTCTCTCTCTCTTTTCAAACACACAAACACACACACACACACACGCACATGCATGCATACACACACATGAAGTACCAAAATACTGAGTGTAAATATTTTAGGACAAAACATTATAAAGTGTCCAGAGTGACGACCTTGATGGCGAGTCAAGATCCTCAATCACTGAAAAAGATGCAATTATCCCTACTGCACTGGAACTTGCTTAGGCTGCAGTTCAGAGTAAAACATTTTAGAAAGATTTCCAGAAAAAAAAAAGGCTAAAACCCAAAATAATTTTCTTCTTAACCTTTGGGAACCCGAACACACATTCTTTAAGGAGTTTCCTAAGGTATAAATTTGTTTTGTTTTTTGCCTGAATCTTCTTTCTGCTGTTGCATCCACATTCTGGGTTCCCTCAAAATCTATAGCTAAGTACAAAGAAACCAGAGTCTCCAAACCATGCCCTTCATCCTAGAAGTGTTTGTTGCCAGAGTCCTGTTCTCAGAAAGAAATCCTGCCTCCAGGAGAAGCATGCATTTTCTGTTTGCAAGGGCTGGATATTCTTTTCTCCTGGCTCTGGACAATGCCTCCACTTATTCCTTGAAAGAGAACTGTTTGATCAGGAGAGACCCCCAAGGTCATATATTAACCCTTCTTTGCATAGGTTATATTTAGCATTCCTAGGGACTTTATAAACTACAGGCTTAAGAAGAAAACTCCATTTATTATGGCAACAGCCCTCCCCTAACAAAAAGGTTGAGCAAATGAGCTCATATTTCAGTGACCCCTAAAATACACAAGGTTAATCACCTTTCGTGAGATGCTCATGGCTTCTTGACTTATTAGTGGTATAAGGCATAATTGGCTAATGAGATTAAAATGATTTTTCCCATTCAACTCCTTTTCTTTGTCATCTTTCCCCTCTTTTCCTACCAGTGATTTTTAGTTGATTAATTACTTAGGAGGCTGGTCAAATCTCAGGAAGACTCACTAAGATGCATACTTCCGTTCCAGATTATGAAGTGGGTGCTCTGTTGGGAGATGAGTATGAGAGATAAATACATGAACATATTCAGGGCCTCTGGGAGAAAAGGGATAGATTCTTGCAGCTGATCCTGCCTCACCTTACCTTAGATGATTCATAAGACATGCAACTATAATTCCTATTAGAAATGGGTTCTCTTTTACTAAATGGCAACCTCACTTCTTTTACAAATAATGATTCCCAAACTTTTTGATGGGCTCTGACATGCAGGCTCAAGCCATGCAGGACTTCTCCCAAGGGGAAAAGTTTGATGGAGTCAAATTTATATTTCAGCAGTGATAGCTTCCTGCCTCCATTTCTCTGGAAGCCTCTGAGGCACACTCTTCTGCTTACTGTCCTACAGAGAGAGAGATGGTAATCTGTGATGGTCTCCGCACATCTGTGCTCCAGTAGAGGTGAAATGACACATTTCATGGGAAACCATTGTAGATAGCATGTGGAGGGAAGGGCGGCAGGGTCACTGGGTAATTCAAAGCTCATTAGAGCATAATGCTCTGGCAAGGAAGGTCGTGTGTTCAATACATGAGAAAGTGGGCACCCGATTTCTCCCCTTCCATGGCACAGGCTGCTCACCTGTGTACATTCTTACGTCTTACAAAGCTAAGGCATTTTTTGGCCACTTTCAGAATGAGTGTGAAGTTAAAGAAGGAGCATTAGAGCATGGGTTTTCCTCTTTTTCATTGCATTAGAAATCATTTTCAAAGATTCAAACAAAATTTTATATGAAACCTCAATAGATAGACTTGATAAGGGTGAAGATATCCTGGCTAAAGCTCAGAGCAGGGAGGCTGAAGTCCTGCCAGCCAAGCCTGCTCCAATCCCCACTGCCATCTCCCATGGCTGCTCCCTCCAATGATGTCCCTGGCATAATCCTAGAAACCTGTGAAGATATCACCTCACATGGCAAAAGCGACTTTGCAGATGTGATTAAATTAAGGATCTTGAAATGGAGACATTATCCTGGATTATCTAGGTGGGCTCAATGTAATCACAAGAGTCCTTGAAAGCAGAAAGAGGAGGCAGAATTGGAGAGAGAGGGGGATGTGCTACAGAAAAATGGTCAGAAAAATGCACTGTTGCTGGCTTTAAATATGGGGAAGAGTCATGTGCCAAGAAATCTGGGTGGACTCTAGAATCTGCAAAAGGCAAGGGAATGGATTCCCCCTAGAGCCTCCAGAAAGAATTGCAGTCCTGGTGGCATTTTGATTTTAGCCCAGTGGGAACCATGTTGAATTCTCATCTATAGAGTTGTAAGTCAATAAATATGTGTAACTTATAGCCACTACATCTGTGGTAGTTTGTTACAGAGGCACTAAGATTATAAGTACTCTTGAAAGACCCTATAGGGCTCACTCAATAGACCAGAAAACTGCTGCTCTTGTATATCACCAGTAAGGAACACAGCTCTTACCTTGCACACTAAGAACAATGATTAAGAGCTGGTCATCAGCAGTGGGTAGCTGACCATGATGCTTGGAACCCTCATGAAATTTCAGCAATCCGTGGCTACTGGAGGGCCGTCTGGCTTGGAATGGTGTGACTGTGGTTTGTACAGGTCTGTGCCTTTCACAGATATTTGTTTCCTGTCCTCAGAGACTATATGAACAATAGGGCAATTAACTGTGTAGCAATTAACCCTGTGGGAGTCCATGCATAACTGAGAAACATGTCCTGCTTCCTAGAAAGAATGAAGGTTGAGCAGCCTATGCGGACCAAACAAGAATCCCACCTGTCAGGTTTGAATTCAGCCAGGAAAATATAAGGGTATATGCTCTGCCTCTGCCTACATCTCTTCTCCTTCCTTGGGTTCCTTAAGAGTCAGCGTGTTCTGAGTTTCTTATCTCTCTCCTTTCATAAAAATAGGCCTTTCTTGGGAAGCCTTTCAGTTCAGCACCCAGAGGACTAAAGGTAAACTTTACGTGGAGAGGAGGAAGGCGGGCCAATGCTCTGCAAACTGCAGGTGGTTCAGCTGATACATTTGTCCCTGGTCCACTTCCAGATGACAAGGGACCACTCTGCTGATATATCAGAGCTTTAGGACAGCACCGATGCTCACTGGAGATGGGTCAGGCTCAAGGTCAAGTTTCTGACCTTCTCAGTGGAGTCACAAGTGTCATGATGGGAATCAGCTCTCACCCATCCATCCTCCTGCCTCAGGAAGCCTATGCTTCACCAGCCAATGAGAAAAAGGAAATCGAGTGTGTCTGCCAATCCGCCTGCCCCTCCTTCTCCAGAAGCCACGTGGTCCAGTGGCTTCAAAGTGTTATGCTAATACCAAGTACTGGTATAACTGGGTGACTTTCTGCAGTGGCTCCAATTCTAAAATGCAGCAGCCTTATTGCAAATGCATATTCATCAGAACTATTCCTGCTAGCTCTGTCTCACAGACCAGTGTTAAAAGTACAAAAATCCATCAGCATAGCTACGTGCCAAGTAAAAGGGGCTAGGATCACCAACAGAAGGCATCTGACAGGCAGACCCTGAGGGGCTCAGGAAGGGACACAGAAGTGGCAAAAGAGGGAGAGCCTAACCCTGTGTTTGTCTGCTAATGCATGTGCATGCTCAAACCCATACTGCAGTGGCTACAGAGAGTAGGGAAGGAGGTGCACATATGAACACACAGTGTTTCAGCACTTAGAATGACGCCAGACAGTAATAAGAAATGAAAGGCTCAAATCTGGATGAAGAAATATAAGCTGAATAGCTTTTTTTAAAAGTGTCTCAGCTGGGAGCTCCATTAGATAGTGAAATTGTCTCCTGAGGATCCCAGCTGGGAGCACATTGCTTAAGACATTTGAGAATGGACCAGCCAAAGGGAGGGTGGCACTGTGGGACATCAACTTCCCCCTTGGCTGCCTTTGGGAGACGTGACCTAAAGAGCACTGTTCTTTGCATTTTCCTGACAGACCTTCCTGTTCTTCTTTCCCCTCCTTATCATGGACCCACAGGTTCTCCTCCTACTTGCCCCTCAGTGCTCTCTCTCTCTCCCTTTCTTTTTCTTCATTTTCTCTTCCTTCTCAGATGAATCAGCCTCCTGTCAACTGCTGCCTCATAGGTAAAAGTCTGGGGAGGCCTTAGGGCTGGGAGCACTCCACCCTGTACCAGGCACATATCCGTCTTTGATTGAGAGCAGCTCCCTGAACAGAACAGGTGCTCAGTGATGGGGAAGAGGGGAGAGGAAAGATGGCATCAGCGCAGCATCCTCACAGCTTGTCTCTGCTCTGGGTCCTCTCACAAAGCACAGCTGTCAGACTGGAAAGAGAGATGGGGCACCATATCCTCCCCAGAGCTGGAAGCTCCTGCTCCAACCGCCAATCCAGTAGAGCTACCAGTGAATCATCTCTTCCTCTCCTCTGCTGTCAATCTGAATGGCTTTCCTCCCTGCCTCCCCTGACCCATTCCCTCTCCTCTCTTGAGGACTACATCATTCTGCCTTCGAAGAAGGGAGGGATGGAAACAGACAATAGTGCTATGAGTATAAGAATGGCCCACACAAAGGAGCCAGCAGCTAAAGGCTTCATCTGCTCCTGCCTCCATTTCCCTGCATGGCGCAGTTCAGTCTTCACATCCATGATGTGGGAGATAGCTCAATCTACTGTAGCCCAAATTGTCTTACTAGTTAATAGTATCACATTTTTTTTAAGAGACAGGGTCTCACTCTGTTGCCCAGGTTGAAGTGCAGTGGCAAGATCATAGCTCATTGCAGCCTTGAACTCCTGGGCTCAAGGAATCCTTCTGCCTCAGCCTCCAGAGTAGGTAAGACTATCAGCATACACTGCCATGCCCAGCAAATTTATTCCATTTTTTTTTTGTAGAGACGAGGGTCTCACTATGTTGCCCAGGCTGGTCTCAAACTCCTGGCTGCAAGTGACTCTCTCATCTCGGCCTCCCAAAGCACTGGGATTACAGGTGTGAGTCAGCCACCATAAACAGAGTCCATAGGGCTGATAACGAAGTACTTTAGGAGCCCAGCTTTGAAGAAGCAGGTGCTCATTGCTGTGGTCACAGAGGGGACAAAGTTTTTTTTTTAATTTTTATTTTTTCACTACCATTCCTGGCATAACTTACTTCTTTCATCACTCTAGCTTTAGGTAGGTTTCTCCTAAAATTTTCTATTACATTTAGAATCAATGTCATACAATTAAGCAATTATTTAGTTCTTATCAACTAATTTTTTCTTGAATAGTTATAGTGCACATAGTAGGTACTCCATAACAACTTCTCGACTAACTGATTCATGATTACCTTCTCATCCTTATCAAGAGAAAATCCCTAATTTACACTAAATGGTGTTTACAACTGGGGATCACAGCACATTTTTCCCTATGTATCTGTATTGTGTCTTCCCCCGTGCCTTTCCTCCCCATCCTCAAACAGAAACTACTAGCTTGCAGGGCAGACCTACCACGCAACCAGTGGAGTCCAGCTTGCGATCTGAAATACAGCGGAAATTCTTACTGCAGCCCCCGTTATCTTTGCTGCAGTCGCGCACCGGCCCAAAGGAATCTAAGAGAACCTCCAGGCTGTCGAAGGAGGATGAAGTCATCAGCTCCTCTCTGTGGGGAGAAAGAGTGGGAAGCAGGGAGGAGTCAAGGAGATTCCAGATGCAACAAGTGGCATTACATTCCATGCTCCTATCTAGTCAACTGAATTGTGTCTCACTCTGTCTTATAAAAATTGAAGATCAACTATACTCCAAGCCTTGAACTAACAAACGATGGGCATTCTCCGTATCTAGGAAATGAGCCAAGGCTGTAACGCCTGGTCAAAGAAAGAGGTCTAAACTCAGGCAAGGAAATTAACATTTTATTGCTTGTCAGTCCTTAGTGTATGTGAGAAGTGCTTACAAACTCTAATTTTATGTCTTCTTCCAGTGAATGAGCCTTGGGATGTGCAATATTGACCCAGATAAAAAGCAGACCCTGGCACAACATAGGGGGAATTTGCAGGCTGCCTGCCAATTTTTCCTTTTAGCTTGTTGGGACTCCTTCCCCAGCACCTAAAACCTACAGGTAGTTTCTCATTCTGCTTCCCAAGCCAATTGCAGGCCTCAGTCCTGAAGCCAGACTCACCTGACCTCCACAGCATCCTCCATCACAGTCATGTCCGTCTTGCACTTTGCTGATGGATTGATGGCCAGTTCGGCTGGTGGAATCACAAAGCTCTTGCTGAGGGGCAACCACATGCCCTCCCCAAGAGTGTAGGTGAATCTGCAGGGACACCCAGTGCCAGGTGGTCATGACTGGGGGCATAACCACTCACCACTGGGGGATCTAGCATTCCATTACCAGTGCTTTCTTCTCACCCTTTGTAGTCCTTTTCAGAAAGACTGCCTTTTTATGGGTGCAATGACTAAGTTCTAAGGAGGCAGAGAGGCCAACCCTTGCTCACATGGCCAGGCAGCTGGAGAACTGATTATGGTGCCTACTCAGTAGTTGTTAGAAGTAGTTTTTATCAAGTCATAAAAAGCAAGTTCCAGCTTTCTTCGGATTTGAAGCTGGGCTTCCCCTGTCTTGAGTCAGATATAATTGGAAGCATTTTAATTGAAGAGAGATGCCAACCTCCCACCGTCCCCATCCCATGGCTGCACACCCACAGTGGTGGCAATGGCATCTCTCTGTGACTGGAGGAACCCTAACAAAGAAAATAAAGAAAGAAAGCACCCCTTTACAGCTTCTGTGTGATGGGAACAGAAATGACTGAAGCCAAGAGCCTCCAGGGAGGAGAGAAGAGCAGATGAACAAATGAACAAAACAGGCCCAGATTTATTCTCTGCACTCCTACCCACACCATTGGCTAAAGGTGCTAACCCTTGGGATACAGGGAAGATTTTTTTTTTATTCTTACAACAAGGACTAAAAGGAATAAAAGAATCAATCGGCATTTCAAGGGAGAGCTTAAGAAAACCATGAGAGATTATTTGTTTATTTATTCATTCATTTCATTTCAAAGGCATTCAAATGCTCTGTGTTCATAGTCAAAAATAGTCTGTGGGATGAAAGCCAGTGTGGATGGGATATGAGGAGGCTGTGGCAGTCTGGCATCCCCTCCCCACTTAATGTGCAGGGAGGAACAATGGAAGGATGCTTACAATTAAACAGAACCAAGCGCTGGCTCCATTAGCATGCTGCTCGTACAGCACCATTTCAGAATCCTGCTCCTTTCTCTTCCCATACACAACCCTCTCCCCTCCCCAGGTTGCCTGAAATTCTAGGAAACCAGATTGATGACTTCAGATCTTTTATTTAAAAAAAAAAAATGTAGCCCTCTCCAGTAAGCTGGCCACAGAGCAGACCCATTGACTAGGGCTCCTGAGTTAGAGAGCAGCCAAGCCACATGATTTCTGCCTACACCCTGAAAGAGAGTCCTGGGCCCTAGAGCAGCTGGAGAGGTGTGGGACATGTGCCAGCTTAACGCAGGGGATTTCCAGGGGCCAGGCAGAGCCACTGGTAGGAGGGAAGTGGCCAGGATATGGGGGATTTTCTCCCATTTCCACCCTGACTCTTGGGCACCTACTTCTCTGACCAGTTGGTGAACCTCTGCATTAAGCAGCATTGAAATGTCAGAGATGCTTCTGACTCTGAAAGAGTCACTCAATTCTCCCCACTCACAGGAGTATCAAGCAGTAGGTCTGTGCAGGGAGGTGCCTGCACCAGGGGAGGAAAGCTTGTTACTTAGGGGACAATAGAAGATCATCACTTCATTCTTCTGTGAAGCAGTTAGCAAAATTGGAAGCATGACAGCCCCTTCACTCACACACACATACACACACACACTCACAAACACAAACACACAGTTACACACTTCATCTGGTAAGATTAAGGAGCCCATTCAGGGCTGATTGCCTCAAGGTACCTGGAATCCGGGACTTAAGGATAATGTAGGTTGAAGAAAACAACCTCCAAGAATTTGTATAATTTCACTTTGCATTTCATAATGGACATCCTTGAGTTAGAAACATCATTATAACAGGCAGGCTGGAGTGGGGGCACCTCCGCTATTATACCATTTTAGAGAGAATGTCTACAAGTAGTTTGAATGGTACCAAGGAGGAGGCAGCTTATTGAACATAGAAATAAAATTTTGTTTTCTATTTTGATTTCAAAATTACAATATCTGCATTGATGCAGAGCAACAAATCTGTGACCTGTGGTTTACAATTTATGTAACTGATTTTAGGAAGCCGTTGGCAGTTCTGATACATTTCTGATGGTTAATTTTTCTTTTGAAAGACGAGGCTCCATGCCCATCCATCTCACAGTTTTCTCTTCCTCTTCTGAATACATTAATATTTCTAAGAGAAAAGCAAATCACATCTTCCACCAACTTAAACTGTTTATGGCACCCTGTACCTACAGAATAAAGTCCCAGCCTCCAAAGAGGTCATCCCTGATAGCTGATGGCTTCTTCTGCTTCTTTTTTCACCAAACCCTGGGTCACCCTCTGCCCTTACAATGAGACCTGACCATAGTTCCTAAAGTTGTCCCGATTTTCTCACCTCTTTGCTTTTGCTCCTAATAGTCCTTCTTTCTGGATTTTCTTCCCTCTCTTCTTTGCCTGACTTCTAATCATTTGCAGACTCAGGTAAGATCCTACCCCTTCCAGAAAGCTCCCCAGGGCCTTCACCCTCTACCCTCAGGCTGAACAAGGGGCTGAGCCTGTGCACCTGACTCAGAGCCCCTTGTTGCTCCTGAAATGATGAGTTGTGCCTGTCTCTTCAGGTATCCATCACCACTCAGAAGAATGTGCTCTCTTGGATGGCAGAGGACAGTTCTTGTCATTTTTGTATCCCCACTGCCTCACACAATTTCTGCCCCAAAGACGTCACTCAATAAATATTTATTGACCGATAAATAACGATATTTCATTAGGTTCTTTAGTTTGCACAAGTTTCTGGGGAACATAATCTCAATGTTCAAATTTAAAGGTGGAAGCAAAGGTGAAGATTATCCTCCATGTAGAGCAGGCTATAGGTTAAACTCTGGGTTTAAACGGATTTAAAGGTTAAGGTGGAAATGAATTTGATATTGTGAGAAACCTCCTATGTGCAGAGCAGCTCCTGAGACACTGCACTGGACCATGTTAATAAGAAAAGCAGCCTCTGGTAAGATCAAGGTGAAACCCTGTAGGGGAAGCAAAGTCAGGTGTTGGGTGAGACTAACCTTTGCAGAGAACTGCAAAGGGGCAGGTGCTCTGTAGCGTGGCCTCATTTATCCTTACAACAGTCCTCTGAAGCTGGTCATCTGGCCCCATTTTACCGATGTATCAACTAATTTTTAAGGCTAGTAACCTCTCCAAGGTCACCCTCTGTAAATGGGAAAATTGGGATTGGTCTGATTCTCAGGTATGGATCCCAGCAGCTTTCTAGTTCATGCTGGCTCAGGCCTATGGAATTCTAAAGTTTTCTTTCATCTGCAAAATCTACTGAGTAACTCCAAAAACCAAATATAGAACAAACTGTCAGAGAAAAGCTGTGTCCTAAAATCTCATCTGTCCCTCATTCATGCAGATTTGGCAGGAACAACTTCAAAAAGCTACCCAAGAGAAGCTGGGTGAGCATCTAGAATGCTTTCCCAACTCGGGCCTTCTCTGGAGACAGCTGGTGCTGACCAGTGCAGTTGATGGCTCAGCTGTGCACTGAGTCCTGCACACAGCCCTGTGTTCAACTAGAGCTAGAAATTCCTGTCCAGAGGCAAACACTCACCAGAGAGTGCTCTCACAGAACAAGGCTGTGGTCTCACCATGGCTTGCCATTAAATGGAATGTGAGGAAACGGATCAATTGCTCTTGACCTGGCATCTCCACGCTTCCTCAGAGCAGGCTATTCCAGGACAAGGAATTATTCCAAAGGATGCAGGCACTCACTTTGAGGGAAGGTCTCTGTGGGATCAATTTGGTCTGTACCAATCCCTACCCCCACAGTCTAGTGGAAAGGAGTGATCCTAGCCACAGTGGAAAGGACTTCTTGGACACTGGAATGGGTTTGGTGGGAAGATTCAGTCAGTAGGTTCAGGGTCCTCTTAGATCCTTTGAGTCTAGCTTTGGCCCTTCCCAAGTTATTTGGGATTGCAGATTATCAAGGTTAGGTTGAACATCAAGGTCTTTCCTTACTCTGGGTTCAAGTTTTTAGGAAATGCCTGAAATGATTATCTACATATATCTATTGAAGGCCTGCTGTGTTCAAAATTGTATGTTGGATGTTAAATATTTAAAGTGATATAAGACACCACTCCTTCCCTCAAGAAGAACATCATTTCATTGGGGAAAAATAGGCAGTTGAAAAATAAATATTAAACAAAATAATTGACAAATACATATTAAAATCAGTATATTATAGGCATTTGCAGGGGTAAAGTCATTGCGGATTGGTACAGTGAATTGGAGACATTTTAGAGCAACATTCTTCAACCTGGCTTCAGGTTAGAATCACCATGATGCTTTTAAAAAACACTCATGCCCTCGCCACACCTTCCAGAACTTATGAATTAATTAGTTTGCTCTGGGTATGATCATCGGTCATTTTTAAAGCACATTGGGGACTCTCATAGACAGCCAGGGTTGGAGACTGCTTTTTGGATGAGACTGTAAATGCTTGAAGTCAGAGACTATCTTGGTCATATTTGTTTGGTTATATGTGTAGCATCTGAAACAGTACCTTGAAATAGTAGGTGTTCAATAGATGCTGAGTTTGGTGGAGACTTGATTTGGACGATAAAAACTGGTAGCATTTATATTACGAGAAAAATGTGCATTCTTGCTAGAGGAAAGGGTATGAGCAAATGAGCAGAGTGGGAGATATTCAATTTATTGCAGATATTGGATCACTTAGAAAACAGATTCAACTAAGAACAAAAGGTTCTCTAGAAGAAGAGTGGCTCATTTAGAGGAAATTGTATGTTGGCATTCAATAGTAAAAAGATTTAAATGGAGGAATTTAAATTCTATTTCAGAGTCCAGAGAGATGTTCAGGAGCTTGGAATTCAACAGGACACTAAATCATGAGTGAGCATAGTAGCAAATAAGTAGCCAATTACAGTCATTGACCAGGTCATAGAATTTTTTAGAGTGGTCGTTGGTAGGTGGTTTACTCAGATGCCAGAGTGGTTTCTATTAAAGTTCCTGGTACCTAAAATAAACAGATTGTGACCCATTGCTTTCATTTGAGAGGCTAGTTATTTCCATGTTAGGGATAAAAATTCTTAATCACTTATTGATTAACCCACTGGCTCCTGAGATATCTGACCTCATGGGTCAAACCACACAACTGGCCCCCACTATAGTGCTTGGATAAAACATCCGGTTGGCAGCCAGCAACTTTGAAAAGAACATAAATGGTGCTTGTGGGGATAGAAACAGTTTTTGTGCAGGTTTTGCTTGAATAGCAATTTTATTAAGGCCCTTGTTTTTCAAACTGTTAGTTTCTGACTTTTAGGGAATGGGGAACTTATCCATGTCAATCAGCCAGATTCCACTAGGCTCCTCATCTGCCTTATCTTTATCACGCTTTGAAGTCCTGGAAGACCAGCAATAGGAAAAAGAGAAAAAGTCAGCCGAATGATAAATCCTTGTTGGAAAGTTTAATGCCCATGTCACAGTCCAAGGAATGGAGCTGACATCTCTTGCAGCACAAATCCTCAAAAGCGGCCTGTAGCCAACGCCATTAGCTTCCCTGGGACAGACACTCAGGAGAGAAAAGGACAAGGGAAAGTCCTTTGAGGAAGTGGTTCTGTGAATCTGCACTCTAGGTAGGAGCACGCCTAATAGAACACTGCTATGGCTAAGCTGAGTCCACCCCGAGCTACAGGAGGAGCAGTAGAAGCTTTGCAAAAGAGTGAGCTCTAGGAGGCAAATGCAGGAGCAAAAATTAACACCTAAGCCAGGAATGGCTGACAGGGATGGTCTAGGAAGGGGCTTGGAAAGGTGGCAGTGAAGAAGTGAGACTCAGCAAACTGTATGGATACAAGTCTTCCATTTGTCCTACGCTGCTCACCATTTGTCCAGAAAAGGCATGCAGTAGCTGAATTCATCAGCCGCTTATGCAGGACTACTCACTTCCTCTACTAGAGGACTTACTCAAGGAGGGACATGTATTCACGCCCATACTGTCAAGCCAAGCACTTAGAAGGAACTCAGCAAATGTATGTTAAGTGAATGATAGATTGACAAAATGAATGGATGGTAAGATCTTATTTTGGAAATAAACTGTTTCAGCTAAGGCCTAATATGAATTAAACTTTATGATAATTGAATCCTTCCTGGCTGGCACTCAAATTATTCCTCTGCTGTGGGCCTTTCTAATACGTGCTATTCCCAGGTATGTAGGTAGAAATTTGGGAGGGAGTAGAAGCATCCAATTTGATCAGCAAAGTAGTAGGTAAAAGAAAATAATAATGAGGTAGAGTTTAGAAAAGGGGAAGGCAGGGGCGGGAGAGATTCATTTTGAACAACTTAAGACTCTATGAGGAAGGTGCAAATTAGATGCAAAATGGAGAGGCAGAAACTGACATTAATTGCCTACTCTGTGCCAGTTTCTGTGCCAGGGACTTTCCCTGCATTATCTCATATATCCCTCACAATAACCCAGCCAGGCATGTAATATAGCCCCATTTAACAAATGCAGAGTCTGGTGGCTTCAAGAGGTTGAGTAAATTAGTGAGGTTCCCAGAGCTGGCAAAGAAGGAAGCCAGGGCCCAAACAGAATCTGTCTGACCTCCAAGTCCTCCATATTGTCCCTGGGCATGACTGGGGGCAAACACTTTTGTTAGCAGGTGGTCGTGACAACTCAAGGTGTTTCCTATTTTATACTTTACCAACTAGGAAAGTCAGTTCGGGGGAAGCGGAACACAGGGTTTGCAGACGTACATAAGCAAGTCCCTAGACAATCACTTACCTAAATATTTTATCAGAGGGCTGCTCTCCCAAAACCAGGTCAAAGCCTCGCTGAAATATTGTGTAAGGCCATGGCCTAAAAGAAGAAACATCATTCAATTAAATTCAACTCAACAAATACTCACTGAACACCCACTTCGTATCAGGCACAGTGCTAGGTGGTAGACACCCAGCCATCCAGGGCATAGCCTCTGCCCTCAAGAAGCTCACTAATATGAGCTCACACATGACCTTGAATCCTGGGACCTGACGAAGAACACGATAAATGTAAAAATCACTGAACTACTAGGAAAATGGAATTTAATAGCCATGACAATTGGAACTACATATAGAGTAAAACTATATGAAGATAGATGTCACATATTCATAATTCATGGTCCTTTAGATATAGATTCACAGAAACCTAGCTTGGGCTCCCTTAAGAAGAGCAGCGTGATTTCTTGGGAATCAGACAGTTCTGGATTCAAACCTCATTCTCACATTTGAATCAACTGTCTGACCATGGACCGATAATTTGCTTGCCAGTCCTAATTTCCTATAGGGTCAATAAATGATAGCTACCTAACAGACCATTGTGAAGATTAAGCAGACCTCTTAGGCCAAAGACTGCAGCTCATATAGGATATTCAACATGTTTTCTTTTCTTATTCAAAATGACAAGAGGATTCTGGGTCTTTGATAGGTTTCAGACATCTTCAAACGTTTTAATGTCACTCACTCAAACAGAAACAATTGAAATCGTGTTTGCAAATATTTCTTAACTGTAATTCCTTCTAGTGAACATCTAGGTATTGTCACATGTATTAGAAAGTAACAAGACTATTTCTTTTAAATAGTGTATATCTTTTCACTAACCCAGATCTCTAAGCCCATTATTTAATTATTAAAGCAAGACTTAGCAAAGACCAGATCTTGTGAGTACTGAGCTATTGCACACACTAGGTGGATTTAGCCCTTACACTTGTGCAACTTACAGTCTCATAATGAACCCAATTATTGACAATTTTACTGTAGACATTCCTTTTGTTTTCAAGGACTACAAAAAGTCAGGAGAATAAATTATAATTATTATTTGGGACTAATTCTAATACTAGGAGTTAATCTAGTGGTTTTCAATGCAGAGGGTATCACCCCATAGAGGGCATTTTGATAAATGTATGGCAGTTGTTCTTCAATGACACAATGACTGAAGGTCATTATTGCCCTTTAGAAGGTGGGGCTAGGATGGCTAAAATAGTGCATTGCTCAGGACAGTTCTGCAGAACAAAAATTTCCCCATGTCCTACAAGCTTTTGAATGTCATGCAAGACATTTATTTAAGTTTTGAAAACCTGCTTCTAATGGTTTGAGCATAGATGCTAATTCCATTGACACATAAGCACAAAGTACAGTTTCAATACACAGTGAATTTTCTAGGTCCATAACTACTTTATAATTTGAGCGGAGGTTACACATTGTATAATCACTTTGAATCACCAATACAGCACATGTGTATCAGTCTGTATTGCTCTCACGCATATCATAATACAGTATTGCATATTATATTATATATTATATTATGGTGAATCTGTACTAGGTACAAATGTCTATAAAATTTATTATTTATTTTATTGTAATGGAGCATTAAAATATTTATTGTAATTAGCATAGGAAGATATAATTATTAAATATTAACAGTTATATCATTATAAATTTTTCTTATTTCTCCCTTAATTAATATTGAGACACTATATTTGTTAAAATTTTGTAGATACAGGTTTTATTATTTATAAATTTTATTTACACATAATAAAAGGGGTTAAAAATATTTGTTACAAAATATTGATAGTGTTGGAAATCACCAACTTAACCCAACAAGCTAACAAATTAATTACCCAGAGTCTTTATTTGTTGCTAGGGAAAGCCATTGGAACTATATAAGGAAGTGGCTAGGATGAATGTGTTCCTTATTTAAGCTTACTATTCATAAATGCATTATTCCTGGGATTTAATTTGGAAATACCTAGAGGCAAGAATTGGCTCCATAAAGTATCCAAACAATGTACTGTGAATAACTCTTGCATCAAATAAAAGGCCCCTCCCCAGGTGTTTTTTATGTTTGTTCATCATTGTAGGTGAACCCACAGAGTAGGGTTTGAATCTGATTCTTTTTTGCTGAACAGAAAAAGGTGGTTTATGCACAGCTAAAAATATCTGTTAATTCAAGAAAAAGTCTAGAAATCATGAGAAAAAAATATTCCCTATAATCCCAGACACCTAGAAAGGGCAGTAAAAAAAGAGGGACGTGCAATTTTATTTATCTCTATTTTGGGTAGGATCATATTTTATTTACTGTCAGTTTAACATTTTAAATAACATACATTTTGCCTTCCAGCCATTTCTAGCACTCAAAACTGATACAATGTGTAATTATAGTTAATTGTTGGCATAGTTTCTAGGTTGTTTGAAAATATATTTTCAGGAGCCAAATGACTGGCATTAAATACTGTGTGAACAATTAGCTATGCAGAATGACACAAATAAATCTGTATTCAAGCCAAAGCCAAAGTTAAGGAAGCAATGAGCTTGGACATATTTATTAAGCACACATCCACTGTTGCTAAGTAGTTTAGGTCAAGGAGACCTCCTGCTCTTGAGGGGCCTGAAAATTAAGAAAATCAACTCAAATTGGAAGGATGTAGAGGAGTGCAGCGTAGACCCCACCCTGATCACATTTAGAGGCAGGAGTGCAGTGTAGACCCCACCCTGATCACATTTAGAGGCAGGAGTGTAGTGTAGACCCCATCCTGATCACATTTAGAGGCAGGAGTGTAGTGTAGACCCCATCCTGATCACATTTAAAGGCAGCAGGGCACAGTGGTTTCAGGACATGGATTCTGGAGTTAGCCTGCCTATTTCAAATGCCAGCTTAGCCACCAATCACTGTGTGACTTTGGGCAAGTTCCTTCATCATTCTGTAACCCCATATCCTCATCTGTAAAATGAGGCAGATGGTAATAACTGTATTTATTTGACAAAGTTGTTATGAGGAGGAACTAGCTAATGTAATTAAAGTGCCTAGAACAGTGCGTGGCATTTAGTGAGTGCCACACATAGAATCATTTGTTAAATAAGTTAAATTGATCAATTACATGCATCAAATATAAATACTATAAGGAGTGTTTCCCAAATTTCAATAGAGGAAGATGTGTCTTGCCCTAAGGTGCAAATGCAATGCCAACGCCAGGCTTTAACTCAGATTATAGATGTCTTCACATAGGCTGGAGAGGAGGCAACATGAGTATGGAAAGGCCAAAGCCCCGACACCCCACCTCCCACCTCCCACTTCCCACCCAGTGGTCACTTCACTGGGCAACTCACTCTACAGCATTGACATTAAACACAAAGAGCAGGGAAGTGCATATTGTGAAATGGCAAGAGAAGTCAGCGAGTAGCAAAATTGCACCAGCAAAGGAATAAAGGGGAATTTACCTAATTTCTTCCCTCTAGTCCGGAATGATCTGTCAGAGAGATGAGAAATCTTACTTGATTTATTTAGCAAATATTTGTGGAGGCCTATTGTGTGTGAACTGTGATATTAGGCAACAGGAATTGGGATAAAGAGATTCCTGCCCTCAAAGGAATCTAAGGTCTTTGTGAAGAAACACATATAGACCCAGACAAACCACTGAGAATGTTAAAAGGGAAGAGGAAGGGCTTTTTAGGAAATAAGCTAAGTGGTAATGGCTGGTGGTAGAGTTGCCATCCTGGGTGCAGGGAAGGCTGGTGTTGGCAGTGCATGGAATGACAGTGGAGGGTCTGGCAGGGGAGCTTGGTGCACACAGGTAGAAAGCCATAGATGGCCATACAGGAAAAGGCGGGGCAAAGTAATGAAGAGCTGGACGTAAAAGCACTCATAACGCTTTGAAACGGACTTACTTGAGACCCACTGAAAGAGGAAAGGCCTCTGTATTTGGGCTTTTTGAGTGCAAGTGAAAGTAAGAAACCCCCCCGCCTCCCCGCCAAAAAAAGCCTATCATGAAATCTTGTACCCAGGTTTAAATGGAAGTTGCCTCTGAGATGCCTGTAAGCAGGGTCTAAAGGCCCTTCTATGTGTCTCTCGCCTCCCTTTGCTCTGTTTCTCAGACTATGGACTTCATTCCAAACAGCTAAGACACATGGTGGAGATGGCCCCTAGCCGTATGGGCCACAGAGGAAACACTTTGTCTCCTCATTAGGAAAAAAAATAATCTGTGGGAGAACTGCCTGACATATTTTGAGTCAGATGAGCAACCTGGACCAATCTCTCGGCCGGGTAAGCAGAGGCTTCTAAAGAGACAGCAACTCCTATCTGGTTTTCTGGGCTGGAGCTAGAAAGGAGAGTGAGTGGCAAGCCTCAGCTTCTGTCTGCTTGTAATGGTAAGAGTGTTGCCTCAATTAGAAGTGAGCAGCATTATTGAGCAGACTGTGCCAATATTCATTTTGTGGAAAGGGCACTAGGCCATCGAGGAGCCCATGGATGGTGTCAGGTCAGATGTGGGGCAGGAGGTTGAACCCTGCCATCGGAAGGAACTTTCAGTCTCTTGTATCCACTTTGATATGTGGTCTCCAATATTCTCTCAATGCAGGGCAAACCACTCACATCTTTTTAGTCAGAATAGAGCATTTTTGTTTGTTTGTTTGTTTGTTTAGATCTTCATTCTAACAAATAAAGACCCTGAAGATTGTCGTCCCATGTGGGCAGCTACAGGTGGCTTCCATTCAGGCACATCACAGGAAGCACCGCAGACCCATGCCCATGCAGGAACATAGCCTGTGCCACAGAGGAGCCCATTGTAACGGATGCACAGCAGCCAGCAGGCACACATGGAAACGCGTATGCTGAGAACTAGTGGTAATCTTTTATTTGCCTTTTCTTTCTTCCTCCTGTCTCACACAATACCCACAGTCTATTCAGAGTCTTCTCTAAGCACTGGCAATTTTCAAGCTTTTGGTTTCTCTCCCAATTCTCTCTCCTCCCCTTTAGGACATATCCACTTTTGCAGGGATTTTTCCCTTAGTCTAGGTGATGTGTTGGGCCAGAGGTTGGCTGTGGCCTTGATTTGACTTGATGCTTGTCCTTCATGCTGATAGCTTGGGCATTTCTTTCACTCTGTAACCTAGTGAGTGAGTAAAGACCCTGCGTGACCAGCCTGACTGGATGCTCCCTTCATATGGGCTACCTCAGTGCAGCAAGGGACTACTCTTGCCTTAACAAGGGTCCTTTAAATTCACTTTTTGATTAAGTGCTAGTCCCAGCTTTCCACCTAACTGTGGCACTTGGAAACAGAGCTCAGAAGCTGTTGGCCAGCATGTCTGGTGATAGGATTCCTTGTATAAGACTTGCCATCCAGGGAAAGGGAGAAGAAATAGAGATAGGTAGGTAGGTAGGTAGGTAGGTAGGTAGGTAGATAGATAGATAGATAGACAGACAGACAGACAGATAGATAGATAAAAGAAAGCAAGAAAGAAGGAAAGTAGGGAGATAAGCAGAGTGAGAGAGAATATATGTATGTATATATGTATCTGTGTATATATGAATGTGGGTATGGGTGTGTGTGTGTGTGTGTGTGTGTGTGTGTATTCTCTTTGATATAGTCCAGCATAGATGGGATATTTCATTCAGAAGCAGTGATGAGTAGGGCATTTCATTAAGGGCTTTAAGAAACTATGAGCTTTTTCCGGACTTACATATTATTCTACCTGTCATAAAAGGAACATTTTACAAATGGAAATATTTGTCCACAGTTAAATGAAAGCACATCCTTTCAAGCCTGCTTCTGGCCCACATTCAGCTGAGTTTCTGGTAGAAGCATGGTTTCCAAAGTTTCTGACCAGCTACTCACAGCACTTCGGGGTCCCAGTATGGGATATTATATTTATATGTAATGTGAGAACATTTAAACAAATATTCCTTTTCTAAACTAGGTAAATAAATTGCAAGAAGGGTGTAGTGAAACAGAGAGAATAGAAGCTCATTTTAAAAGTGCTTCTGGAGAAAGGCAGTTTGCAATATATACAGGAGAAGGGTGAAGAGAAAAATGGCAAAAATGAATTTTTCTGCTATGCAATTGGCTGAACCATCACATGCCTCAATTTATCCTAATGATAAGATGGGGAGATTATTACATGTCACTATCTTCACAATCATTACTAGTTCTGGGAAAAATAAGTACTTGGAATGACCAATCCCTAGATTATCTGGTAAACCTGTGGCTTTATCAGAAGTTAGTAAGAATAATGATGAATAATGATGCCTAAAGTTTACAAAGGATGCTATAGGGCCTTGAGGCCTTTGCAGATGTTGTTTCTCTACCTGGAATACCACCCCCGACATATCCCCTGTCCCTCAACTGCTATTTACTTGGACAACTTATACTATTCTTAAAGTCTAACTTAAAAATGACTTCCTAAAATAGGCCTTCCCTGGCACTCCTAGACTAGGTTATATTTCCTTGTTATATTCTCTCATGGCACCCTGCACTTTCCTTTATATATAGTGACTATTTTCTGCTCACCAGATATAAAGGACCTTGACATCATGACTACTATACCCACAGTGCGCACAGTAGTATCATTACATAGCAGGTGCTCAAGAAAGAGCTCCACTGTGTTGCAAATGAGGTTGAGGGTTAGACAGAGCTGAATTTAAGCCCTGGATGAGGCAATCATTGAATTATATGACCTCAGATAAGTCCTTTAATTTCCCTAACCTCAGTACAATCATGAGTTGCTCAATGATGAGGATACATTCTGAGAAATGCATCATTAAGTGATTTTGTCATTGTGTAATTATAGCACATTTACACAAACCTAGATAGTATAGCCTACTAGACACCTAGGCTATATAGTATAACCTATTGCTCCTAGGCTATGAACTTGTACAATATGTTACTATACTGAATACTATAGGTAATTATAATACAATGGTAAATATTTATCATCTAAACATAGAAAAGGTACAGTAAAAATATAGTTTTACAATTTCATGGGAACACTGTTGTACATGTGGTCCATTGTTGACTAAAATGTCATTATGTGGTACATGACTGTACTTACATCTGTAAAATGCAGATAAAATGGTGCCTCGAGTTATTACATGTTGATCAGCCAGCAGTATTCAGAGCCCACATGAGGTTAGCGGTCAGGGATATTAAATGAGACCGATCAGTGTGGTGGCCAGCTGCAGTCATTTGTGCAAACACAGATATGGAGCCACAGGGTTGTTGAGTTTAACCAGTGTGGAAGTGTTTCAATGAATAAAATAAAATGGTGATAGAAGAGTGCCTACAGTTGCTAAATGAACTACTACTTTTTTTTAATTTTTAATTTTTTTAGAGACAGGATCTCACTCTGTCACCCATGCCAAAATGCACTGGTGCAATTATAGTTCACTGTAGCCTCTAATTCCTAGACTCAAGCAATCCTCCTGCCTGTGCTCTCCAAAGTGCTGGGATTACAGCTGTGAGCCACCATGCTTGGCCTCAAACTCATATTATTGTTTACCATATAAATCTCATGCAAAGAAAAATTAAATATTGATATGACTGTACTATTTAATGTCTATTAGTAGAAAACAAACTTATTTATAATTTTTTATACAGAAAAATAACACACTTGTCAGTAATTAGAAGAGTAGTTCGTGTAAGTGCAGGAGCCAGACTGAGTAGGTTTAAAACCTGGCTCTATCACTTACTATCTCTGTGACCTTGGATAAGTTCATTAATTCATGCCATGAGAGTGCCCTATCCACTTCCCTCCTTGCTACAGTCATACCTATACTGCTCTGCCCCCATCTTCCCTCCTCATTTCAGATCCTGGATCACTGTCCTCTCCCAACACTTCTCCATAATTTTTGGTAACTTAAATATTCACCAAGATCAAGTCACTCAGCTCTTTGACCTTTCTCCTCTAATGATCCTATCTCTACCCTCCTTTTCCCATGGTCATGTCCTAGGTAACCAATATCTGCAACCCCTCCCTGGTCTCAATTTCAAGAATCCCAATATCTAAGCATCATCTCCTACTTTCCCAACTTATTGTTTCTAATGCCACAACAACTTTCTACCTCCTGGATGCTTAGAATTTATTCATTCTACCACTGTTTTCCCGACCTTCACCCACCTCATGTATGTTCTTCCTTCTTTCTTCACATTAAATTATGTCATTCATTATTGTAATCATTCCCTTTCATGTAACCTCAACTCCCACGCTCCTCTATCACTTCATCATACTTGTCTGAAACACTCCAACACTGGTTAAACTCAATGACCCTGTGGCTCCATTTCTGCGTTTGCACAGATGAATGCAGTTGGCCACCACACTGATTACTTTCATTTAAAATCCCTGACCGCTAACCTCAAGTGGGCTCTTGAATACTGCCCAGTGATCAAACCACATTTTCCTCGTTCATTCACTCTCCCTTTCTCCAGATCACCTTTTCATACCTTCTTTCTCTCAAACCTCTGACACCTCCTCCCCAATCTTCTCCCTCAGCACATGATGTGCTTCCTCAATAACTGAGAAAACAGAGGTAATCAAGATGCAAAGCTTTCACCACCACATCCACCTGCCTGCCTGTCCATGCCTATTATTCAGGCCTCCTTCCAGTAATTAGGCATGAACAGTTTCCACTCCTGACTAGAGTGCTGCCATCCCAGCCCACTCCTGGCATTTCATAGGCAATGGGATATAAGAAGGGCCCTCCATGGAAGTTACCAGTGCAAACTCCCCTTTGCTCCTATGTCCTCAGGCAAATAAGAGCACCACAGATCCTCAACTTCTTCACATGTAAAATGGGAATCCTGAAGTACAGTATATGCCACAAAAACATGATATTGTTGAACACTGTGTATAAATAAATTTCAAATTCTTGATAATCTTTGGTTATTAATTTTTAATCATTATTTTGGGTAACTTCCATTCTATATTTTATGTATATGTGCACACAGGTGCTTTATATAAATTATATCATTTAAAGATAGAACAATAAAAAACTGACTTGATCCCTTCCTTCTGTGGCTCAATTTTCTCAACTATAAATTAGGGATAATAATATTATCTACCTCATCAACTGCATAGGGTTGAATACTTTTTTAATATGTGCAAATAACTTTCAATAACCTTGGGATGCAGTCAATTTTTAATAAATATTAACTGTTATTATACACACATTAATAGGAATTTTGATTCTAAATGTTGAAAAGAATTTTTTTTTTTTTTTTGAGATGGAGTCTCGCTCTGTTGCCCAGGCTGGACTGCAGTGTCATGATCTTGACTCACTACAACCTCCGCCTCCCGGGTTCAAGCGATTCTCCTGCCTCAGCCTCCCAAGTAGCTGGGATTACAGGTGCCCTCCACCAGGCCCGGCTAATTTTTGTACTTTTTAGTAGAGACAGGGTTTCACCATATTGGCCAGGTTGGTCTCGAACTCCTGACCTTGTGATCCGCCTGCCTTGGCCTCCCAAAGTGCTGGGATTACAGGTGTGAGCCACCGCACCCAGCCTGAAAAGAAATTTTATAGATATATCAAATGATTTTGAAACTGGTAATAGTGAACAAAATGTTGTACCTTTTCTTCTAGATTTGGAAACTCAAGGGTACAACCTTGCCCCAAAACATGGCAATAAAGACAAATACACATATACACACATGTAAACATAAATGTAGTGTTCACACTTGAACTTTTTGTCATCACACTCGGCCTTTTAGCCAACAAAGAGCAAGTCAGAGAATAAGAAAGTGAGGGGCACTGTCATAGGCCCCAGTTATTCAGGAGGCATCCATACCTTGACTCCCAGCACCTGTCTTAGAGGGAGAAGGGCTAGCTGCTCCTTTGATTTAAGGGTCATCATAGAAGGCAGAGGCAGAGTTCATCTGTCCCCACATGGGAGAAGCTTAGCCCAGAGAACTGTAGTTTCCCTGTATATTTTGGGATCAAGAATTGTATAAGGCAAAGGGAAGAAATCTTGAGTGGGTCAGAAAAAGCTGGTAATAGCAGCTGCCATTTATTGTGCATTTCCACAAGCCAGGCAGGTACTCTACTTGGTGCTGTCCATGTGTCATTTCACAGCTACTTAGAGAACTCTACAGCTGTGTTATTATCCCCAAGTGGCAAGGGTGAACAAGGGTTCAGCAAGGTCACATTAGTAGCCCAAGGTCACACTGCTAGTAAGGGGCAGAGGGGAGGATTGTCACGGAGCACTATCCTGGGATTTCTCCCACACCTTGCTCTGCTCTTCTCCCCATCATGGGCATAAAGCTGTTGGAGAAAATATACAAAGGCAGCATTGAGTCTACATACAGGGCTGTTGGTTGGGCATCAGCTTAGCTTGTCCATCACTGGCCTCCGGGTATAAAGTAGTGGGTGGAGCAGAAGTTATCTGTAGTGCATAAAAAGAATTACCTGTCCCCTTGCCTGTGTTTTCATGGGGCATGTATTAGCATACACAGTGTTGTATTAGAGTCACTTACTTATCTTCCTTTATAAATATTCTCTCATTAGAATAGCTACTGAATCTCATTTACCATGGCATCTCTCATAAGCAGAATTGTTCTCAAACTTTGGTACATCAGATTCACCCAACATATGGGTAAACTGGTCCTCAAATTTTGATGGCTCTCATTTCACCAATCTAGGGTTGGGTCAAACATCAGTATTTTTAAAATATTAGGTGGATGATTCTAAAGCACACAATAGGTTGGGAATTGCTGACCTAACATGTATACATTCACACCTTAGCTGATCTTTATAGATGAGTTTGGCATTCTGTATAATATAATTGCCATAGAAACAGAAATTGCAATCCAGCCTAAGAATTCACTGGAACCCATTTTTTAAATTTCTGGATAATGAGAGGTGAAGCAAATTGAGTTCCTTCCTGTCCCCTTTATTGATGAATTAAGATATCCCAAATCTCATTACAATTATATGAGATGCATATTCATTTTTGAAAAACTGTCAATCATTTCTATTTCTGAGGATCAACAGTTCCATGAAAACAGTACTATGCAGCATTGAGATTTTCCTACATTCAGAAATGCATCTACAGGTACAGATGCCCCCACCTATGCACACATACACACATGTGGTCGTGCACATGTGACACACACTGACAAACACACATGTCACAGCTGCAGCATTTTCTTTGTGGGTAGGGAGTCAGATGGCTGGTGAGACTCACGACTGCTCTCTTCCTCCTCTCTCACCCTGCTAGCAGCTGCTGCAGACACTGAAAGCAGTCAGGCAGAAAGAGCATGCTGAGAGCAGGGTCCGTCGCTGACCAACACTGACCCTGCAGTCTCCCATACAAATCACCCCAAGACAGTCTCACCATGGCTGGGGTTTTGTGGGTTAGCTCTGAAGTCAGATAGATCTCCATTCAAGTCCAAGTTCTGGATTCAAGTCTCTTGCTAACTTCATGCAACTGATACAGCTAAAGATATTTGACCTTTCCAAGCTTCAGTTTCCTTTTTCTGTAAAATGGTGATAATAGTAACTACTGTCTTCCTCCCTCCACTTCTCTCTGGTTCTGCATCTCAAGGCTCAGTTGACTTTTACCCTGGGCTCATATAGCCAAGGTCTCAAGTTCAGTGGTCCTGAAAGCTTGTTCAGCTCGCTTACTCCCGTCAATGGGCACAGTCTGCCATGTGTCCCCGGACACCCATCTTTGCTCACAAATGAACAGGACAAGAGCTTGGCAATGGACCTGTGCAAATCCATCCCTGTACAAGAAAAACAGTTTAACACATATTCACGACTGAATGTTACATCCCTGTACTAAGTACGGTGCAAACCTGGGGCCTCCTCCTCCACCACAGACGCTCACATTAAATTCCAGTGACAAGGTAGGAGAATGAACAGTACTAGCACAAGAGACAGTGAATAATAAGGGACAGGATGTACAATAGAAAACATAGCTTCCTACATTTCTGTGATTTTATGTCAGGAAAAATTGACAAAATAAGGAAACCGGGGAAGAATAAAATATCCATTAAGGAACTATATTTAGTATAGAGCTTTTATCCTTTTCCCAAAGTCTTTTTCTATCTACTAATCTGTTTAAATTCAACATATATTTAGCAAGTTTCACTATTAATTCAATCACTCATTCATTTCTTCATTTATCTGTTTACTTAAAAAATATTATCCAGTTTCCATATAAAAAAACATTTGGCTAAATACAGTCAAGGGACACAGAAATGATTAATACACATTTTCTGCTATGAAGAATGTCATTAACGCACTGATTCATTCCTCAAGTGTTTATCACTCACCTCTGATGAGACAGGTGCTATGGAGAGCACTGGGCTACACAGATAAAAGGCCGGGTCCTTGTCCTGGATCAGGAGCCGATGAAACAAGGATGGCAAGTAGAGAAACTATGGCATTTATTTTGTCAATTTTGATGATTGAACAAGTAAAAGCTATTACTTTTTATGCATTTATACTAGTCAGTGAGCCAAGTACTTTTTTTCACTTAATTCTCATAAGACCCTCTGAGGCACAGCTGTTATATTAGTCTTATTTAACAGGTGGGGAAAGTGAGGCCTAGAGAAATTAAATAACATAAGCCAAAGTCTCATAGCTAACAAGCAGCAGAGCCAGGGCTCAAGCCCAGAGCTCTCAGACACCAGAACCCTGGCAAAGACGTCTGTGAGTTATCAGTACCCACTCCTGCAGAAGAACTAAGGAGAGTCACTGGGCTGCACTGGCTGAAGGCTAATGACTTGGGGTGACATCCTCATTTCCAGGCAGGGTGGAAGAGATCGCAAGTGAAATGGGAGTGAGTGGGTTCAGAGGAAGAAGAAATCACATCCTGTTCAAGGGTCATGGAAAAGGCTCAGTCAGGAAGAGCTATTTTAGATAAGCTTTAAGCTTCGAAGGATGCACTGAGTCTAGGCATTGAAGGTGCAGAAGGAAGGGAGGTTTGCTGCAGAAATAATAGTATGACCAAAGGCATGGAGGTGGGTGGATGTGATGGAACATTACAAACAGCAAAGGTACCAGTTCATCTGAAATGTGGGATACACAGGGATGGAAAAAATAAATTAAAGCCATAACATGATGGTACCTGAAAGCAAATCTATACTTGGGTAGCGAATGGGGAGCCACTGATGGGCTTTGAATACAGGAAGATAGCACCAAGATTTTGCTTCTGTGAAAGCAAGATAAATGGGAAAGAGAAACCCAGAGGGAGAGGAACCAGTAGAGAAGCCTTTTGCAATCAAGGTAAAATGAGTACTTAGGATCTGAATTCAGTGGGAAGACGTGGATTTGGAAGAGAAGGGCAATTCTTAGGCAGAATTTCTTGGAAGATATTTTAAGCAGTGGTCGAGGAAGAGGAAATAGTGTAAGATGGCCTCAGAGTTTTGAGCTAGAAGGACTAGGAGAATGATTTTGCCATGAATAGAAACAAGTAGTTCCAGAGGATGATTTTATGTGTGTGGGGGTAAGGGGAGGGTCTAGTGGGGCAAGAAATGATAAGGTTGAACTGAAAAGGCTGAGTGTTATCTGTGAACGTCTGGCAAGGTGTGCGGCAGGTAGCTAGCTAAGCAGAGCTGACATTTAGAAGAGAGGCAAGTACAAAGATAAAGACTGGGAGTCAACATAAAGGACACAGAAACAGAAGACAGTAAAAGCAAGTCCAGTGACTGATCACTTAATATTCCTATTGTATAGATAAACTCACTGAGGCTCAGAGAGGCTGAATTGCCAAAAATCATACCTAAGAGAAATGAGGAAATATTCACTCATTTGTTCAGAAAATATGCATTCAGCAGCTGGCATGGCCAAGCTCTGTACTCTGGGGATACAGAGGTGAACAGAAGCAAAACTGATGGGGGTCTGTTAAAGGGAGTTCGTGAATATATAACCACACGTTGAGGAAAGTGCTCTGAAGAAGGGAAACAGTCCTGGAGCATGTATGGTGAAGGGGAGCCTCTCTGAGAAAGTAAGGGTTAAGCCCTGGGCTATAGGGGGATCATGGAACTTCCATGCTTTAAATCCTCACCCTGGTCATCAAGACTCCTGCATGCTCTAGCCCTTGCCTACCACACCAACCTTGCCCATTGCCTCTCTCTCCCTGTTATGATGATGTAGCAATGGTGGCTATCATCTATGATGATAAGAGCAATGGTGGCTGACAGTCCCTAGAAGGGGCCTGGCTTTCTCCCATTCCAGGGCCATCCAGGGTGCCCTAGGCCTGGAAAGCTCTTTCCCTCCCTTCTGACCTGGTTGGTCCTTTCTCATCTTTCAGTGTCAACTTAAACACACTGCCTCAGAGAGGCCCCGGTTCCCCCATTTCAGGTTAGTCCACTCCTCCCTGTCTTTTTACCCCCTTGTATTTTTCACAATCTGTAAGTACTTGTGATGTATTTATTTAGTTGTTTGTTTCAGTGACTCCCTTGCCAGAGCGTTAGTCCCTCGAGGGCAGGGACCCTGTGAGCCTTCTTGTCACTGTATTAGCAGCATGCGGCAGAGTTCAAAACACAGCAAAGCCCTCAGGAAAACAAAACAAAACAAAACAAAAAAACAAAGCCAAACTGTTTAATGAATGATTCTGGTGATTATAAGTTAGCAGAAGTGTGTGATATTAGTGTGATATTAGAAAAATTTCCATGAGTGTGCTGTTTGTATGTGTGTGTATGAGAGTTTGTGTGTGTAAGAAAGATGAAAAGAGGAAGAGGAAGAGAGGGAGAGATTGCCAAATTGAGTCTAAACTTTCAAGGTAATAATTATAACACCAGCATCAACAATCTTTAAGAAATTAACTGGTGACAAAATTAAAGACAATAAGTGTATGTATTTTTCTTAGGAAGTACAGGCAGTGAAAATAACTGAGAAAAACCATGTGGAGCGTTAAAGGGTCAAGGGATCACTTGACATTTGAATAAGGGATAGAGGATGTGTAGGTATGACCATAAAAGCAAGAAGTGGCTGACTGGGGGGCAAAGATTGGAGAAATTGAGGAGTTGAAACAACAATTTAGGGTGGAGAATTTAGCTGTGACATGAGAACACATCCACTTCAAAGAAAGGAGTGAGAGGGGGTGAACAAGAGGAGAGGTGACAGGGAGTAAGATGACAGGAAGGTGAGGGAGCCAGGTTCCCATTTCACTAAGTTAGATCTGAGGTTTGAGGCTGACAGGGAGGGTCTGGGAAAGAGCTGAGGCCTGAGGACAGTGGACAGGTTTTTGGCACATGACAAGAAATGAGTAAGAAGAGTTCGATGCTGCTGGAGTCCATGGCTGGTTTTACAGAATGCCTACCCACAGCCCGTTTCTATGAGACTCTCCCAAACTCTAGGAAGCTCCAGAGCAGCAGAGACACACACAGAAAACCAATGCAAGGCTGAGGTTGGGCCAGGCAGGGTGGCAGAAAATAAAAGGGACAGGGATTTCGAGGTGAGATCTAGGTTGAGTGGGGAGGAAATGAAGCCAGAAATGTGCCAATGGACTTGATGACACTGGGAAATAAGATCAAAGAGAGGAGTTTTGGGTGGGATGGAATGGGGCAAGGAGAAGCTGAGAGACTAGGAAACTTCAGGTTCAAATGCTAAAAGGTGGGATGCTTTTAGGAACATGACAGCCTTGGTAACTACCTAAAATAAAGAAGAATTTGAAGATATTGAAAAACTGAGAAATCTGTTAGAAGGGTAATTAACATGTATGCTTCTCCTTTCATTCAATCAGCAAACAATTACTGAGGGTTTATTATGCGCCAGATACCACAGTAAGCACCAAGGAAATAGGCTGGGAACGCTGGCTCACATCTGTAATCTCAGCACTTTGGGAGGCTGTGGTGGGTGGATCACCTGAGCTCAGGAGTTTGAGACCAGCCTGGCCAACATGGTGAAACCCCATTTCTACTAAAAATACAAAAATTAGCTGGGCGTGGTACCAGGTGCCTGTAATCCCAGCTACTAGGGAGGCTGAGGCAGGAGAATCACTTGAACTCAGGAGGCAGAGACTGCAGTGAGCCAAGATTGCACCACTCAACTCCAGCCTGGGTGACAGAAGGAGACTCTGTCTCAAAAAAAAAAAAAAAAAAAAAAAAAAAAAAGGAAGCACAAAGGAAATGAAGTCAAATAAGATATGGTAACTCTCCTTCAGGACCTACAGCTTAAGGAAAGAAACAAGTAAGCAGATGATTATTACAGCTGGCAACATGAGTTGAATTTTGTCCCCCCAAAAAGATATGTTGAAATTCTAACCCCTAGTACTTCAAAATGTTACCTTATTTGGAAATAGGGTCTTTGCAGGTGTAATTAGTTAAGATGAGGTCAGCCTGGAGTAGGGGGTGCCAAAATCCAATATGACTGGTGTCCTTTTAAGAGGATGGCCACGTGAGACACAGACACACACAGGGAGAATGCCACAAGAAGACGGAGGCAGAGACTGAAGTGATGCATCTCCAAGCCAAGGAATGCCTGTAGCAATCAGAGCTGGAGAGCTCCAAGTGATATTGAGGGAGTAGAGCAATCATGATGTGGTGATTGATTGGATGTGACGATGAAGGAGAGAGAGGAGTCTGGCATGATTCTCATAGTTCGGCTTGAATACCAGGTGGTGGTGGCTCTATTCAGTTCACTGTGCTAGGGAAGGGAGGAAAACATTTGAACTAAGAGTTTCAGTCGTTTTAATGAGGCAGCATAGTTAATGTATGTATCAAATTTGAAGTGAAGATAACATTTCTATATGAGAAATGTTATCAAGTTTTGGATTGTTATGCTGGGTAGGAATTAGCTTCATGAGAGGCAAAGAGGTGAAGATTGGTGCCTGTTACATTGTGCCAAATAAAAAAAGGCTTGCGAAGTCAACAGGAGGTAACTAACTGGAAGGGGAGGTCAGCAGGAAGACAGAAGAGTCTTAAGCATGCAGAATTCAGTCAGTAAAGGGGCTTTTACAACTAAATGTGCCCAAAGCTTCCAGCTGCAGAATAAGCAGGAGGCTGTGTCTCTGCAAATTTCCTTCTCCAGGGGACTGGCCAACCTGAAGAAAAGTCCTGTGAGTTATAGGGTTTGTTATTAATTGATTCCTGTGGGAAAGAAATAGGGGGAAGACAGAGAATCAGATTCCAAAGCCATGGCCTTAGCAACTGCATTTATCCTGGGAAGTAATGAGGGCTATGCAAACCGAGGGGCCGGTAACTCAGGATGAAGGGAATGCCTTTATGGTCCAATTCAGGGATGGCTTATTGGACGCCTTTGCTAGAGCAGCCATTCGCAAACCTCGGCGTGCATCACCTGGAGGGCTTATTAAAATGTGAATTTCTGGGCCCCACCTCAAGAATGTCTGATTCAGTAGGTCTGGGGTGGGCTGGAGAATTTGCATTTATGACAGGTTCTCGGGTCTACAACCTACCACCCTGAACGTGCTTTATCTCACCTGATCTAACAAGTTCTCCGGTGATGCCATGCTGCTGGACTGTGAATCAGACCTTAAGAACAGCCATACTATCACTGGGCACCAGAATCACCTGGAGAACTTTTGACCTTCAGAAATTTCTGATTTAGTATGTCTGATATGGGGCATGGCCATGGGTATGTTTTAACGTACCCAAAGAGATTCTAATGTGCAGCATAGAGAGAGAACAATTGCTTTACTTTGTGCCTGACCCTGTGATAGACAACCCAGGAACACAGAGTGAAAAGACCTAGCGTGAGCCTTCAGGAGTTCATGGTCTAGCAGGGACAATTATATGTCTGCACATGTTTATGTAAGGTAAGGAAGGTAAGGAATAGAGGGATGGAAAAGGGCAGTGTGAAACTAAGAGGAGGCAGGGAAATCCACAGATGATGATTGAGGGGGGATTTGCAAAAGGACACTGGAAGACAGAAAAGGTCTGATGTTTCCAGGTATGCACATGAGTAGGAGAGCAGCTATGATGTTGGGGTGGGTGAAATTCAATGATCAAAGAGGGAGGGTCCAGTCCAGGAAGGGGAGAGCTGAAGAATGTGTGAGAACATGGTTTGTTTGGATAATGTAAGTGGTTCAATGTGGCAGATGCACAAGGGTCGTGGAAGGCAGAGGCCTGGGATGAGGCTGGACAGGTTGGCAGGTTGATCTGGGCCATCTAGGGAGTCATGACAAGCCCCTGGAGATCTCTCCACACTGTCTCCAGCACTCCCACTGGACTCCCTTCCCTGCCTCGCAGCCACAGCCTCCCCCTGAAAATTATCACAAGTTTCTCAATTTTCTTGTTATTTTCCACGTAAAAGACAGATAGGAAAAAGCAATTCAGCACCTTGGTCTTGTTAGACTCGCAGTAGATTTCAATCCTCTTTACTTATTTATGGACATATTTTCCCCAAATGCTTCTTTTCCCTGGTATATTTGTAAACACCATTTTTATTCCACTTAATCCTTTTGGCAGCATTAACTCATTCTGCACTCACTTCCCTTATCTTTCCTAGGGAAAATATTCACAGACATAGTTAAAATTCACAGGGTTGTTTTCTGTTCTCTTCCCAAACTTGTTCTGATTTGGGGTGTGAGGATGTTTCCTTGCGTGGGCCATTTTTTTGCTGAAGGCAACTCACTCATCAGCTCAAAATGTTTTCTGCTTTTTGCATCTCAGTGCCCCTGTACTGTGCATACCAGCCTCTTTCTCTCTCTCAAGCCTAGAATGTATTCGCGCTGACCTTGGACTTGGGCACAGTGGTTGGGCAGCCTCAGGCCTCTGCACTAACAAAAGATTTCTGATTCCCATGGCTGATCCTCATGCATCTCCCACCAGCCTCAATCCACTCATACAAATGACAGATGCTGGGCCTGCCACTGTTTAATTGTGCTGCTGTAGAATGATCCAGCCAGAGCCTAATCCATTCTGTCAAGCCGACTGCAAGAGGAGACTTCAGGAAGTCCAGTGATTGTAACAGCCCAGCCAGAGGCAAGGAAGAGAAAGAGACAGCAGTGGAGGCTGTCCTCCATACCTCATCGATACCGTGAATGCTTTGCAATTTCTTGGGCCTCTTAGCATTCTGCAAGATGGGGCCTTTATTCTCTCTCCACACCGCTGGTGCAGCAGGCAGCAACAAAACGCTGAGGTTCAGTAATTGTTCAGTACAGACAGCAAGAAGAATGGAGTGTTGGAAAGTGCCATTCTGCAGTACATGGCTTTTGATTTCCTCTTTCTCCAATTTTAAGTGATGGGGGATGGTAAGCATTATTCTGGGAAAAAGGAAGTGGAAGGACTTTACCTCCATTAGAACCATCTAAAAACAAAAATCAGTGCCTTGTAAGGTAGTGAGGTTGCCATCGCACTGAAAGCTCACAGGCTGGACCCTTTTGCTTGTGGAAATGCTGTTGAGATGACTACAGCCTCCAGGGAAAGACTAGACTGGAGGAGATTATAAAATCAAAGGACTTAGTGGCTACAACCTCACTGCAAACCTACTGCCATGTGTCCACCGAACAGTCATGAGCCTCAGTCCCCACATTTCTTCTTCTAGGGAAGACCATTCTATTTTGAAATGGTGATAAGCAATCAATGTTTTTCTGATTTGAGCTAAAATCTGCTTCTCTCTAACTTATACTTCTTATTTTCCAGTCTGCCTTTCTGCGACAAAACAGGGCAAGCATAACTTCCTTGCTATAGTTATTAGCATGTCCTCCCTTCATTTCTTGTCCATAATAAACATCCCCTGGTGCTTTACTCATTCCTGCCAAATGACTGAGCCATCTCTGCTCACACTTGCCTGAATGTTCTCCAGTTGTCACTGAACTGCCTGGACTTAAACCTTGAACTCTGAGTGATCAGACCAACATGCCATAGAGCAACTATGAGCTACTACCTGTACCCACAAAGCTCTCCCTCCCCACAGGACTCAAGCCCAGCTTCTAAGCAGTGGTGGGAAAGCAACTTTGTGCCTTCATGTCCCATAAGTTCTCTTCTTCTTCAAATGCAGGGACTTTTACCCTCCGAATACCAGTCTGCCTTGTGGGGAGAAGTCACCTGTTCCGTGTGCACTGAAGGCCCTCTGTCACTTTCATCTGCCAGGGGTAAAACAAAGCGTAGATAACATGAAAAGTCTTTTCCTATGCCAAGGAATTATCAGTGAGGAAGACCCAGAGTTTCTTCTCCATTGACCTGTGCAGGACTCAGTCTCCACCCGCACCTCTGTGGTCTTTGAGTCCTCCCCCAGCACTGCCCCACTGCCCATGCATTGACACTCTCCTCTCCTCTCTCCCCCGCTTGTCTCCCCTCTTACGAGTCCTCAAGGTTTTTGGAGCTTCTTCTGTTCTTTGTCCCTGCTCTTGGCTGTCACTGCACCCCTCACACTCTTTGCAACTTAAAAAAAATGGAGCCAATCAAACAAAGACTCCAGGCTAAATCAAGTGGATCAGAGTGCCTGAATGGCAGGGTTCTGCTTTCATTATTCCCCTTTGCTGTTTGCTGCTACCTGGTGGCTCCCTGGTACCAGCTCAAAGCCAAGGAAGTGGGTCTGTGGGTGCAGATCCCTCGCTGCACCTCATTCCTCTGCCCAAAGCTCCAGTCCCAGATGCTAAAAGCCCCTCTACCTGGACAGGCATTGACCACTCCATCCTGTCCTTCTGAGGTATAGGTATTGAACCCTGTTCTCCATTAAGTAGGATTTTTATTTTATTTTCAAACTGTCATCTTTAGTCCTAGCTATTTTATTGGTTCTCTCTCTCTCTCTCTCTACACACACACACACACACACACACACACACACACACACACACACACACACAGACAGCCTTTTCCTCCCATCTAGGGTATTTTCTGAGGTGGCCAGCACCAGCATTCAGGCTGAAACCCTGATACACTCAGGTGGCCGGTGAGCAGGGTGAACTGGATGACAGGCTTCCAGAGGGCGCAGCTGAGAACTGCCTCCTGCGCCCGCCTCTGAAGCTGCTTCTCCAGCCTGCTCTTTTGTCCCTAGAAGCATTGTCTCCCTTTATGGACATCTTCCAGCTTACTTCATTTTTTTAGACTCATCTTCAGCCCATTTCTCTTCACAACATTTGCACTCTTTGTGGACAGAAAAACCAGGAAGATGACAGAGCTATTGCTAGGTCTAAATAAGAAATAACTGCAGAAAAGGGGTTCTGATCACTCCAGAGGTGGGAATAAGAAATCACTACTTTAAAAATGTTGCAGAGAGGTAATGATTATTAACATCAAGAGAAAAGCAACCATCTTGAGCATCCAAAATACAGGTGCATTATGCCAGATTGACGTACATTTCTGCAAGGAGGTACATGTGGCTAAGGAGTATGAGGGTAGTTGGATGTAACACCTTACAGGTACAAAGGGATATGAAAAGATTATGTGGGTGTTTGTGTTTAAAGGGAAGTAAAAGTGATTTGGAAGTGGGGGGAAGGAGATAACTCAAAATGTCTATTTTTTACTACTCTCATATTCATTAAGCCACCAAGACATAGCAGTTCCTTTTTCTTGTCACTCAGTATAGTCTCACGGTTAAGCATGTGAATTCAGGAGCCAGATGATCTGAGTTCAAAGCCTGAATTTGACACTTATGAGCTGAGAAATCTTAAGTAAATCTTCTCTCTGTGTCTCATTTCCTCCCATGTAGAACAACGATAATAATGCCATTCACCTTATTGGATACTAATAAGAAAATAATAGTCACCTTATAGAATTCTTAAAAAGATGAAAAGAATTAACACGTGTTAACTGCTTATAGTGGCAGGCACATGTTAAGTACTATATAAGTACCTGTTGTTATTATTCTCATCATCACCTGTTGCAACTGTCCCCTAAATGAGCTAATCTCACTATAATCAAATGCAGTGGTTTACAATGGGGGCAAGCGTGGATTTTGACCCCCCTCTTAACTAGGCAATATCTGGAGACACTTCTGGTTGTTACAACTGGAGGGTGGGGTGCTACATGTACACAGTTGAGGGAGTCAGGGACACTGCCAAACACCTATAAGGCACAGGACAGCCTCTCACAACAAGCAATTACCAACCCCAAATGTCCATAGTGCTGAGGTTGAGAAACCCTGATCTAATGCAGGAATCATGATACTTTTTTGGTAAGTGGCCAGACAATAAATATTTTTGGCATTGCAAGCCAAACAGTCTCTGTTGCAACTACATAACTCTGCTGCTGTAGCACAAAAGCAGCCATGGCCAATATATATATGAACAGGTATCACTGTGTTCCAATAGAACTTTATTTACAAAAACAGGTGACAGGTCATATTTGACCTGAGGGCAGTAGTTAGCAGAACCCTGATCTAATGCCTCCTGTGCTTTCCTATAATACCGTATTCATCATCCCCTCTCCTGCTTAAAATATACTCTATAGCTTCCCATTTCCTACTAGGTAAAATCCAAGCTTCTCATTTGAAGTTCAAAGCCTTCTGGCCACTGCCTATATTTCTACCCTCACCCTCTCTGCCTCTCCTGTCAGGATCCATTGCCCTGTCATGCCCACTATTCCCTGAATAAGCTATGTGCATTTCTTCTTCTCCCCTTGTACTCTGCTCATGGTAACTTTCCTATCAGGCATATCTTCCAATTAATTCCCAGGCTCTTTCTTTCTTTTCTTCCCTTCCATCTTTCATTTCAACAGATGTGCCTAATGGCAGTGAGAGCAGTTAGGAAGATGTTATCAAATTTTAAAGGCAATGGATTGTCCTAGAGTAAGAATAGCTTTGGGAATAGCAAGAAGCAGCTAGGTTTGAGAGACACATCTGAGGTGAACAAAGAGGATTTGGCAACTAACAGGATATGTGTGAACTCTGGACAGAGGATAGGGTAATTTGGGGGCAATTATGGAGAATAACCCCAAAGTTTCTCATCTGGAAAATGGAGTGGCTATTGATGCTATTTATACAGGTCAAGAATGATGGGAGTTAGAGCAGGCATCAGGGTGGGAACAGGTCTCATGTTCAATTTTGAACAAGTTAATTTGAGATACTTGAAGGAAATTCATGAACAAATATCCAAGAGGTAGTTGAAAATGGAGCCCTGAAACCCAGAAAAGAGATTAGGACTGGAGATAAAAATTTGGCAACATAATCATAGAGATCTGGGAGATGGGGAGGTCACCCAGGGGAAATGTGTTGTCTACTAAAGAAGGGAACAAAGGACCCTGCCAAAACTCCAGGAAGAGGTAGAAATTGCAGAGGATATATTGGGAAAAAAAAAAAAAAAACCTTTCCTTTTAGATCCCCAAATGTTTGAACTTTGTCCAGGACAGTTTTATTATGAGAAAAGCTGAAGGCCAAGGTCTCACTTTGGGTTATTTGCAAATTAATAGACATGAGGAAAAAATGAACTCTTATCCCTAGTTATAGTAACAAAGCAATTTCCAAATGAGTTTCTGACTCCTTCAAAAGAACTTGGCTCTGGGTCTAAACCTACATTCTATCCAAACATAAATGTGTTTGAGAGTCTCCAACTGATGTTAATTCTACCCTTGAATATGAAGCTCGGAGGCAGCATTTATTCCTTGAAAGAAACTAAGAAATACAAACCCATTTGCCTTTCTCCACTCTTCAAAGGGATTTTGGTTTAAAGATCTTGGAAACTTTTCAGAGCTGTGTTTAATAATTTTATGTGTATTCATATGCCTGGCATCTGGTACCAGGTCATGGCTATAAGTACAGGGGAAAGAGAAATAACTCACTAATGAAGGAAACCAAGATTCAGCATTAAGATGCATAGCCTAGATATAATTTAATGTTTCTACATATATACACCTCCTGTCTATTCAGATGAGGCTAAAATGATTGATTGTAAGTATAAGGAATATTGGGCTGCAATTGTCACCCATTTGTTAAAATTGAAAGGCTTTAAACAATGGAATTAGTATCAAGTCTAAATTTATGAACTGTTGACAATTATCCAGGTTGATACTTCACAAATGGAGAGGTCTTAAGTAATTAATAGGCTGAAACCCAGGAGTAAAAAGGGGCATTTCCCAACTTTGACTTAGCCCTAGATCTCTATAAAATTGGATTCGGGGAAGTAAAGTAGATTTGCCACTGTGTTACTCACATGTGATTATAAGTGTGATGGGGAAAGAATTCTGACAGGATGATTCATTTTGGTGTTTGGGATTTGTGATAACTTGTGACTGACTCCAGGTTTAGGCATTCAATTTATTCTTATTTAGCAACTTTTTATCCAGCTGTCAAAGGCATTAGATCTAATCACTGCCATTTTCTTTAGAGAACAGTAACCTCTGCAAGGAGATATTTTTTCTTCTTTTCAGTGATAGGAAAAGAGCCAATTAAGCTTCGTCCTGCAGAGGTACAATGGCCTAACAAACAAAACATAAACCTGGCAACTCCATTAAACTTTTGCATTCGTATCCCTAGAAAAACAAAATAGGGAAAAATGATGTCAGCCACTTCAGGTCCCAGAGGTTCACTTTCTTTTTTTAAATGAAGAGTATGTGGGGCTCCCTTTATTTCTTCTCCCTTCCTATAGAGCTTTATTTCTTTAGTTATTCTCCCTTCCTACAGAGCTCAGAGAGAAGACGAAGAAGAGAAGAGAAAATAAAAGAAAAGAAGGGGTCCGGCAGGGCCATGACATTTTGCTGATAATGGACGAATAATGGCTCATTCCAGGAAGACAGAGAAAATGGGCTAAATTAGAAAACATTTCATAATGTTGAGCTTCAGTATCAAGTTGAGCCAAACTCAATCCAGCACAGCAATTTCCCACCTCCCAACTGTTTCTGCTTGTGCTCAAAGCTCCAATTATCCAGCCTGAATGCTTCTTATAAGACTACTACTCTTGTCCGCCCTCCCCCTGCCCCCATCTTGAGCTCTTTCTGGCTCCAAAAGGGAGTTCTGACTCTCAGTGGATTTGGGTTCCCTCCCCTCCTTCAGCTTTCTTGGACTGCCTGTCTTTTCTCCAGTGTCCTTTATTAAAAATGCTAATACTACCATTTTCAGCCTGGATTTCCAACAAATGCAGTAAAAAGGAGCATTGCTGAGGATGGGAGGGAACATGAGAGCCTGAGATGATCTGAACCAAGGAGCGGCTTTTTATCTGGCTGTCCCTCAACTGATGTTCACAGCCCAGAAAGCAGTGAAAGCACAGCAGGGGTGGGGGGGTGGGTGGGGAGAAGAGGCTGGATTTTTTTTTTCCTTTTAAAATTAAAACCCCTAAAAAGAGAAAATGCTGTCCTTGTAACTTTGGCAGGGACTTTTAGCTTTTGTTCTCTTTGTCAGAGTGGCAAAATTCATCTTCTATTTTGGAAGAAGAAGGAAGAAGTGCAATGGCCTGGAAACCTGGAATATACCAGGTACTAGAGGAAGACAAGGAGGAAGATGAGAATGGGGGAGAATAAGTAGAGAAAAAAAGAAATCAAGAACGAGTGTGAGGCAGTGGGGGCAAAAGGAAGTAAGAGGGGGAAAAAGGAAGGAAGAGGCTGGCTGGATATAAATGAGCAGGAAGTGAAAATAATGGAAAGGGTAAGTAACACAGTAGAAGATGAAAGAGAAAATATGGCTGTTAAAGGACTCTAAAAATCACAAATAGGAGAACCTAGGTAATCCCCCCAGAGACTGGCGTAGTCTCCCCCCAGATATTTCCCAGGGTGCTTTCTCCAATCCAACTTTACATAAATCAGGCAAGGAAAGCCTTCCACTGTCCCCATCCTTCTCACGCCCATCTAATAAATATCAACATCACATTATCAGCCTAAACGTTTCTTTCTTCTTCTTATCCCACTTCCTGGCTATATTCTCTAAACAACCTCTCTTCCCTGGTCTATGACTTTTTATCATTTAGATATTAAAGATGATGGCCACATCTCATTTAAGTATGTTTAATCCAAATTATACATTGCATGTTTGTTCTTTTCATCTCTCCCTGTAAGCCAATCCCTTTGCCCTCATAATTAGCCTCGCTGCTCTTCCCCAAAGTCCCTCATTTCTCTGTACTTCAGTTAATAAAACATCTTCAACACTTAACCATAAAAATTATAGAGCCGGCCGGGTGCAGTGGCTCATGCCTGTAATCCCAGCACTGTGGGAGGCTGAGGCAGGCAGATCACCTGAGGTAGGAAGTTCAAGTTCAAGACCAGCCTGGCCAACATGGAGAAACCCCGTCTCTACTAAAAATACAAAAGTAGCCTGGCATGGTGGCACATGACTGTAATCCCAGCTACTCAGGAGGCTGAGGCAGGAGAATCGCTTGAACCTGGGAGGCGAAGGTTGCAGTGAGCCGAGATCATGCCATTGCACTCCAGCCTGGGCAACAAACGCTAAACTCTGTCTCAAAAAAAAAAAAAAAAAAAAACCAAAAAAAAAAAAAAAAAAAAAACCAACAACAAAACAAAAAGAAACGCTATAGAGCCATAATGAGTGGCTGTCCAAAGCTGGAAAGAAAGAGAATTAAAACGGAGATGAAGTGATGTAGAACCAGGAGCCAGGCGACCTGATCGCTCGATAATTCGAACACTAACTAGCTGTGTGACCGGGCTAGATTGTGAGCCGGGCTGGATTACTGCTGAAGCCTGCTTTGGCTCTGACAGTCTAAGATCTAATCTTCATAATCCTGCAGAAGGGCAACATTTTAGAAGAATAGGTTTCAGAGACTGACTATCTTGGGTTCAAATCTTGGCTCCACCACTTACAAGCCATTTAACCATGTAGTCATTCATTTGACCCTCTGGTCCTTGGTATCCTCAGAGGTAAACTTCAGAAAATGATGTCAATCTTATTGAGGGCATTAGACAAAGAGAGGTTCTCAAACTTCTTGGATCATAGTATTCAAAGTGACTCACTAATTTTCACAGCTCCCCTAGGCCAAAATAAGTATCTACTAGTTTTATGTATTAAATAGTTATGTCTGAACAATGTAATAAGTCTTTACATCTGAAAATGTATTAGTAGATAATAGAAAAAATACAATAAGTACAAATTCAAAGTCGTTAGTATGGTATCTGACTGATATTGCCATTTCTGTTGACAATTCAAAATATCTCACAGTGCCCCTGTAAGATTGCTGCCATCCCCCAAGTCCCTCAATGCAGAGTTGGGAACCATGGAAATAAAGTGTAAGTAAAGTTCTTGGTAAGCAAAAAGCAGGGACCCAACAAATGGCAGCTATTTCTGCTACCAATAGGAACATTTCCCTGGCATCCAACACAGGACCTAAATAAATAAATTGAAGTTATTTATCTGGATTCATTTACTTCTCCACAGTGTTAATTCAAGTCTGGAGGAGATGAGCGAATATTGAAGTGACCTTCTGGGTTGGATCCTGCCCTTAAGAAAAAAAAAAAAATTTGCCTTGAACGTTGTAAAAAAAAATGAGTTGAGAGACAATGAGAATTCTGCTTCTAAACTCATTAAGCACCCCCAATTGGGCCCTTGTATCCACTGACGTGAAGAAGCAAGCTAGATGAGGATTAGAAAGCATTCTCAAGTCTAAACTGAAATAGCAAAAGAAGCTCTTGTCTCCCTTCCTTTCTTTCCAAAACGACTTGGCATCTCTTCTAAGATGATTTTTATTGCAAAATCTCTCATTAGCTATTACTTGGTGGAGAATACAGGAGTACACAGAGACTCAAAAGGGCAAGAAAAATTCATTACTCTTCCCTCTCAGAAAGTGACTCCAGTGGACCCATCAATCATGTAGCACTATTTGGTCATTGATTCTATCATTGATTTAGTGTTTATTGAACAGTGCTGTGGGTTGAATTGTCACCCCCGAAACTCCACCCAAATTCCTATGTTGAAGACCCAAGTCCCCATGTGACTCTATAGAAGCTAGGGCCTTTAAAAATGTCATTATGGATAATCAGGTTATAAGAGCAGAGCTCTAATCCAATAGGATTGGCTTCGTTACGAGAAGAGGAATAGACAACGCCAGAGCTCCCTCTCTGCCATGTAGGAACCTGGCAAGAAGGCTGCCATCTGCAAACCAGGAAGAGAACCCTCAAAAGAACCCAGCAGTGCTAGTGCCCTGATCTCGACTTCCTGCCTCCAAAGCTGTGAGAACATAATGTCTGTTGTTTAAGCCACTCAGTCTATGGTATTTTGTTATGGGCAGGCTGAGCTGACTACTACAAACAGCTACTGTATGACTTAGAGAGTAAGGTATCACAAACACAAAGCCAGAGAAGGTATAGTCCATGTCCTTAAGGAGTTTACAGTCAAGTGGGAAAACAGACAGAACACCAATAGTTATACTGTCTTGAATTTTCTTATTTGGCTATATGTGGGTGCTATGGAACTCCAGGGAGAATCTTTTAAATTGTGACAGCAAAAACAAGGATGAGAACAGAAGCAAGTGTTCTGGGAAGGCTTTCTGGAATAGGAGTTAGAGTCAAATGGGAGCAGGAAGACATTTATCCTTAATCCCTCAACTCCCTTACCTCTACAAATCTAGTATCTCTCCCAAGAACATCCTCCTTTCAGAAAAACACCTGCTATAAAGTCTAGCTGCATTCATCTCGCTAATAGACACTTGAGTCACCTAATCAATGTCAGTGGAGACTCTATTAGCTTGTCATTTTGCCATTGAGATACTCATTGCCCCATACGCATTAGTACTCTGGTAATCTATGGGGTAATTTCAGGACTATTCTATTTTCTTCTACTATGTATATCTAAATCTCTCTTTAGGATGCTCCCTCCTCATTCATTTATTCATCCCAACTCATTCATTCATTCACTCATTCATTCAGTAGACATTAACAGTCAGCTTTCAACTTTCTTATATTTGACTCTCTTGTAGCCTACACTTTCTGCACTTTATACATTGATCTATGTCAAATGTGAATTTTTCATTATAGTTCCGATGGAGATTCCTCACTTCCTCAATTGAGGTTGATCCATATCAGTGACTCATTTAGATGTGAGAACTGTGTGTGTACGTGTGTGTGTGTGTGTGAATGTGGTGAATAGCCTCCGCTTCGTTCATTCTGATATTATGGAAGTACTTGAAAGTTTTCACCCCACCCCCCCCGCCACCCACCAATGAGAACTAAGAGACTGGAAAGAAAATAGCAGGTAAATTCCTCTCCCTTCCTCCCTAACCTTCACTTTCTATGGACTGTTTAGTGGTAAAAGTTGCTGTAAGGCCTGTTTATAGTACGTCCTGTGGATCTCAAACAGTCTTCTTGTAAAGCTATGGTCAGCTTCCTAATGCAACACCCTGCATTTACTTTTCCTCTTTCCTGTCTCAATTATCTTTTCCCCTCACTCTTGCTGACTTGGAATTATACTTTTTTTTTTGAGCTGTTTCCCAGACTGGAGTGCAGTAGCATGATCTCAGCTCACTGCAACCTCGCCAGGCTCAAGAGATTCTCCTGCCTCAACCTCCCAAGTAGTTGGAACTACAGGCTTGTGCCACCACACTGGCTAATTTTAGCATTTTTAGTAGAGATAGGGTTTCATCATGTTGGCCAGGCTGGTCTCGAACTCCTGATCTCAAGTGATTCGCCTGCCTTGGCCTCCCAAAGTGCTGGGATTACAGGTGTGAGCCACCTTGCCCTGTCAAGGATTTTGCCTTCTTATAAATCATTAGCTATAACCTTTGTTTCTAGGGTACTTCAGCTAAAACGGCCTTTGTGCTTCAATTTCTTCACCTATAAAGTGGAGATGGATAATGATAGTTCATATTCATAAGGTTGTAGTGAAGATTAAATGGGTTAATACTAGATGCTTTGAACAGTGTGTAGCATGTAATAAGCCCTAAATGATTGTTGGCTATTATTACTCATCTTTTTTTTCCAGGTACCTAACACAATCCCTGAGACACAGAAAGTCATCAATAAATGTTTATTAAATGAATAAATGATGGATGTATTCTACTACAGTAGTAGGTGGAACACAGATGATTTACCTCAGTAAAGAACACCATGCCAAATGTTAAATATAAAAATCTGATTTCTCTTTTGTGGATTGAGAGACCTAAGCACTGGGGAATGCACTGAGAAAGTCAAGCAGAGATTTGATAGAACTTGCACACATAACCTTATATGCAACCATTCGCTGATTCATTCAATGAACATTTATTCAGTGCTTAATAATGAATGTGACAGGAAATGACATAGGGTTACAAAGATAAATAAGACACAGCCCTGAACTTGCAGCTTGGGATAGTATGGGCAGGGGCAGACCAGTGAACAGATGATTATAGTTATCAGATCATTATAATCACAGTTTGAATACAATGGCAGAGATATGCAAGGATGTCACAGGATCACAGAAGAGGGCCACTTTATTAAGACTCGATAGCATCAGATGGGTATCTCAGATGAGACTATCTGCATGCAGATTTTAACAGTAAGTAGAAAGTAATCAGATAAGCCTGGGATGGCAGAGGGAGCAGAGTAGGAAAAGCCATTCTAGGCACAGCACACTCCTGAGCAAATGCACTGAAATGTAGGATAGCACGGCACACACAAGGGCTCTGCAAGAGATTCAATGTCATTGCAACATAAAATTTCAGGCAGGGAGGGATTGGAGATGGGGCAGAGAGGGTTGGCAGGAACCAGGTCAGGAAGCACTTGTAGTTCACCTTAGGAAACTCCAAATTTATTTTCTGTAGGGCCATATGGGTCATTGGTGGATTGGGGCAGAGGGTAAAATGGACATAAATTTTAGATAGATCTTTTGGTGGCTAGAGAGGAAGGACTTGGGGATAAATCAGGGGGCAGGAAGCCAGATGAGAAGACCATCATGGTGGTAGAAGTGAGAGATAAAATGCCAGCCCAAGAGCAGTGGTGATGGCAGGTGAGTCTGTGTACATGTGTAAGGGCAAATGTTGCAGTGATGAAGAGGAGATGCTCCATGCTGGACCCTGGCAAGGGCCCCTGAGATCTGGATTCAATGCTGTCCCCCAACTTAAGAATTCCATAATAGAACTCCACCAACTGGCCTTCCAAAAATAGAACAGGTTAGGTTAGTCTGGTCCTTGGACTTCAGTGCTGGCATCAAAAACCTAGGTTCACGCAGAAATTTAAAATCTGGGTCTAAGTAATGGCTTTGTTAAAAATTATTTCATTCACAATAGCCACAGAGCTTCAAAGGGACCAAGAAACTGAAAGTCAGGACAAAAGGAGGCTCCCCAGTTCCCAAGGTAAATGGCAAGTAAGAGACAGAGTCATATATCCTCTCTCTCTCTCTCTCTCTCTCTCTCTCACACACACACACACACACACAGAGAGAGAGAGAGAGACAGAGACAGAGAAAGAGAAAGAGATTTCTAACTTTATAGCAGATTCCTCACAGTAATTATCAAGTATATATCCAGAACTTCCCAGGCAGTTTCTTTCCCTTCCCAACCCCCATCCCATGGCGCCTTAGATTACCAACTGTAACCTCACTATGCCCTACATTCTGTACTGCTGGCCCTAGGAAGTTTAATTGCTAAATTGGTTGAAGACTGAAAGAATGGGGAGAGGTTTTGCGATAGCATCACCAGCCCTCTCTCTGGGCTTCAGTTCAAAGGAATTGCAGTTCAGGGCCAGAGGAGAGAACAGCAGACTTAATACACGTGTAGGTTTGCCTCTTCCTCCCTCTGCAATCCTCTGGTGCACAAGGGCACATCAGGGGTTGCTGGGAAACAGAGTCTTTGATGATGTGCTCTCCCTGCTGTGAAGACTAATGACTTCAAAGAGGGCATCCTGCCACGCTAGGGGCTCCCATGGAAAATCTGACTGCAGTGTAATTAGGCAAGAGGCTGGAGTTCAGGTTAGTGTGTCCAATACCACCCTCCCCTGCCCCATGGAAAATGCAATTTGAGGAAGGGAGACACAAAGCTTTAGAAGAGCAGAAGTGTGTATTTGATGCAGACAGAGAAAACGAGAAAAGTTAAAACCAAACCAATTCAAACAAAAAACAGCCTACCCAGGGACTGTTGGCCAGTGGTCAGCTGAAAGGTTTTAAATAATGCATGCAGGACTTCCCTCCTGAAAACCAATTCCCTGACAGGGGTTACAATGCATGATGCTGAATTTCTTGATTCTTACAGAAATAATCATCTGATTGCATTGCCACCTGGTATTACCAAGCACACTCCACAAGCCAGGCACTCTCACTTTCCATAATTCTTTTGTTTACTCCTCACTGCAATCCAATGAAGCAGGTACTATTGTGATCCCTAGTTCACAGGGGAGGATGTTAAGGCACAGAGAACTTATGTAATTTGTTCCCAGCAAAGTGAGTAGTTAGTAAGAGGTACAGCCAGGATTTGGACCCAGGTGGTCTTCTTATAGAGTTTTAACCCTTGTGTTCTGCTGGCTTGGTTCCCTTCAGATTCAAGTTTCGCATCTCAAAAATGGATAAGACCCTAGAGGACTATTGTGAGGATCAAATAGGGTGTCTGACACAGAGGATATCCTCAGAGGAGGTGATGGGTTGTGAGGATATCCTGTGAGGATATCCTCCGAGGAGGACACATCACATCACAGAGGAGGTGATGTGATGTGTCCCTGTGAGTCCATTTCTCATGACACTAGAAATCTCACCAGTAGCAATTATTCTATTTTTATTGAGCACCTACTATATGTACTTGAGAATGAGACTCAAAAATAAGCCCTTGCTCCAAAGTTATGGTCTAGCACAGGTCAAGACAAGGGATAGAAATAAGACAAGGCACGCTGGGACGATTGCCACAATAGATAGTCACAGGCCTGAGGCATCCCAAAGGAGGAAGAGAGGGCTTCCAATTGGGGAGTTAGAAAAGGCTTTATGATGGAGCAGGTATTTGGGCTGGGTCTTGGAGAATGAACAGAATTAACCAGGTAGGGTATTAAAGGGAAGGAACTGGAGGGAAATAAATGACCTGAGCAAAAGTGGGGAGGGGGTAAAGTAAAAGGCAAGTGTGATCAAGAACAAGCAGTTCAATCGGGCTTTGAAACAAATGCTGGGTCTGTCTTGCTAGGAGTCTTGAGTGCCAGAAGGAGTCTATCCTAATAGCTCACATGGTTGCCATACTTGTCTTCATACATCATGCTGAAAGCCAGGATTTGGAGCCAGACTATTAGGGTCACTCTATCTCCTTTTATTCCTACTGTGACTCTCAAGCCAGTTATTGCACCCCTCTGTACCACAGCTTCCTCATCTGTAAAATGTGAGGAGCAAATAATATGAATACTCATAAAGCATTTACAAATAATGCTTGTCACATGGAAAGCACTCAATAAATATTACCTAGTATTATGTAAATGAGGCAACAAATTTAAAGCACCCAGAAGAGTGTCTGACTCATAAAAGAAGCTTATGGTATATTCATCTCCCTCCCGCTCTTATACAGACCATGAGGCACCCCAAATATTTTTCCAAATGGACTTCACTGATGCCTGAACAAGTTCATTCCCCTGGGGTAAGCTCTACTTATCTTCGGGCTTCTTTCCAAGGGCAAAATCTCCTGGGACCTGGGTGGAGAGGTGGGGGTGGGGAGCTCATTAAGTCACTGACAGTGGAGAGAAGATCATTACACAACCTCTCAAAGAAGAAAAATCAGAACACCAGGTGGAGGGCAATCCTCTAGAGGGAACTTCACCCACCCGACCGCTGTGCACACAGTGAGCTCAGCTGTCTGACTCACATTACCCCGCATTTCAAAGGAGGATGTGAGAGGGAGAGCAAGACATAAAATGGGGGCCTCTTGTCACCCACAAAACTGCTTATCCATAGAGTGTACTGCCTTCTGTGCCAGGCGGCACCGTGACGGTTTTAGTGCATGGACTCCAGTCAGAATGCCTAGGCTTGAATCCCAAATGATGCCACTTTCTATGGGTGTAACCTTTGGGCAAGGTACCAAACTTCCTTGTGCCTTAGTTTCCTACCTATAAAGAGGGGATAGCCTCACATAGTTGTGGTTAGATTAAAATATGTAGAACTCTTAGAAGTGTGCTAGGCACAGAGTAAACTGACAGTAAATTATTACCTATTATTATTGTCTTCACCTTCACTTATCAAATAAAAAACTATTGAGGGTCCTGCCATCAGAACTCCTTTTAAAGCAAGACTCTAAATGACATAAAACTACATGGCTTAGAGAAAGACAAGGCCTAAGAGACACATGGAGACTGTGGAGGCAAAATCTCAACAGCTTTGCCTTCTCCAGAGAAAGAGGATGGATCAATTCTTTAAAACAATAAAGAATCCAAAGATGTCTAGGAGCTACAATCGATTCACTAACAAGACAAAATCCCAAGCTAGGGCCATGGCCATTTATGGAGACTTCTCCAGGTTGGCACTGATGTCATCTTTGATTTTTAGAAAAGCATGCACTAACTGGTTTAGAAAATGTATTAAATGCCCCTTCTGGTCCAGACAGGATGAAATCTTTGAAATGGACTAGATGGAAATATGTTCAATGATCATCAGTATACTTGATGAATTCATGTGGAATTGAACAAGCATAGCCAAGAAGTTTTGAGTAAGGGGTTAAGTTCAACCTTCAGGAAGATCTCTAAGTGAAGCAGGGCTTGATCTTGCTTTCTTTAACAATTTTGTCAGTGACTTCGAGGTGACTGAAGGTGATATGGTTTGGCTGTGTCCCCACCCAAAATGTCATCTTGTAATTCCCAAAATACACACATGTCAGTATGGGGAGGGACCCGGTGGGAGGTAATTGAATCATGGGGGCAGTTTCCCCATATTGTTCTCGGGATAGTGAGTGGGTTCTCACAAGATTTGATGGTTTTATGTGTCTGGCATTTCCCCTGCTGGCACTTATTCTCTCTCCTGCCACTGTAAAGAGGTGCCATCCACCATGTTTATAAGATTCCTGAGGCCTCCCCAGCCATGTGGAACTGTGAGTCAATTAAACCTCTTTTTGTATAAATTACCCATGCTCAGGTATTTCTTTACAGCAGCAAGAGAATGGAGTAATACGAATGTATGTTAATTAAATTGGCAAATTACATAAAGAAGAAGGGATAGCTAATACATGGGATCACAAAGTCAAGATTCAAAGGATTTCAATGGGATAAAGCTAAAATTTAATATGATTTTATATAAGACCTATACCTAGGTTAAGAAGACAATTGACTTCAGTCTTGAATACACTTTGCCTTTTTGACAACAGTTCCTGCAGGAAAGATCTTTAATTGACCACAAACTTACTATAAGCAAACGTCATGACTTTTCTTAAAGATCCTAGCACAAGCTTAGCTTAGAATTCACTAATAGAAAATACAGGGGAAGAAACAGGCATGCCATATTTTACATAGTGATTTGAACAGTCCTGGGCAACATAGTCTAAAAGGCATAATGACAAACTAGGGACATGCAAAAGACAGCTAGTAGGATCTTTAAGAGACTCATAAAACTTATGATCTAAAGAATAGTTGAAGGAACAAGCTCTATTTAGAAGAGAAGAGCCAGCAGAGACATCATCCTATACACAATTATCTGAGACATTAACATGTAGCCAGCCTGTATATAGTGGTCCTATTTGCTCACAGACGTCTATCCCACACTTTACAGTAGATGAGTATATTTTTCTAATGCACACAAAGGTACTATATATGGCAGCAGTCCTGAGCGTAGAAGTAGGAAATCAGCATATTCTTTATTGCTCCAAAGGACGGAGCTGACCAAACAAATGCAAGTTACAGGAAAACATATTTTTGCTCAGCCTAAAGAACTGTCTAAGAATCTGCATTACAATGATGGAATGAGTTGCCTCTTCAAATAATGTAGCCCACATTACCAAGAGTGTTCAAACAGTGGTTGGGCAGCCATCTGATGAAATGGCTGTAGGAGGGATTTCTACAATGGGTGGCAGATTGGATATTATGACCTTGAGGTGGGCTTCCACCTCTATGTGTCTAGAATTGTCAGCGATTCAGCTGGTATTCCTACTCTTACTTCCTGAAATTAGGGAGGTGATTCACCACTCCATGAGATAATTTAAAGATCCAATTAGGTTCAGAAAACAGAGGTCTGTGGATGTTCTGCCCAAACCACCCCCAGACTTGGTAATACTTGAAAGGTGGTAGCTACTATTATTCTTAGGTATTGCTTATGAAAGACCATGGGAAGACAAACACATTTCTTATTTAGCAAGTACTTCTGGAACATCCACTATGTTCCAGACAGTGTATTAAGGTATGACAGTGCAATTTTACATAAGAGACATTGTTTCTGCCTTCATGGAATTTACATTCTAGAAGTAGGTTACTCTAAACTCAAATGCCAAATTGACATTAAGGTTGACATCATTTGGTGAAAGTTCAAAGAACACAAATGAGGCTGTGACCAATGCAAAGCATCATCAATGTGAACAGGCCATCACTTATTGAGTACCTACATACTTCATGTAATATTATTGAGCACAACTCATCTCATTTAGGTTTTTAAAATAATCTTTATAACAAATCTATGAAGTAGATACTATTATTCTCATTTTTAAGAAATAAGGCTCATAAAGGTTATGAGGCTAGCCAAAAACACAGGGCTTTTAAGAAGATGAAATGAGATTTGAATCCAAGTCCATCTGATTCCAAGGTTGTGTTCTTCCCATTACGTTCTGCTGCCTCTCTTAAAGATACAAATGTGAGCAGGTGAACGTTAACCCTCTTAGAAGTGAGGTGTATGCAATCTCTTGAATAAGATGAAATAGGTGGTTACTCCCACACCTGCAGGGCAGAGTGTAGGGGGTGCTATAATAATACCAGGCATGCAAAGTACAATGGCTCACTGGCATTGATGTTAATTCAACTCCTCATAGGTTTTTCCTAGTGTAGAATATGTTTCCACTTGTGACCATCCAACAATGGTGAGCACTTGTTCCTTTCAAAGTCAGCCTTCTTTTGTGGTTATACACAAGGGAGTCTGTTCTATGTCACAATGGAAGACCACGCTTAGAACTGTGGTCTGGACAGCCCCATGAGGGAATTTCACCTATAGTGCTAATTGAGTTAATGCAGTCTTAGGGCCTTGAACAACTATTTACAGACCCACAGAAGTCTAGGGACCCTCTGACATCCAAGAGTCTTAAATCTAAAGGCCAACACCAATTGGCAACTCTGGTGTTGCCTATATTTCTTCAAAATAACAATGCTAGTCTCAGTGTGGAAAACCACACAGAAAGGTTAATAAACTTGTTGAGAAGGGCCATAAAGGAAGGAAAAAGTCACCCCAATTGTTGAAGTTCATTGTGGTTTAATGAAAAAAGCCTAAATGTTGGCATCAGACCGTTCTGTTCACTAACTGTGATTCTGGTCAATGTACTACCGACCCTTAAATAATAAAATGTGCCTTACACACAAACACACACACACACACACACACACACACACACACACACACATGAACAAATCAAGAGACAGAACAATACAATGTTATTTTGTTAACAAAAGTATTATAGCTAAACAAATAAAACCAGGAGTATGAGCACTCTCTAGGGGATGGTACTTTGGGTGGCTTGGATTTTCTTCTTTTTGCTGTTTTGTTTTTTTCTAGATTTTTTATCACACGCATTCCTTTTGTAAAAAAAATAGATAAAGTAGAAAACAAGATACGCAGTGGCAAAATGTTTGCTCTTAATTTTTGAAATTACATAAAGTTTAAAACTTAGGAAAAATGATTATAGTATGAGTGTTTGAACAAGAATCCATTGTACTGGCATAGGAAGAATAAACCTTAATATTATTTTTATTAGCATTGTTTTTGCAGAAATTGTAGGTGAAATAAATATAATTAATTACTCACCTTTTTTTAAAATATCCAGTTCGACCTCTATTCACACAAACTAGAAAATCTAGAGGAAATAGATTCCCGAAGACATACAACTCCTTTAGCTTGAATCAAGAAGGAATAGAAACCCTGAACAGACCAATAATAAGCAGTGAGATTAATCGGTAATAAAAAAAAAAGGCCAAAACGAACAAACAAACAAAAAAAGCCCAGGGGCAGATGCACACATATTCACAGCCAAATTCTACCAAATATGCAAAGTAGAATTGGAACCAATTCCACTGAAACTATTCCAAAAGACTGAGAAGGCGAGAATCCTCTCTAACTCATTCTATGAAGCCAGTATTACCTTGATGCCAAAGCCAGGAAGGGACATAACACACACACACAAAAACTGCAGACCGATATCCTTACTGAAAATAGACGCAAAAACTCCAACAAAATACTAGCAAACCAAATCCAACAACACATTAAAAAAAAAAAATCACCATAGTCGAATGAGTTTCATCCTAGGGATGCAGAAATTGTTCAACATATGCAAGTCAATAAATGTGATTCATCCCACAAACTGCATTTAAAAACAAAAGCCATATGAGCAACTCAATAGATGCAGAAAAAATTTGATAAAATTTCAGCAACTCTTTATGATAAAAACTCTGAAGAAAATAGGCATAGAAGAAACATAGCTCAAAATAATAAAAGCCATATATGAAAACCCACAGCCAGGCCAGGTGCAGTGGCTCACGCCTATAATCCCAGCACCTTGGAAGGCCAAGGCAGGAGGATTACCTGAAGTTGGAAGTTCGAGACCAGCCTGACCAACATGGTGAAACCCTGTCTCTACTAAAAATACAAAAAATTAGCTGGGTATGGTGGCAGGTACCTGTACTCCCAGCTACTCGGGAGGCTGAGGCAGGAGAATCGCTTGAACTTGCGAGGCAGAGGTTGCAGTGAGCCAAGATTGCCCCACTGCACTCCAGCCTGGGCAACAAGAGCAAGACTCTGTCTAAAAAAAAAAAAGAAAGAAAGAAAAGAAAAGAAAGGAAAACCCACAACCAACATCATACTGAAAAGGGAAAAGTTGAAAGCATTATGCCTAAGAACTGGAACAAGACAAGTATTCCCACTTTCCCCACTTCTATTCAACATAGTATTAGAAGTCCTATCCAGAGCAATCTGGCAAGACAAAGAAAAAAAGGGCATCCAAATTAATTGGAAAAAAAGAAGTCAAACTCTCTCTGTTTGCTGATGATATTATCTTATATCTAGAAAACCCTAAAATTTCCTCCAAGAGTCCTAGATTTGATAAACGAATTCAGTAAAGTCTAGGTTACACAATGTATACAAATTATTGGCACTGCTATAAACCAACAATGACCCAGCTGAGAATAAAATCAAGAACTCAATCTCTTTTACAATAGCGACAAAAAAAAAATACCTAGGAAAATACTTAACCAAGGAGGTGAAAGATCTCTACAGGGAGAACTCTACAAAACACTGCTAAAAGAAATCATACAAGACACAAGCAAATGGGAACACCTCCCATGCTCATCAATTGGAAGAACCAATATCATGAAAATGACCATACTGCCCAAAGCAACCTACAGATTCAATGAAATTCTGTCAAAATATCAAGAACTTTTTTCACAGAATTAGAAAAAACAATTCTAAAATTCATATGGAACAACAACAACAACAACAAAAGCCCGAATAGCCAAAGCAATCCTAAGTAAAAATAACAAATCTTGATGCATCATATTACCTGATCTCAAATTATACAAGACTATCATAACCAAAATAGCATGGTACTGGTATAAAAGTAGATATACAGGCCAAAGGAACAGAATAGAGAACCCAGAAATAGAGCCAAATACTTACAACCATATGATCTTTGACAAAACACACAAAAACAAAAACCAAGGAAAGGACACCCTATTCAATAAATGGTACTGAGAAAGCTGGATAGCCACATGCAGAGGAATTAAACGGGATCCCTATCCCTCACCATACATAAAAATTAACTTAAGATGGATTAAAGGCTTAAATCTAAGATCTGAAACCATAAAAATTCTAGCAGAAAACCTAGGGAAAACCATCTGGACATTGGCCTAGGCAAATAATTTATGACTAAGACCCCAAAAGTAAATGCAAAAAAACCAAAAACAAATCAATGGTACTTAACTAAACTAAAAAGCTTCTGCACAGCAAAAGAAACAACCATCTTATTTCATAATCAAGAGTAAACAGACAACCTACAGAATGGGAGAAAATATTTGCAAAACATGCATCTGCAAAGGACTAATATCCAAAATCTACAAGGAATTCATATAAATCAGCAAGAAAAGAAATCCCATTAAAAAATAGGCAAAGGACATGAATTGACATATTTAAAAAAAATACAAATGGCCAGAGAAACATGTAAAAATGCTCAACATTATTAATCATCGGGGAAATGTAAATTAAAAAATGAGATACCATTTTACCCCAACAAGAATGGCCATTATTAAAAAGACAAAAAACAACAGATGTTGGCATGGATGTGGTGAAAAAGGAATGCTTATACACTGCTAGTGGGAATGTAAATTGTAACAACCTCTATGGAAAGCAGCATGGAAATTTATCAAAGAATTAAAAGTAGACCTAACATTTGATCCAGCAATCCCACTATTGGGTATCTATCCAAAGGAAAACTAGTCACTATATCAAAAAGACACCTGCATGTATATGTTTGTCATAGCACAATTCACAATTGCAAAGATATGGAATTAATCTAAGTGCTCATCAACTGATGAGTGAATAAAGAAAATGTTTTTTATATATATAATACATATTCATATATATAATGTGTGTACACATATATATAAAATGTGTGTGTGTGTATAGTAGTGTTCCATGGTGTGTATGTGTATGTGTGTGAGTGCTGGGATTACAGGCGCCCGCCACCATGGCACCCGCCACCACGCCCAGCTAATTTTCTGTATTTTTAGTAGAGATGGGGTTTCACCATGTTGACCAGGCTAGTCCCAAACTCCTGATGTCAGGTGTTCCACTCGCCTTGACCTCCCAAAGCGCTGGGATTACAAGCGTGAGCCACCGTGCCCTGCCTAATGACAGCAATTAATTAGCATTATGTGAGGGATTACTCCAAGTGTTCAGTGACATTTAAGTTGTAATGCATTAAATATGGTGTTGAATGTGCAGGATGCTAGATGGTGTTCCTACAACCTCTTATTATACACAGACTTACAGAGATGTTTATATTAAAGGAGTTTCACCTGAATGCTAGGCCCTGGGCTGCTGTCTTCTTTCCTCTAAAAATAGCTTAAAATTGAAGGTTTTAACTTTGGCATTAAGAATAACACCCTCAAGGAAAAAGTTTTGAGAAAAATAATGTATCACAAACATACTTTTAATGCTTCTTTATACGTTACCCTATTTTGTGATTATGAGAGAGAACAAAAATATATACAGAATTGAGGTGGGGGTTAGTAAAAAGCAAGCATTTCATGTATAGAAACAGAAATTGGGAAGAAACATGCCAAAATCGTAATGGCAGTTTTCTCTACACATGGGATAATGAATGTATTTTTTTCTATTGATTAAAAAAAAAAAAGATAAATAGCCAAAAACTCCAAAGCCAGGAAAAATAATAGCACTCTGAAACCTAGTATTTTTAGACTGAAACCCAAGATGAAAGTCTAGGGAGCATTCCTAGTGGAATGCCCATGCATGCAGTAGAATATACAAATGCAGGACACTATCTGGAAAGCATAGGCAAGACATAAAACATTCATTTCTATAAAATTGAAACAATTTATCTTCCATTCTTGAGCAGATGAGAGGGTAAATTGAGGTTGATTTTTTTTCACCCTGTTGGACTTGTTGGAGGAAATATGAGTGTTCCCGCCTCTGGCACTGTTTAAAATAAGTCTCTTGGTGCCGTGACTGGACTAGTCAGAGACAACAGCTGACAGAGCCTCCCCCCTCCTCTGGGGGTAGACAGCACTGTAGGTGGACTCTCATCACCACGGGGAGGAGGTGGGATGAAGATGTATCCCTCAGTCTTGGGAAAGCGGGATGCAGAGAAGCAGGCTGTCAAACATAGACTGTCCATCTCCCATCTACAGCTGATCCCTGACTTTCAGAGTATTATATGCTCTTCACATTGCTCTCTCTTTTAAATCTTTATTTAACCAACTGACTTGTCTCCAACACCCAGCGGTTACTATGAAGCTTGACTACCAGCTATGTGACCTTGGGCAAGTTACTTTACCTCTCTGGCTCTCCCTTTCCCAATTAATAAAAGGTGCCAGGTGCGGTGGTTCACGCTTGTAATCTCAGCCACTTTGGGAGGCTGAGGCGGGTGGATCACCTGAGGTCAGGAGTTTAAGACCAGCCTGACCAACATGGAGAAACCCTGTCTCTACTAAAAATACAAAATGAGCCGGGCGTGATGGCACATGCCTTAATCTCAGCTACTCAGGAGGCTGAGGCAGGAGAATCCCTTGAACCTGGGAGGTGAAGGTTGCGTGAGCCAAGATAGCACCATTGCACTCCAGCCTGGGCAACAAGAGTGAAATGCCGTCTCAAAAAAAAAATTAATAAAATGCAAGGATCTTTAAAGCTGCACTCAGCCACTTGTCTACAAGCTCATTCTTATTTTCATTGGAAAAAGTTAACTGATAAAAGGATGCCTTCTCGAGGCGTCTGGAGACTCCATGTCTTGCTTAAGAAGTGTTCTTAAGTCTGGCTGTGCTTCAGAAACATCTGTGGGAGCTTGTCAAATGTACAGATTCTGGGCCCTCTCCCAGACTTGTGAAATTTAAATCTCTGGGGGTAGACGTCTGAAATCAGAAGATACTTAGGTAGCTGCTCTATGAACCGGCATGCACGAGTCACTCATTAGGGCACATTTTGTTCTTTTATCATCCTGAGTAACCAAGGTTACAATTGCCTCTGAGAGGGGAGCAAAGGGCATCATTCAAAATGACCACAGTTCAGCACTAGTTCATCAAAGGCCTTTGTGCAAATTAGAAAAAAGTACCCATCTGGACAGATGTGCCCCTTCTCTCAGAGTTGGCTTGTCTTAGCAAGCATGGGTTGGGTTTTAGCCTTCCATTGCTGGAGAGATGTCCTCTTAGCCTGATGTCCTCTACAAAGAACAGTGTATCACTGTATTCAGCTGACTGACCACAAGGGTTTTGTGAAAAATCGGTCAAGTTACATGTTTTCGCTTGAGAAAATCCCTGAGAAGGAGGTGCAGAGTTTCCCAAGCCAACTGGAGGGGACGATTCTGTTAAGTCTGTCTGTGGAGGAAATCCTGGTAGATGGAGATTTACTTTCAAGCACTCAGTTCCTGCCTGCTCACCCAAGGAAGGGTTTTTTTGTTTTTTTCCTTTTAAGGGACAATGTTTCTGCTAGAATCAGGTTTCAGCAGGGCACCTCTAGAGAGAAGAAACAGAACTTTAGGTTTAATTCCAAGAGCCCCTTTGGTCTGTTGGACACAGAAAAACGTAAGAGAAAAGGTAGTGGCATTTTCATTGACTCCTAGGGGAAGAGGAGAAGATAAAAGTAAGAGAGAGAGAAAGAGAGGAAGAGAGAGAGGAGAGGAAGGGGGGGTGGAGAGGAAGACAGAGAGGAAGAGGGAGAGGGAGAGGAAGAGAGAGAGAGAGGGAGAGGAAGAGAGAGAGGGAGACAGGAAGAGAGAGCGGGAGATAGGAAGAGGGAGAGGAAGAGAGAGAGGGAGAGGAAGAGCAAGAGAGGGAGGAAGAGAGAGAAAGAAGAAGGAGGAGGAAGAGAAGAAGAAGGAGGAGGAAGAGAAGAAGAAGGAGGAGGAGGAAGAGGAGAAGGAGGATGAATAAAATAAACTGCTGAATGAATATGCTGGAAACCCTTATTAGCAATAAGTGATAATGATGAGAGAGAAAGAGAGAGAGAGGAAGAAGAATTAAAAGAGAGCTAATGGGAAGATAATCCCATTTGTGGATGGCAAAGCAATGACAGAAGCTGGGCACAGACAATGAAGTCTGGGCTGGAGGGCAGGAAACGAGGGCACCCAGAGATAAAGAAACAGCCATAGTCTGGCCAGCAAATCTTGTTTGAGAGGTCGGATGAAGGTGAACGGGACAGCAGTGACATGGAAACCAGCAAAGGGATGGGAGAAGTAACAGCCAGATGATGAGCTAGAAATAGGCAAAGAGTCAGAAATTTCCTATGTCACAGCAGACTGTCTGACCCCACCTGAGTCACCTCAGAAAAGACTTTGGGCTGGTCAAAGAAACAAGACATGGCCTAAGACCTGGGCTTGGAATCACAGCTACAGCTCAACATGCCAGTCACTGCCCTAAGATGGTCTAAGCATTTACACTTTGATGACAGCTGAGAGGAGGTTCTTGCTCAGTTTTAGGTGGACAGGAGAAGTCAGGATTGATTTTGGATCTTTTTGAATAATTAGTGAAGGCTGGTCTCACCTCATCCTAGAACTCAGAGGCAAAGGTATCCTCTCCACCAGATGTGGTCTTTGTCTTTTTAGTGGTCTCTAAGGAACTGTTAAGAATGACATCCTTCAGGCAGGACAAAATAAAAACACCTCCTGTCAAGGACATGTTTTGAGCAAGACAGAGGAGCTGAGGCCAGTCATGATGAACACAGTCCTCATTCTTGGCTTCAAGTGGGAACTGGCTCCTATGGTTTGGGACATTTGCTCCTTATAAAGATATAGATTCCCTAAGCAGTCACTCCTGAGCGGGTGAGAAGTAGGAAGAAGTTGCAGAAATAGAAGGGAAGACAGTATGCACCTGGGACAATGAGAATGACATATTAAGGCAGCATGGGCCATGTATGAGTAAGTGAATGTGTGTGTGCCTGTGTGCACCTACTTGGCATGTCATGGTAAGTGCATTGCCTCCAGAGCAGGCAGTGTAAGGAAGAAGTACTCTGATGGGCAGGACCATTCCTGACAACAGCTTCTAACACCTTGGAGAAACACCTGTTCATTTTCCACAGCAGGTCACTTCCCATCTCATGAATGATCGCTCTGTCTCCATCCTTCAGCATTGAAATCTAGTGATATTTTATATCTCTCTAGTGGGGAATCTCCTTGGTGTTGCCCTCTGTATCTGAGATGCCAGAATAAGAAATCAGGCTATTATTTACTGGGAATCCTCACATGCATGAATTTAACCTAATTGTAATCTTCTGAAAATTGTATCTAGAGGCCCTTGGGTGTACTTTTAATTTAACAAAAAAACATGATTGTAGTCTTTCGTAATCATTTCCAAAGTAGCTACATAAATCTGTTTTTCCTCCTCTAATATTTTCATGTAAATCAATCTCTCTTGCCTCCTCCACCCTTGTTTATTGTTTTCAATTCTCTTCTGTGAAAATTTCCAATTTGTCCTTGTTGTCCTAGCAAACAAATATCAAACACAGACTTTAATAGTCTGTGTTTAATAGTCTGTGTCTATGCAGCCACAGGGATAGCAGGCCAAGGAGTTATTCAGTGAATTCATACAGGGGAGACAGAAGACAAGGTAAGCCACTGTGCAGGGCTAAGACCTGTCCACCCTGGGTCCTGTGCCTGGCAGCAGGGTCACAAGGGATGTTGTGGCAGGGAATGATTGATTTTGTTGCCAACCTCAAAGACCAAGGCTGTAACCTCAAACATTCCATGTTCTTTTAATAACCCATTAGAAATCTGTCATCTGTGACTTTGTTTAAATCTTTCTGAAGCTATTTTTACTCTTAGTGAATAGGACCTTCTTGTGCACTGAATTCAATGATCTTGTAATTTGCCATCTGGACCCTGTCACCTGGCTGAGCTGAAGTGACTAGCTTCACCACTAAGACCAACACACAAATGTTTCAACCTGCCTCATTTCTGCCTGAGCAATTGTGGCAGAACTGGAGTCACCAGGAAATGATTGCAACCTCCTCGATTCACATGCTTTCTGCATATGGTCTCCAATTCTCTGCCATTCTTGGCTGTTTGGTCTTGACTTTTATCTACAAGACAATTTTAGGAATATGTTTTACTGAGATAATCCAGATAAATAAAAGTCTAGCTAACCCCAAGAGGTTTCGTGTTTGTTTCTTTGCTTTTTAGGATCATTTAAATTTAATATGAAAGGTCCCAAAAAAGTAAAGTGTAGTGAGAGTACACCTGGAACGTCTCCCTCCCTCCTGCTAGCGGGTCTAGTATGGGAGCTTTAATGTCCACAGCCTCAGTAAACAAGACCTCTTTGCTATCTAGTCTTTTGCCACCTTACCAGCCTCTTATCCTCTCTCTGTAAAGTGAATTCTTATGCTACATTGAGCTTTTTATTTACCATTCCTGAAAAAACCATGTTTCTCATGTCTCCGTACCTTTCTGCATGCTAGTTCCCTTTGCTTAGAATGATCTTTGTTATCTGGCAAGTAGAACAGTTCACAATCCAAATTCTCCATGAAACCCTATTCCATATTTTTGACCTCACATAAGTCACCCCTTAAATTTCAATCCCACAGACTTTCGCTCACATCTTTATTTTAGTAAGTATTAGATTTCATTGCAATTACTTGTTACTCTTTCAACTGTCTACGTAGACTGTTAGTTCTTCCAGAGCAGGAACCCATCTTCTTCTATAAATAACAACCTAGCATACCCTGGACCATAATAGGTAATGGGGTGAATATCTGTTGAAAACACAAATGAGTAGGAGAATAAATGATGGAGTGGTGAGAGAATTACTATAAACAAACTGGCTTCCTGTCATGCACATACACACACACACACACACAAACACACACATACCATACAATCACACATATACCACATGTGCACACATAATGCACAGGCACCACTCACACACACACACACACCACACACACACATGCATGCACACACACACATACACCACACACATGCATACACACATGCACACACATGCGTGCACACACACAAACACACACACATGCACATTCAGGACCAGGAAACTAGAAGGAGGCAGAGGCTGGGTAAAGTTGCAGGTGCCACTCCTCCACCTCAAAAAAAAAATCAATTTGTAACTTCTTATATTAGTGTCCTTGATCAATTTTCTTCCTTGTCTGAAAGTCATAAAGGCTTATTGCTACTTTTCTCCTGGTACATTGACCTTGATACTTCACTAAAGAATTTGTTTTAACTATTTGGCCTAGGATTTGGTTGTTCTACTTCAAAGGAATGTTCAGCTATTTTAATGTACGCAATACAAGAATATGAAGTGAAAACCATTCACACATGGGCTGCTTACCTCCACTTCAGGAGAATTAAATAAAATATTCAGGAAAATCAGACATACCATTGATTTTTCCATAATACCCCAATATGTATCATTAGTTGGCAATCTGTCAGACAGTTTTCAATTCGAGTGACAGTCTTCATGTTCAAACAAATTTCGATTAATTTTGTGAGAATCATTTAAAGAAACATGGCATCGGATCCCTGATTTAAATCAAGATGTATGGCATCTTATACTTTTCACTTACCTTGTCATTTTATGAGGAAAAATACAGTCATTTGTCTGGCGCTTTTTTAATACTGAGTACATATAAACTCACACTGCTTATCACTCCTGGTTCCATTATCCTCAAGGTACTCACTTTTTTCCTCCTCCTAACAGTTGCTCCATTATTTTATTAGTGTCCAAAATGAGACCTCATAGACAGTGATGATCATAGAATAATGGAAATTAAAGATGGAAATGACAGATTAGGTCTTCTTGTCTATTTCCTGGGGCTAATGTTTCTGTCAGTCTATAACTCACTGCTTTAGCCTGTCTTGTTTTAAATGACACTTATGCTGGGACCTCAAACATTTCCCCTGAGACTCTTGTCTACATCCTAAGACTGTCTCTACATACAGCCAGAGGGAATGATGAAGGCTTATGCAATTATCAAGTGAAGTCAGGCCCATCCTCACATGATCTGTCTACAAGGCTAGAGATGTGGAGGCTTGAGTGATTAACCACCAAATCCAGTCACTACAGCGAGCCAGCCTGGATCACTCAGGGCAGAAGTGAAATATTTTGTCATTGTTTTCTCCAGCAGCAAGTCAGCAGCTAAGAGACAGAGATTGGTTATCCATCACTTTTTTACACTATTTTAATCAGTAAGAACCACAGTCCACCGCAATTCTTAGCCATCCCATTAGCTAAAATTTTGGATCCCCAGAAACTATGCAAACATTTCAGAGGCAAAGATGGTAAGGGGACTCCATAGAATGTAAATAGCCAGTGGTATTACTCATTCATATCCCACTGCACATCTATCAGCCAAACCTTCTGCCCTTCTCCCCAATCTTTCAATAACAGGCTGCCTCATATGTAGCTGCCCTTCTACAAACACCTTCCTCTAAAATTTGTGGGCTCTCTCTGTGATATGATCTCAAATTCTGCCAAAACTGAGCAATCCTTCATTTTCACGAACAGAAAAATTTCATGGCGTTTTGACTTCCCCAAGTTTTCTGACCTGTGACTCAGATTTCCTTTCCCCAACTGCATTTTCTCTTGTCCTTATCCCCCAACTTCAACCTGTTCCAGAACATTTGCCCTCTCCTAACATCTATGGGCATCTATCATGCCTTGACTTAGTCATCAGCTGGCTAAGTTCTCAGAGTTGAGTTCTTCTATCCCTTTATCATAAATCACTCCCTTGGGCTCTTCAATCATTTTTATTGCTCTTCTCCAAACGCTCACCCATTTGTCACCATATTTATTGCTTTGAGAGTCCAGAACTACATTCAGTATTCTAGGTTTGGTCTCATCAGAATCACACGGAAGGGGCAGATCATTGACCTCAGGGATGTGAGTCCTCCATGGCGATGTCTGAAATGACATTGGTTTCTTTTTTCCACCTGTCAAGCTGCAAACACATATCTAATTTGCAATCCAAGCAACCATTCTGAGATGGCTTTTGCCTTGATTTCTTTCTAGTTTTTCCTGTTCCATTGATTGCTATTATTAGTTCGCATTTATTGATCCCCTTCTCCTCCCACCCTCCTTCAGGACCCAGCCAATGCAGAAAGTTAACTCTCAACATCTAAAGGAAACTAAAAAGTTGCTTTTAAAAAGTAATAGAGGGCAGGGCACAGTGGCTCATGCCAGTAAACCCAGCACTTTGGGAGGCTGAGGTGGGAGGATGGCTTGAGGCCAGGAGTTGGATGTTACTGTGAGCTATGATCATGCCACTACACTCCAGCCTGGGCAACAAAGCAAGACAATGTCTCAATTAAAAAAAAAAAAAAGGCAATAGAAAGTGAATAGTGGGATGCTTGCATAATGTGAATTTACTTAATGCCACTGAATTGTATACTTAAAAATGGTTAAATGACACATTGTATGTTATATATTTTTTATCCCAATAAAACATTCCAAAATGTAAAAAATAAAAACAAAAAAGGAATACATGAGATAACTACTTTGTCCCACTCGTGTGTGTCTAGGGGAAAACAAAAGTCTCATTGGGAAATGGTAATTGGGGATCAAGCAAAAATACTCTCTTATTCAATACAGAGTACTTCCTGAGTCTCTGTATGTCACCCCTGCTGACAGTCCTGGTGAAAACAAATTTCCACTCATGTCAGTCTTGCAAAGCTCATCAGGCTCTGGGAGAGCTACATTGGAGTCTCTGTGGCTTCATGTGTCTCCAACAAAATCATCAGCTAAATTCTGCCTGTGGAATCCTCATGGCTGGTGGTGGTGTGAAAAGGAAGAGAGGGACAGCTTGATTTTCAGATCCCAGCTGGAAGCTGCAGGGCTGCGAGTCAGAGGCTCGTAAATGGAGAAAAAGATGATATAGACGTCACTGGAATGGTATAAATATGGAAAGGCATAGTGACATTTTTACCCATTTGCTGTTCAGAATATAGCCACCCTTTAGCTCTATTCCTCTCCATGCAGTTGCTCCACGTCATGTCTGTGTAAGGAGCAGTGATATGTGGGAACCAGCTAAGTCGTCATGCCCTCACTTACCCCTGGTTTGTCCCCCATTCGTTCCGAATGCAAAGGTGCTTATGTACTGGATCCTTCATGTAGCCTTCATAGCAGAGGCATTCCCCTTAGAAGCAGGGTAAGGAGGAAGAAAGAGAAACATGAAGGAATTGATTAACATGTCTGTGTTTGTAAAAATTAACATGAAATAGTCAGGGTAAACTCTTACTCTGATATTAGCATGAATGAGACAGTAAGTTCCATTATGTCATATACTCCCCTCTCCACCACTCACATAAATGAATACTCCAACCAATCTCTCCCTTCTCCAGTGTGTGATACTTTTCATAGAAGAGGAATCTAGTATTTAGAAAGCATCTATTATATATGTTCTGTAAGCACAAAGACCAACAATTCTTTGAGGAAAAGGACTTTTTCATCTTTATTTTCTCAATGCCCAGTATACTACAAGGCACACAGTAGATGAATAATAATGTTTAAAGACTGCATAAGTGAATTATTTCACCAAATATTTCTAGGAATCTTGGAAAGTAGGTATTATTGGCTATGTTATGCTAATGGGAAAAACAGCCTTGAGAAAATTGAAGGCTTGTAGACAGCTTGTAAGTGACAGAGTTAATGTTTGAGCCTATGTCTGTCTGACTCCAGACCTTTTTCTCCCACCATGCCAGGCTGCTAGCTCATAGAACAACTACTATATGCACAGGAGGCCTCTTACATCTATTATGGTTTTAAAGGAACTCTGGGTTTTAGCTTTTAAGTAAAAATGATTAATTATCTGGGAGTGGGTCACCAGAAGAATCATCTACAATTCCACATTTATTTAGGATATCACTACATTTCATTATAATTTGTTATTCCATTAGTATACCAAGGGACCCATGAATCTTCTGGAATTTCATGCAAAACTGTATATGTGTGTATATGCATTTTTTTTGAGGCAGGGTCCCATAACATTCATCTTATTTACAAGTAAATCCAAGATCCCCAAAAGATTAAGAATCATTGCTCTATTTACTACCGATTTTGAAGAAAATTTTTGCTGCTTCATTATGTTAATAATTCTTTATGCAATGAGATGTAGCCCAAACTACTGAGGCCAGTTACACTACAACACTAGTTCCTACTATTTAAATGTCTGCTTAATTTATACCTTGTGAAAGAACAAAGTGTGACTTTCCAAAATTTGTAAATAACAAAGGTGCCATGCCCTAGTGAAATGATGGGCATACCATTTCTTTATCTCCCCAGAAAGAAACACTTTAAGATGATATAAATAGAATAATAGCTTTGAGTGCTATTTTCTCTTTTCTGAAGATAAAATCCAGTAAAAACGAAGTGAAGGGGCCTCACAGTTAAGGGGGAAGGTATTGGATAGGGCCTGAGCAAGAGCTTTTTTTAGCATCTTAGCTTAGCCATTCATTTCAAGATTGACCTACAAGCGGCTGTCCATCAGAGCCTCACTACCAGATCACACCATTTTTGTCCCCCACAGCAGTTCAGCTCAATGTTCTGAGAAGTAGAGTGAAAACCTCTTCATTTGTAAAAAAAAAAAAAAAAAAGCCCACAGGGAGTATTTGATCAGGACATTGTCTCCTGCATGGTGAATTCTGGCTTCTACATGGGCTGGATCCACAGTAGGTTCAAGTTTATTGGCTTCAGTGGTACTGAGCTATATCTAGAAATGGTCAGGGAGCTCTGAGCCAAAAATAGAAAAACACAGCTTTAAATTAGATGGTTGACGATAAGGTTTGTGGATGAAGGCTGTTTATTTGAGAAAAGGAAAGATAAAGAAGGCAACTACTGGGGAGGGCAAAAGAAGAGAGTACCAGGAGCCTGGCTTCATTGAGAAGGCTTCACACCTTCTCAATTCCAAAGAAAGCACGGATGCTAGACTATAAGATACATAGGGCAGAAACAAGGAACGAGGTTAGTCTTCCCCCATATGAGTAGGTCTTTGACAAATACTGTGCAGTAGAAAATAAATTAATTAAAGGATTTGCCCTATATTTACAGATATTTACACCTCACCCCCAAGATGCAGATATGTAAGCCAGTTAATAGGTCAAGGTCTCAAATATACTTTTCCTTTCGGGAAAGACACTCTCCTGGTTGTCCTTCTGTGGACAATTAGCCATGGGCATATTTAGAAGCAGGAAGTAACCTTAGGAGTTTGTCAAAGCCATCACTCTGACTCTTAGAATGGTCTCGGCTAGACGCCTTGCCTAGAATTAGGGATTGACAAAAATGGGAGTTCTCTTTCACATTTGATATCTAGTTACCACAAAACATATAAAAATAAATGCAGTAACAACTCAAAGTTCAAGCCGAGCCTTATTTTCCTAATGACAGCAATACCTACCATTTGTATAGCACATTTACCTTCTGAAATTGCCTTCGTAGTCATTATCTCCTTATGAGGCTTCCGTCACTCATTACAATGTGGGGACATACTGCCGACAACCAATAAAGCTTTCCTCCACATAATGGCAGATGCAGCCCAAAGTCCAAGAAACAGAGAAATTTTCAAACACATCATGCTAGGTTTTGGGGATCTCCAAAATTTGCCTCTCACAGGATCCTTATTTCTGGAACCCACCAAGCATTCCTCGTCTGTATTCCTCCACAAAACCAGTTTGGCCATCTCCAACGAAAGGATTTCAGACTTGATGGGGGAAGTTGCTATGGCAACCAACTGCTAAATCTTGACTTTAAGAGGGGTTTCGTGAAAGCACAGGCTCCGACTGTTAGCTGTGAATTTTAAAGACCCCACAAGGGTGTTGGATGCCCTCCTAAGCTAGAAGTGTTACAGTCTCTGCATCTGCTGTGACAGATGGTGGGAACGCATGAGGCGCCGACTCCATGGTGGTGTACATAGGACTCCAACGGAGAGACGTGTCATGGTACGGAGGAGAGCCCAGCCAGACAGAGTGTGCCCTGCAGGAGCACTCATGCAACCACACTGTGAAAAAGAAAAGGCCCTGAAAGGTAGTTGGTGCAGGGTCTGGAGACAGCTGCACTTGATCTGTGCTTGGTACCCTGACAGTAGACGCCTCGAGGTACCTTGGATGATGGACAGTGCTTTTGGTCACTTCCCATTCTACAGCTGAAGGACTGAGGCATAAATCTCATTCAAAGATTAAAGAAAAACCTTGAAGCTAGGGGTCCTCAGACATGGCTGGGCTCACCATAAGTTCTCCATGAGGAAAATGCAGATTAAGGCCAAATGCCCTCAACCGCTTCTATGCTTCAGGAAGGGGTTGGCTTTTATGAAATAAAATTGGGTGTGCTCCTTCTAAAAAGGGAAATCTTTGTAAGATATCTGACTTGGGTATTATCTAATTGTTTGATCTCCCTTCCCAGCAGAGACATCGAAAGGAGGCAAGTCCAGGGTCAAATAGCCCCAAGCAACTCTGGGAAGGGAGTCAGAGGGAAGTGTGCCAAAAGAACATCCTAAAGGAAGGTGCTTTAATGGAGTTACAGAACGGAGTGTAGCATGTGTTAGCAATCCAGGTATCAGGAACAAAATCGGGACTGAGCTACCCTGCCAAATTAGGTAAAAATCCAAACCAACCAATCAGCCAACCAACCAACCAACAAACAAACAAAAACAGGGAAGGTTAGAGAGAGAGACAGCGGTTCAGAGCAAGCAAAGAAGAGGGCAGCTGGTTTGAGTCTGGGAAGTGGGTCGAATGCCCCTCAACAGGTTTACACATTTCCACATGGTTGGGTCTGGCCTATGGAAAGACCTGGGACAGAAGAGATTTCAGTGAACGTCTTGGATAAAGATTAAAACTTAATTTAGCTGGGAAGCCTATGCTCCTTGCAGAACCATAAAAGCTACATATCTTGAAAAGGGCAATGAGGGGTCTGTGGCCAGGATTGATGGGGGCTGTGAAATAAAGCAGGTGTGTGAAGCCAACAGCTGTCCATATGGCAGAATGAAGGCCAGGGAGAGAGGAAAGAGAAAGGTCACTGAAACCAGGTAGTCTGTGTCTCCATCAAAAACACAAAACCAAAACAATCAAACAAACATACAACCATAACAAAAAAACCCTTGCAAAGCGCAGGGAAAGTCAACCTCTGGCTGGATCCAGGGAGCATTAAGCCATGCAGCCCTAGTGTTTTGCTGTTAGCCCCACTTAACCAGAGGCACACCTGGGGTTACAAACCTGGGGACATATGGGAGAGAATGTCAGGGTGCAGTTGGCAAAGGGGGCTAACAGCAAAGCATCAGGGGGCTGGGGCTCTGCTGCAGCCACATAGAAGTGAAACAATTCTAAGCCTTCTGTCTTAGTTCCTTTCCTGCAGCTTGAGCAGTGGGGACAGGTTTGAATAATGGTCAGGAGTGTGAGTTCTGAGTCAGGCAGCCTGAGTTTGAAGTCCAGCTAGGTCATTAACTAGGTAAGTGATCTTGGGCAGATAAGTCAACAACTCTGTAAAATGGGAATAAGAGTACCATCTACTTCATAGTGTTACAGTGAAGCTCCAATTACGTAATCTAAGTAAAGCACAATGCTTGACACACAGTGAGCTCTCAAACATCACCTATCCTTATTTTTACCGAAAACCATTTTTTTCCTAGGTATTTCCCACTGGTCTCCCCTGACCTGGAAGGGCACACAGTAGGCTTTCTGAAATTGTCAATGCAATGAACCTAATTTACATGCATGCTGAATTACCAGACAGCCAAATGATAAAAACATAAATTGTTATAGAATGAGAACTGTTAGAAGAGGTCACAGTGCTCAGCAGAAGATTGGGAATGGCAGGCATACCTTGGGGTACCAGCCTACCATTTCTCAAGTGCATCCAAGTTCAAATTGGAAAGCCTTTGGGCACTTGATGATCTTAAGAACAGTTGCTAGTGCTGAGTATATCCCATGCATTGGGCTGAGTGCTCTAGGTATATTACATCCCTCCCAGGTAGCATGTTGCTAGAATAGAAATACAGAGGGAGGCTGGAATGAAAAACAGATCAGCAAGTATTCTCCAGCTCCAGTTCTTCCATAGATTCCTGATACATCTTTGAAAAGTCTATAAATTGCACAAGGAGGATATAAAGAGGGAGCAAAACAATGCTTTTTCTTTCTATTTTTGTATTGTCTTTTTATTCTATTTATTTATTTATTTGAGACAGGGTCTCATTCTGTCACTGTGGCTGGAGTGCAATGGTGCAATCTCGGCTCACTGCAGCCTCGACCTCCCAGACTCAGGCAATCCTTTTGCCTCAGCCTCCTGAGTAGCTAGAACTACAGGTGTTGCACCACCATGCCTGTTTAATTTTTTGTATTTTTATTAGAGATGGGGTTTATGCCATGTTGTCCAGGCTGATCTTGAATTCCTGGGCTCAAGCAATCTGCCTCCCTTAGCCTCCCAAAGTGCTGGGATTATAGGTGTGAGCTGCCACGCCTGGCCTATCTTTTCTCTCCTTCCTTAGTGTATAAGTTTTCTATTCCTACAGTAAAAGCATACCACAAAGAAAGTGGTTTAAAACAACATACATTTATTATCTTACCAGAAGTTTAACATGAGTTTCACTGGGCTAAAATCAAGGCGTCTATAGAGCTATGTTGCCTTCTGGAGGCACCCGGGAGAATCTATTTTCTGTGTTCTTGCCTTTTCCAGCTTCTAGAGGCTGCTGACATTCCTTGGCTCATGCCTCCTTCCTCCATATTCAAAGTCTGTAATGGCTGCTTGAGTCCTCCTCACATCACCTCACTCTGACCTCCTTTTCTGCCTCCCTATTTCACTTCTAAGAATGCTTGTGATTACATTTTGACCACTCAGATAATCTTCCCCCCAAATCTCCCTGTTTTAAAGCCAGTTGTTTAGCAACCTCCATTCCATATGCATCACTAATTCTCCTTTGCCATGTAACGTGACACATTCACAGGTCCTGGAGATGAGAATGTGGACATTTTTGGGAGTGCATTATTGTGTCTCTCACACCTGGTGTTCTGAAGCATGGTGCAGGTGACAGGTAAACAGAGACTCACTTGGGGATGCTCTTAGGAAGGATGCCTGAGGAGAGCTCTGGCACCAGGAGGCTGCTCCTTTGCAGTGACTGAGCATCTGTGTTTGTGTGTTTGTGTGTGTGTGTGTGTAAAAGTACACAAGTGCACTGCACAGCTCCATGCATCCATATGGGCAGACCCCTCAGTATGGCTGGGAAAGCACATGTCCCAACACTATGACATTTCCAAGTAAGCTAGCTAGAGGATTTCAAAAATAACGTCGACTTGACTTGAAGCCAATTCCCACACTCAGCTCTTTGGAGAAAGGCTCTGGGATAGAGTGTGGGAGGCGATAAAGTTTCTTACTGATGAGCATGTGGGATGACCACATCACCAATGCTTTCCAATTCCAGCATTCATGAAAATGAGAGTCTTTGCAGTATTGTTTCTCAGCTGCTATCCAAAATGAAGATGCTGCACCTTAGTTTTGTCTTGGGGTTTGGGAGATTATTTTTAGTCTTCCTCTGTGTCTTTCCAATAGGAAATTCATTCATGGTCACAGACATTGAGAAGCTATTAGCAGGGGAGGGGCTTCCCAAAGTCATTTTCAGCAGGGATTAGAAATGAGACATCTGGAAGGGACTGAAGAGTTGATGGGAGAGCTTTGCTGTAGACAAGCAGCTTCCTGGCACATGGAACAGTAATGCTTAGTAATGGTTGTTTTTTAAATAGTTTTGAATGACAACTATGTTGGATCTGACATGTCTGGGGAAATTAAGCAACCTTTATAATCCCACCTTTGCAGATTTCATGATAAATAAAACACAGACTCTGCTTTAGGTAGCTGTGGGACTTTGGGCAAATCGTGTAACTTCTTAAGGAATTCAAATGTGAATGTAAAGCATAGAGGCAGTTTATCATTGAGACCCCTCCAAGCCTAAAGCACCAATCCCTTCTTTTCACATGTAACTGAAGGTGTGCTTCCTTTTCTTTAAAATCCAAGTAGGAGCATCCAAAGCTCCCCCCGGGGATCAAGCTTCTCTCAGAAGTGAGTTTAACAACTGAGATTGTCCCAAATCCTTCCAATCCAAGCCAGCTGGAGAACTAGGGTACCAGAGACTAGCTCAGTTGCATGGAGAGCCCCCACCTCTGAGATTAGCTCTTTTTAATTTCTCCCAAGCATACTAGCTTTTGGGCATGGTACACAGCCCATCTGTTTGGTTTGGTGTTTGCCTGACAGCGTGGGAGGAGCAGCAAGTAAGCACAGTCTTAGACTTCAGATGTTTAAAATGTTGTACTTTCTCCTCCATATGGGGGCCTAGAATCTCTGTGATGGGCCCACATAAAACAACTTTAACACCTAAGATGGTGAATTTTAGATGTTTCAGTTACCTGCTACTCTCCCAGAGGGATCTAGTCATAGATTATAACAGAAGTAAGGGCTAGATATCTTAGACTCATCCTCTATTAAGATCTCTCTACCTCAGCACCTGAAGAAGATGCGAGTGTGGTGGGCTGGGGTAGAGGGGGTTGGCGGGGGGTGGCTGCACATGCTGTACAAAAAGCTTCAGGGTTTGGGCCCCAACTCCAGCAACGTTTAGCTTGGGAATCTTAGATATCACTTTAACGCTTTCCTTTGCTCTAAGGGATCATACTACTTTGGGAAGGATCTATTTGTGGTACTCAATTTACCAAAAACAAGCCATCATAGAGACTACTGTAGGTGAATGTCTTCTTCAGTGAAAGTGCAAAGCAAACTGAAATAAGAGATCCATGCTCCTGGCTTTGTTGGAACCCAAGGAGCAATGGGAGAGCTCTAATTCATGCCACACTAGAATTTGAACCCTCCCTCAGGGAAACCCCAGCTCCATTTGATAGTATAACAGACTTGAAGACGTTCCTACTCTTTGACCCAGTACTCTCTCACTAAGATTTATCTGAAGAAAATAACTTCAAATGTGTCCAGCATTTATGTGTAAAGATGTTCATTTTAATAGTATTTATAAAAATAAAAATTTAAAGCATCCTAAATGTCAAATAATAGGGGACTGTTTAAATGAGCTATGATATAGACATACAACGGAATACCAAATGGCCATTAAAATTATGTGTTTGAGGATTATTTAATGATTCTGGAAAAGTTATGATGGAATGTTAAGTGAAAAAAGCAGGAGAACTCTACTAGACTTAGTATGCTTCTAGGAAGCCCTTAAAAATCATGCATAGTAAAGAGACTGGAAGGGAGGACATTAAAATTTTAAAAGTGACTTATCCAGGAGATAGAAATATTGATGATTATCATTTTCTTCTATAAACTTTTCTAATTTTTAAAAAGTTTTCTACAATAAACATGCATTAATTTTATCATCATAAAATGTCTAGCCCCAGTATTTAAATATCCCCTGACTATGGGATAAATGGGTTATGGAAGTCATCCTAAAACTGAGTTTTCTGGCTTGGGACTACAGTTAGTATCCTTCCAAGTCTTCTGCCAGAAAATGACCACAGTTTTAGCCAATAAGCTCTGCGGCCCAACCACATGCAGGCAGTCCGCATGGTCTAGGCTCGAGATGGCAGTGGGACGGGGAGTTGGGAGGCATGGTCTGAATTTCAAGGGAGTGATTGCAAGAGGCATGATCTCTCTGACAGTTACCCGCTGCCCGGTGCTCCCGCCTACCAGTTTCGGGGTCACATTGGTGTTCACAGGGGTCCAGGAGCCGCCGGGCACAGAGGTCCATGGCCCAGGGTCCGCTGGAGTTCTGCTGAGAGAAGAGAACCACTTGGGCAGGGTTCAGCCAGTCACTGGCATCCAGCTGGCTCCCCTCCAGCAAGATGAAGCGGCTCCCTGCAGGGTGAGAGAAAGGAAGCATGCCTATATGTGCAACACAGCACACGTCCACAAGCCACCGAAGACAAGGAAATCCCAACCTGAGAATTAGTACCAATCAGAGATCCTAACTCTCACCATTCCTAGCCCATCATTAGCCCCAGAGCAAGGGATCAGCAGACAGAGGCTGGGCCATCACTTGGACCTCTGTGAGGCCAGACATTGAACTCTCCAGCAATGGAGTCCCCTGCTGCCTTGCTCCATTCCGTCTTTCCAGGGAGTTCCTAAGGAACACAGGGACAGAGGAGCCCTGTGATGGCCATGGCATGGCTCCATCAGACCCAGCCACAGGCACTGGCACTCCTCCAAAGAACAGGGGCTGCTGCCTGTCTTCACGTGCTATGAGAATTGCAGGCCCTCTAACACTGCGTGAACAGTCCCCACCTGTTTCCAGCCTTACAGCAACTCAGAGAACAGACATTAACAAGTCAATTAGGTGCTCTGGGCTTAAATGATTCAGGGACTCTCAGAACCTATATTACTCCCTCATTATATTGGGGTCCCCCTGGATGAAAGTAAATTATTACTTCTGAGTTCTAGGCTTACAGCAAGTTACTGCAATTAGGAATTTCTCACCCAGGCATACAAAACCAAAGCATGGCTAATTCTTAAACACCTCTACTACTCCACTTAGCTTTTTCCTTTTCAAAGGCTAAGGGAGTCTTGGTGCCTTCCTTCCTCTAGCCAGTGGGCTGTGCATTTCTCTCAAAGACAGAGACGTATTAAAAACAAACAAAAATGGGAGATGGCATAGAGAAGAAGAGGTGATCACTTTAGTTTATTTTTTAACCTGTGTTCTAAGTTCATCTATGGGCAATACAATTGTATCCTCATCCTTACTTATTTCAGTTTGGTTTTCCCCCGGTAGAGTAATAGGTAACAGTGACTCCTGTCTTCTCTAGCCTTTGCCCAACCAGAAAACTTTCCTTTTTGGGGGGCAAGGTCGCATCCTCAGAAGAACAGGCTCACCATCAGCAATCAGGTGCTCAGGGACATGCAGGGTGATCTTGACAACGAGAGGGCAGTTGACGTGAGAGGAGCACACGAGGCCAATCACACAGCTGGTGATGCTGATCAGGGTCAAGGTGGTCTTATTCACAGGACTTCGGGGAGAACCCACTGAAAGTGAGACAAAAGCAAGATACATGGTGGTAAAAAGCTTGGCATTGAGAGTCCAACTTGGCTTTTTGCCAATCATCCTGGCAAACAGGGGAGACAGTTGGCAAAACTAGCCCATGGAGGGAACTGTCTCTGGCTGCATGACCTCAGTGACCTTCTTCCTCACAGACACCATGCCATCAGTTGGAGTCAGAGGGGACTTGGCCAACTGGTGGCCCTCCAGGTCAATAATAGTCTGTTGGCCATTTTCACTCTTCCTGGGCCAAGTTCACAGGAGAAATCATAGAGGGGGCATTCTCTTCCCTAGTCGCCTTACTAAGCTCCAGGCTTTTGCCAAGGGTGGGCGGGATGCTTTAATCCCACACTATACCTCCCATCGCTCTTCACAGAGGGCATTCTGCACAGAGCAACTCCACCCCCATAGTGCACACTGCTGCTCCAGGAGGAACTTCCTGAGCTGGAAGAGCTTGTGCTTACTCTATGGGCAAGACTCCTACCAAGTGACTCTTACTCTGTGGGACCTGGAATGAGGAAAATGAGGAATGTCTGCTCTGTATGAGCAGACAACATTGTCACACCAGGATGCTCTCCACAGTCCTGGAATCATTGGAGGAAATAATCATTGCTGAGGATTAAGAAACACTCCTGGGGAGGTGGAAATAGGGATAGGGAGGGAAGAGTGTTTTGTTTCTTTATTTTTTTTGTACCATTGTTATTTTTTTTTAATTTTTTGTTTCTTGGCTTTTTTTTTTCCTGTTGGGGAGAAGACGAAATGCCATTAAGCAGGGGAGCCTTATGCTTATGGAAGCAGAACAGATGTGGGAAAGTAAGAAAGCAAGACGACAGAATGTGTGGGTCTTTTGGAATTTTCTTCTGCTCTGTGTTAATACTTATTATTGATAGCAATAAAAGGTTTCCATTAAGGCAGACACTGTGCTGAGTTTTTTTACGTACCTTATTTTATTTTTAATATTTGCTTTCTTACAATAAGCCTATGAGTCTGTATGGGAACCACCCACTTTACAGATAAGGAAAATAGATCTGTAAGAGTTGACGCTCCTTGTGGCAATTAACACTTATGAAGTGATGATTGTGTGTCAGGCTCCAGTGCTCAGGGTTTGATGTGGCTCGCATCATTGACTAGTGTCCCCAGTCTTAGGAGGCAGCTCCCCTGGAGGAATAGAGGGTTAGAGAGGCTGGAGAGCATGCCTAGTCCCAGGAAACTACTAAGGTGTGGAGCCAGATAAAAATGCAGATCCAGGTGAGGTTTCAGGACACAGGAACAATGCACTACTCAGTCTTTGGGCCCAGTGGTGCCTTTGGAACTGATGTCCTCAGGAACACAGGGATGAGTTTTTGGTTTATGGATATACTTGTCCTTTAGGGGAGCAGTTTCCTCTGGGTGCATGTGTTGGCAGTAGCTGGAAAGGAGAGACTTGAGGGCAGAAGGTAGTCTCTGGGTCCTCTGTCCTTGATAGATGGAAATATTCTGTGCATGTTACTATCCTTTCATAATACAGTCTATTTTCCTACGCTTACAGGTTTCCAGCCCAGCCCAGGCCTCAGATGCAGATCCACCTTCTCTCAAAACCTCACTACCTCCTCTCACCACCTTCTCTCAAACCCTGCTCCTCCAACTACTTCCATTGCCCAGCCAATGGCACTGCCACACATTTGGTTGCTCAAATTTAAAAACTCCATTATATCCAACTCTTTTCTCTTGCTTACAAGCCACACCCCCACCCTGCCCTCACCAATGCCATTAAATCTTTGTCTCTTTAGGGTATGTTCCCAGCAGTGGGATTGCTGGGTCATATGGCAGCTGTATTTTTAGTCTTCTGAGGGACTTCCAGACTGTTCTTCATAGTGGTTGTACCAATTTACATTCCCACCGCAGTGTACAAGGGTTCCCTTTTCTCCACATCCTCACCAGTGTTTGTGATTGCCTGTCTTTGGATAAAAGCCATTTTAACTGGGGTTAGATGATATCTCATTGTAGTTTTGATTTGCGTTTCTCTCATTTTGTGTCCAAAACTTATCTGGCCTCCATTCTTTCCATCCCTCCCTACCCATATCATCTTATATCTAAACTGAAGCAGAAGCCATCCACCTGTTCCCCTGCCTCAAGCTCACCCTGCTGTCACCTATCCTGCATGTTGTCCCTGGGAGGATCCTTCATGGAGCAGAGCAGACCAGGATGTTGCTCTTTTGTCAGGTCCAAGGCCCTTGGAATCAAGCTCATGTACTTTCTGGCTTCTGCTGATCTTCTAACATTATTTCCTAAGAAAACCACAAACCTGCACCCTAAGCTCTATTCTAGTAAACATTTTACTGCTCCCTGACAAGACCATCATAGTTTATGTCTCAGTGACTTTGCACAGATTATTTCCTCCTCCACAGAAGGCCATTTTGTCACCTTGTCAGCCTGGTATACACCTACTCTTCAAGTCTCAGCTCAAACAACATCTCCCTGTAAACACTTCCCTGAAACCTCCAAGAACAGATTCTCACTGATTCCTTGGTGTTCTAGCCCTTGGTGCTATAAGGTGTGATAAGAGCTGTTAGAGCTCTTATCACATAGAATCATCACTGTTTACAGGCAATTGCCACTGCTCTCATGTGATTTCAATGACTTGCTACGGATATTCCTGACTCTATGGTCTTTCTGCATCATCGACCCATAATCCAGCATCTCTACCTGGTTTCAGAACCTCCAATGGTTCCTTACACCCCACTGAGGCAAGCAGAAACTCAGTCACATGGCATGTGCATGGTCCTTTGTTAGCCATTTTCCAGCCTCATCCTTACCATCTCGTGTGCGTATATATTTATAACTTGATGACAGCTGCCATATTGAACGACTTTTACTTCCTTTAAAACACCATGTTCTTTTGTCCCTTCAAGGCTTTTTATGTGCCATTTTCCTTTACTGAAATGCCCTTATCCTAGACTTCTTCTCCTCTTTTGAGAAACCCAGTACAGTGTGTGTGTGTGTGTGTGTGTGTGTGTGTGTGTGTGTGTGTGTGTGTGTATGTGTATATATACATATATATAAAACCTAGTTCTAATTACTTTCTCCTTTTTTGCCTCCCATTGCTTTCAGGTAGGATTAACTGTCCTCTCTTCTGAGTACTCTCTTCACTTTATTTATATTATTAAATTAAGCCTTATCACTGGGCCATATTTTCATGTTTCTACCACCTATCACAAACCTGACCCACAGCAGGTGGGTTATAAAATGTTTTTGCTGCACTGATGGATATATCCAATCCAATTCAACAAACACTTACAAGCATCTGTTACAGGAAAAATCCTTCACTAGGCACTTTGGAAAAATAAATTAGGCATTCCCCACCCCTAAGAAGCTTACAGTCTGGTTAATAGCGTAAAAAGTTGATGCATTAGGAGACCTTGGTATTTAAAAGGAACAGTTTCATGCTGTCGAGAAACTAATTCATTACCATGGATTTTTCTGAAACAAGACTTTATTAAAGCAGGACACACCCTGCTTTGATTAGGCCTGGATTAGCTGGGCCTAGGTTGGGTATCCACTGTCTAAAATTTGTAATAAGTATCAAGGGAGATTGGGAGACCCTAATCCACATTCTCGCCTCACAGAACCTGGCCATTCAATATTAGAATACCCAGAGCCACAATGATCTCTTGAGAAAAATGATGGAAAAACTTTTATTATACTGATAGTAGTTAAGCCTATAGAAACTGGAATTTATAATCAAAAGGGCTTCTTCAAATCTCTGGGAAGAACACCTGTTATGAAGGGAATTCAAGTGGAGGTACGAGAGAATAAAAATGTATATGTCTTTCAGGAGACACTGGTTGACTATTGGTTGAGGAAATTGTTATGGAATGTATTACAAGGAGATGCCACTCAAATATCCTCTACTGTATCTTACAGGGACGCTGCCTAAAATTCTTTAAGATGGGGCACTGTATAAATATGGGGCTGCATGATGGAGAGTTCTAACAGCAACAATAGGGATTTCATAGTGCTTTAGCAATCTCCAAAAAGGCACATTTTAATATAATTTAATCCTGATAAAGCTCTATGTTCTACGCACAAGGTATTGTTAACTCATTTGACATGTGAGTAAACTGAAGGTCAGAGAACTTGTTGTTCTTATCCAGTACCACACAGCAAATAACTGGTAAAGCTGACCGGCGCTTGTGCTCCGAACTCCGCTGGTGTGGTGGTGATACAAGTGAAGTCAGAGGCAGTGGGAGCTGTGGCCGGAATAGCCACAGTTGAAGCCACTGATCATGACAGTGAAGTGGCACACAGTGGCTGCGTGGAAGGACAGCTCTGTCCACGTGGAGGAGAATGGATTAGCCACCTTAACCCTGCCAGGGGAAAGGAAGGAACTGGGAGGCTCGGGGTCCTGTGATTCTACCAGGCAGGGGCTTAAAGGTCAAAGACAATTACACAGATTTTCAGGCCATAGATCATTCCTCAACTACACTGCCCCCAATCCTTGCCTAGCTCAAACCCAAGGCCAATGTGGTAGAGGAAGCAGGGGTACATATAGTATCCATCTTTTCACATACAACACACTTTATTAACTTTGTTTGTCTGAACAGCAAAATATGACTCCTGAGTCTTCCAGAAGAAATTGAGAGTCATCTGACCAAGAAATAGCCTTTCAAACAATTTGGAAACTTGTTTGAGAGTGCCATTATCTGGGAGAGATGATTCTCTGAAATTTTCCACTCTAGGCTCTTCTTTCTTCCTTAGGAGGAAACACCAGTTGTGGTCCAAAAATTCTTCTTGCAGAAACTGGTTTTGTTCCATAGAGCCCACAACCCAACCCAACACCTCTTCGCCTTCCCCCGCCTCCCTCACTCCCAGATCCTTTACCACCTTCTGCCACCTCTATCATTCCTACCTCTACTACGCCTCCTGCTCCTTGAAGGATCCGTGTAAAAGGTCAGCTGGGGGTCGTTTTCTGCCTCTGTGCCAGAATCCCCTTCAGGGTTCAAGAAGGCGGAACCAGCTGTAATGAAAGCAGCATGGTCAAGAAAGCGTTTTCAGTTCTGGTTTCATGACACCAAACCTTTGGGCAAGTTCAATGGGAAAATCAACAAAAATGAAAGTAAGCTGACTGATAATCTGGGAGAAATAGCCAAGGGGGTTGGGGCTTCCTCATACACGGATATGTTGGAGAAGTAGACCATTGGGACAGCAATCACTGGAGCTCTACCCTGCCCCACCCACTTCCCTCTGACTAGGGCCATTTCTGGCACCTATCTGCCAGAGAGGACCTCCAGGGAAAGTGGGTGGAATAGGAAGAAAGGGAAATTTCCCTCATTACAGGTTATGATTCTGTTAATATGAGACTATCTAAGAGGTATAGGAAATTACATCTTTGTGTTTTTTCTGGCTCTAGAATTATATATATTTAATACAAAAAAGACAGAATAGAATAAAGGAAATGCACAAAACTATGTAAAGGGAACAATTCTAATGCCCTCTAAATCCTTTAAATCAGAGATAAACTCTGCTAACATTTCATGTGTATACTCTCTGGCTTTTACTGACACAGAAACAGGTAAAGGTTTTTTAATCTCTCTTTAAAAATGACATTATGCTGTATCTTCTATTTTATAACTTCATTTTTTTTCCCATTTAATAGATGGGTGGGCAACTTTCCATATTAACAAATATAGATCTATATTGTTTCAAATGGCTGCATGGTAAGTGCTGGACAGCAGACAGATGTGCTAGGTAGTTAACCAATTCCCTGTTGATGGACATTTAAGCTATTTCCAATTTTTCACTTGTTTAAACAATGCTGTGATGAACGGCCTTTTACACACTTCTTTGCACACTTGTCCAATTATTTCCTAAGAATAGACTCTTGTTGGTGAAATTACTTGGTCAAAAGGTTTGCACATTTACATTTTTTTGGTAAGTAGCATTTAACTGGCCTCCAGAAAGGCTGTGCCAGGGCATACCCTCTCCAGCCACGCATGAGAGAATGGGTAGAAGATATTAATGGCCCTGCCTCTACCAATATGAAGGAATCCACCCACGAGCCCTAATGTCAGACATGCATACCTCTTGCTTTGTTGTTGATCCGCTTTCTCTGGCTGCTGGAGGTGTGAGAGAGAAGGGTGGCTTGCTGGTGGTTGGAGTCCACAGGGCTAGTGGCTATAATATTATCTTTATACTTGTTCATCAGTGACAGCTTGGCATTGTCACTTCCTGTATAAGGAAAAGACGAGGCAAAAACTTTAAGAGAAAAGACCAAAAGAAAGGGAGAAGAAGGAAATCTGCATAAACCAAGAAGATAAGGTCTCACAGAATTGAAATAAGACACCAGCAAACTGAGAGACTGGCTGCAAGAAACTGAAATACTCCTTTTTTATTTCTGAGGGACTGCAAAGTTATGGGAGAAGCAGTGAAGTCAGGGAACTACAACTGAAAATCCAATTCAACTATTATTATATTATGTATTATAATATTCTGTATTGATAAGGTCAGCACTTGTAACCCTTTGGCTAAATACAGACTGCAGATTTCTTTATTTTTGGTCAGCACAGAGTTTTAAAAGAATTTGAATTTGTGTGCATTCAGGCAGAACATGCCCCTTCTCTTTCATCACAGTCTGCGCCATTCTGTATTGTCTGACCTCTTCTCTGCTTCAAATATCTGTGTTATCTGTTGGCCTCCTAAAGGCATTTGAGTTGATAATAACCCCTGAGTACCATATGTCTACTTTGTGGGCTTAGCACTACACCAGGTGTTATGGTCAATATGAAGAGATGTTGATGATATGTCCCCCATATTCTCAAGGAATTTTCAGGCTTTAAATCTCATTAGAAATTGGCTCTTCATGTAGAATGTCTTGTAGAGAACAAGCAGAATAAAAACCTCTATGTGATTCCACTTTTTCAAGCCCCACTGAAAGTCTATATATAGTAAGCAACATTCAGCATCAAACATGTCTTCCTCAAAGATAATTGGGCAGTTCTTTGAAGGATCACTGTCAAGGGTTTATCTATGGAGATTTGCTGATTCATAGAAGTTTTAAAGAGAAATAGGCAGATTACTGTAAAGGAAGAGTGCAGTCTTTCTCTCTCTGCAGTTTTTGACCCTAATCTTGTTCATCTGGATTAGTTCTTCCAGTCAGTGTCTCCATAGATACACAATGCATCTGGGGTCTGATACCATGATTGCAATCCTTCATTTTCTTTGAAGAAGTGCATCCCTTGTAGAGAGCACAGAGGCATGAGCAAGATAAACATAAAGAAAACACCCCAGGCCCAATTCTCAGGAGTCATAGGAAAAAGCAGATACCACTGTCCCCTCCGCTTCAATGGAGAATTAAATTGCCTAAGCAAGTATAAAATATACAAGAAGTCATATACACATGTTCATTTTTCTTGCTATCTCATTTCCCAGAGGGTTGCTCATTACATACTAAAATGGCTCTAACTCACTCCTCTGTTGAACGTTAAAGTATGTTGCTTCCAGTGCCTGGTGGAAGTGAAAGAAGATCCAATTTACACGGTTCTTCTGGTTTTCTAGATTAGAAAACAGCTCCCATCATCTCAGGAAACAGGTTATTCTTGCCTATCTAGGGAAGGGCACTGCCACATCACACTATGTAGGACAACCAGCTGTTGTCACACAGCTGTTCCTACCCACTCCCCAGCTCCTTGAGATGAAGGACCAAACAGCCCCTTGCCTTTCTCCCATCCCCACCTGGTGTGAGGTCCATCCCCGACTTTTCATTGCAGCCCTGCAGGGAGTCGAGGGTGCGCGTGACCTGGCTGGCAAAGTCCTCCCCTCCGTTCATGCACTCCCTCTGCAGATGGTGGCGCAGATCAGTGATGTCATACTCATAGCCGTCCAGGATAGGTGTCTCCCGGATGCTCAGGGTGCCACTGGAGTTGTGGCCCTGCACGCGGGCATTGCGCAGGCTCTCCCGTCCGTGCCCGCCGATCAGCACAGAAGGAATGTAGTGAATCTCATTGGCTGCCTCAGCACTGGCACTCTTCTGGGGCTGCGGGACCCGGCGGCGTTTGCACCAGCGCCGGCGAGTATACAGGATCATCACCAGGCACAAGATGGACAGCAGCAGAGCGATCATGCCACCCTAGGAAGAGAGGACCACAGATGGATGTGGGAAGATGGGTAGGCTCTTCCCACAAAGAGTCACTGCTCCTTCTGCTACCACCATTCATCACTTATTTATGCATTCATTCATTCAGCTGTATTAAGCATTTACAGCAAGCATCATTCAGCAGCAAAGGGAAATTCTACTGTGACTGGTATTTAGGGTGAGAGAAAAATGGAGCTGGGATGACCAGTGCATCATTTCAAGTGATCCAGTTGCTTCGGGCTTAGCAAACAATTTGAAGAAACAAGTCTGTGTGTGTGTGTGTGTGTGTGTGTGTGTGTGTGCGTGATTTCAGCTGCAAAAACAGGGGAGAGCTTTTATGTATTAAGTTAAATCTGCCACACATAACGCTGGTTTCAGGACTTTATTTTTTTTAGCAATATGGGGTGACATCTGGTTTCTTCCTGTCTCACGTCTAAACATCAATCATAGATTCTAACAGTGGTTCCACCAATTATCAGTGGGTCCTATAAATTCTAAACCTCGGATACGTCATCTGTATAATGGAGAAGACACCACTTAACCACCCAGGGTGGTTGTAAGAATTAGGTTAGCTAACTATGTAAAGTGCCTAGCATAATATATCTCACACAATCAAAGCTGTTCTCAGCATAACCTTAAATGTCTCCATCTGAATAACTGGCCCAGCAGGAAAAACCATTGACAAATCTGAATAGAAATTTACATCCATCAGGAATTTACCACCAAGTGTGGGGAGGAATCTCATCATCTGAACATGACTTTTGGGTCACAGCTTTCCCTTAACCACACAGTCCTGAGTGATGTTCCGTCTTCTTACTAAAGCTCAGGGGAAGGGATTGAAACCCAAGTCCTGGAGTCAGGCTGGTGGAGGAGTTACCTTCTGGTGCTCAAAGGCCAACACCTCGAAGGTCATTCCTTACAAATCAGGACACCACTCTGTCGACTGCCAGAGGTGAGGATGCAGAACTCAGTGAGACTGAACACATGGCCTTGACATCACCGGGGCAGCATTTAGAGGGACAGCCTTTAAGCTTGGTGCTGCATGGCACTCGGTGGGCATAAATCTTCCCGTGCACAATCTCTATTCACTCCCTTTATTTTGGTCAATATCTTTCCAAACCTATTTCATTAGGCCAGCATGTGCCAAATGGTTCTTCTCTCAACCTTAGGCTTCAATCATACCTCCCTATCAAATAAGCTAGAGATAAAAATCCGCTACTAATTCCCAGAGGGCCCACCCACATAAAGCTAGGTCAAGAGTATGCCTCCAAATACATTAAAGGGGGCTTTTCCAGTCTCATAATAATTATACCTTGGATTTATAAAATTTCTTTCCCTGAAAATCTTCCTATTTATCCTCCCCCTCTCACCATCGCTGTGAGCAAAGGAACACACACACACACACACACACACACACACACACACACACTGCCACTTTCAAGCAGGCAGCACAGAGGAGCAGAGACACGAGGCAACAGAGTCAGCTGCCAAGTGACAGCCTATATCATGTGGCTTGTTGGGGACAGATGTATGCTGACCTCCTGGTTTTCAATTATTTCTTTTTTTGCAGAACCCTTTCTCCTGGTGCAAGCTCTTATGCAAGTATAGAGAAAGAATAAACATGCTCAGGTTCCATTATGGGTATGAGTCCAAAGCCAAGTATTCTAGGTCCTTGCTAACTGCCACCTCCACTCCCATCCATCCTGGCAGCCCTGCAGACACACACACAGAGCTCCTGGGACCCCCCAGAACACTGCCTAGAAGACACAGTGCCTCCACAGTGCATGACTAAGCCCTGTACCACTCATTGACAGCGAGTATTTGTGTCCAACCTGACATTTTTTTTTAGCAGAACCTGTATCTCAGAGTCAGTGCTATCTTTTCCTTCACCCCAAATTGAAACTGCAACAATAGGTAATTAAGCCACACAGAAGGAATAACTTCCCAACTGAGAGAAGTTGTCAGACATTGAATTAAGCTAGTGAAAACGAGAGGTAATTTTATTCCCTAAGGAGCTGTAAGAGTAGCGTAAGCATCAATCTCTAAGGAATGGCTTAAACACTATGTTTTTTGCTCATGTAGGGTTTTTTAGGAGCTCCTTCCACTGTTCCTCTCTAATTCTCCTTTCAGATGATCACAACAGGGTTATGATGAGGTCTGAGGCATAGACTCATTCCCTATATTATGCAGTAATAAAACAAGATTAGCTGTCCATTATCATGCTTTTACCATGTACCAGATACTTGTTCAAAAGGTTCCTCACTTTTAACTCAATTCCCCATTTTACATTTGAAAAAGATGAGGCGCAGAGGTTAAATAACTTGCCCAACGTCACACAGCAAATGAGGAGTGGGACTGGAATGAGACCACAACTCTTATTTCACAGCCTATATTCTTAAGCACTAGCCTGCAGTCACCCAGAATGAGCATTGCTCACTGGAGAGACATCTACACCCTGGCATCTATCTTGCACAACATAAGAGGACAGAATAGGAGAGTATGGATGAATACATCCAGACCCATTGTCAGTTCTGGAAGAAAAAAAGAGTAACTATTCAAATACTCAAATTTCAAATATTCAAAATGCACATCTAGCTGACAGTGGGTCAAAGGAGGAGCTATCATAAACAAACGACCTTTAGTAAGCACCTACTAAGCATCCAAATCCAAGATTAGTTGGTAGTAAAAAGACGATACTCACATTTCAAGTTATCTGTGTTTAAACAGGACTATTTGTGTCACTACATGCCTGAGAGATACCATTAGGCCTTCAACTGAGCTGAATTTAGATGAGAAATGTGTACTTTCTTTCAACTTAGGGACCCATTGCATATCTATCTCTAGGTTCAGCCCCTTCCTTTTCTGATGAAAAAACCAAGGCTCAGAGAAACTACAGAACTAGACAGTGCAGAACTGGCTCTAGTCCCAGATCTTCCTTCACTGCTCTTCTCACAGGCCATTTTGGTAAGTTCATCCAAAATTCTCTTAACCATGTGTGGAGCCTAGACACTCAATTAAGAATATTTTATGTTCATTTTTCTTAAAAACATAACTTATAGGGAGCTAGAACAGAAGATTTGTTTTGCTAAGCCAGTATATTTAGCTTCTCTAATTTTGCTTTAGTAAAAAACGCTTCCTCTGCTTAGAGTCAGTGACTCTGGATGGGATGACCTCAGCTTTCTTTTTTTTTTTTTTTTTTTTTTTTTTGAGATGGAGTTTTGCTCTTGTTGCCCAGACTGGAGTGGAGTGCAATGGCACGATCTTGGCTCACTGCAACCTCCACCTCCCAGGTTCAAGCAATTCTCCTGCCTCAGCCTCCTGAGTAGCTGGGATTACAGGCATGCACCACCACGCCCGGCTAATTTTGTATTTTTAGTAGAGACGGGGTTTCTCCATGTTGAGGCTGGTCTCAAACTCCTGACCTCAGGTGATCCACCCGCCTCAGCCTCCCAAAGTGCTGGGATTACAGGTGTGAGCCACCGTGCCCGGCCGACCTCAGCTTTCTAATAATCAGTTACCAGGAATAAGCTTCAGCCAATAGGTAAAACTCAGCACAAGCATTTGAAAAAGGATTCTCAGGTACTCAAGTTGTGGTATGGGTTCTCTGCTTCTGTAACTCAAATTGGTGACAGATGTCAAAATACTTTGCAATGGCTTACTAATTGTGGACTATTACATAAATAATAATATACTGTAATGTGATGTGACATTAATATGTGACATTATTTAATAATATTTTGTAATAATTATTTGTAAAATCACTACACATAAATTTCTCTGAAATGCTCTACCTGCTTGAGCAGGTAGCACGTAGGAAGAAAATATAGGCCCACCACTACACTAGGAAAAGGCAGGGGTCTAGCCACTTTGGTAACTGTCCTTCTACAGTGAGGACTTGGCTCACATTCAGTTACTGTTACATTTTTCAATAAACCATAGGTCTTGGATAATTTCTTTCTTTTTTTTCTTTTTTTCTTTTTTTGAGACAGGGTCTCACTCTGTCACCCAGGCTGGAGTGCAGAGGTGTGATCTTGGCCCACTGCAACCTCCATCTCCCATGTTCAAGTGATTCTCTCACCTCAACCTCCCAAGTAGCTGGGATTACAGGCATGCACCACCATGCCTGGCTAATATTTGTATTTTTAGTAGAGACAGGGTTTGACCATGTCGGGGAGGCTGGTCTCTAACTTCTGGCTTCAAATAATCCACTTGCCTCGGCCTCCCAAAGTGGTGGGATTACAGGTATGAGGAACTGAGCCCAGCCAATTTCATTATTTTTAATCTTACTACTTTTGCAGAGAATTTTAAGCAGTTTCAGTAAATATCATGGATACTGTAGGATTTTCCTTTCAAAGAGTCTAGCGAAATGAAAAGGGGGCAGATGGAATGGAAAGAAACCCTAGGCCAAAGACTATGGCTGGAAGCATCCTGATAGCCAAGTCGAAAAGAGAAAGGCGAGATGCACATATCTCACACAGCTTATTGGGAGCAACAATTGTCCTCTGGATTCTCAGCTCCAAAAAGACCTCTACTCAACATCTGCTCATGAGCACACTGAGAAACAGAATGGGCAGTTATCACACACACAAGGCTTTACAGAGAGCATACAGAAGTTCTTCACATGCACATGTCTTGCTTTGAGTTTCTGTTTTACCCTAGCTGTGTTCAGAAAGTATTCTTCATTTATTTGTGTTAGCTCCAATTTTTATAGCCATTGGAAAAACAAAGACAAAACATTACAGTATATCTGGATTCAGGCAACAAGTAACAAGTTGTAAACTCTGAACATTAAAAAAGAAACACTGACTGTAAGCACTGGCTGCAAAACATGGAATTGCTTTGCTCATTATTCATCTTTGCATGAATTTTCTGATTATTCTATTGATTTTTTTCTCAAAACTGTTAACATTTGGTAACTAGAAGTGTGTTTGGGGTATATGAGAAACCCACATCTATTAACGAGTTCCTTGCAAAAAAATGTGGCATTTTAAAATACATTTTTCTTTTTAAAAATCAATAAATCATTTCTACTGGCTGTAATAGATACCACACAAATGAAGTCAGCTTTTATTTTATTATGAAATTGACATTTTCAGCACTTACTTAAGAGAATAGTATGAGATTTGTCAGATAATTTGTAGATTTTAGAATTTTTATGTAACAATGTGTTACATAACATTTTTGGTAATTGCCGAAGGATGGAAAATTCTAAGCAGATCTCTCCTTTATGCTTATCCCAGTCCTCTGGACCAACCACAAGACTGTCTCATTATCTGACCTGTATATTCATCCTGGGTCCTGGGTCATACCTCCCTCCTTCAGCTAACTCCTACTCATCCTTCAAAGTCAGTTCAGTGACACGACTTCAGCTAACCCTTCTCTAGTCTCACTGCACTTTCCATAGAACCCTCCACATAACTCTAACCACAAGTACATTTACCTTTGATTTTCTTGTCTATCTCATTTGCTAGACTATAGGGGGCAGGGGCCATGGGGCAGAGGCCATGTCTAATCTATCTCTTTTATAGCTCCAGGTTAAAACGCAGCGCCTGGCATAAAGCAGATGGTCAATAATTGTGGGACAGAGGAAGGAAGGGAGAGGAGAAAGAAGAAATAAAGAGGGAGGAAGGAAAGAAGGAAGGGAAGGAGGGAAGCAAAGAGGGAGGAAGAGAAGGAAGAAAAAAGGAAGAAAAGGAAGAAGCATCATCAACTTTCAATATATTTCAATATGGTCATCTTCTCTGTGCCTACAAGCTAATCTTATATAAGTCAGCTGCTTGGGTGACTCATTTATTCAATTTATTACTAAATCATTCAATAAACACTTACTGATACCTACTTTAGCAAGGCATTTTTTTTCAGTGGTCACTGTTATGAAGATAATGCGGTGAATAACACACGTATGGTTCCTGATCTCATGGAGTTTATATTTTAGTTAAAGAAATTAATCTACATAATTTGGTTTTTAAAGATAAACACAGGCATAAAAGGAAGACAAAAACAGATCACAGGTGCTGGCCCATCATTACTTCTCTTCTTCAAACCAAAGAAACTGGTAGATGAAGATATCTTGGGCTAGAGGTAATACTCTGGTAACACCCCCATGGACCAGTGGAATCCTTCTCAAATCAGTGTCACATAATCAATAAATCTTCGAATAAAAGAATCTGGATCTATTAAATGTCACCAAGTTTAGAGAGTCACCTGGGCTTTCTGAACCCTTGGCAGAGAAATGGAAAAGCTGAGATTATGCTTCCAGCTACCATCTGTCAAGAGACTACAGCCAATCAATCAGCTCACATTTCAAAGCTTACTTTTACCTTAGGAGTAAGAAGAAGAGGGAATCTGAGACAGAATTAATTACTCCTCAAGGCAACTAGACATACTGAATTCAAATTATATTCCTTGAGGAATTAAATAGTGGTTACAAAATAGGAATCACATACAAGAGTTTGGTAGCTCATGTCTCCTGTTTTGTCTAAATACCAATGACCCAAGGTCAGGGGTAAACACCCTCTCTCTGATACAGCAACAATCACTTATATGTTTTTCTGGATATCACTCATATCTTTTATAAGAGGCAGAACAAGAACAGAAAACTGTGCAAACCCACATGGAAACTCTGGGCATATCCTAATCTAGAATCAAAATGTTCCAGGGATAAGGAATGGATAAAGCAGTTGGATAACTTCTCAAGGTCCCTTCTGATCCTGTGATACTACGGAGCCTACTGGAAAACTAGACTTAAATTACTAGCAACATGAAGAACCCCAGTAAAATAACAGGGCTAAACAGCTGTGTAATTGTATGCAAATTGCAGAGCCCCTTTGAATCTAACCCAAGCCTTCATTGATAAAATTCAGTGATTGTAAGAAATGCATGACTCTTCCAATCTGAAAATTTTCTGATTGTAACACTGATCCCTGTCAAACAGGAAATGGCTCTACATTGGTAAATTAAGGGTAGATAAAATGTGCATTCTTCCTGCCCAGCAAAGTCACAAACCACAGACCAAGGAGATGATGGAGCTGGCCCACTAGAAGCAGGTCATCAACCCCAGTTAGCCAATGATCTCCTCACAAGCAGATCCGCTCTTCCCCAATTGCACACAAAGACCTCTGAAATGAGTGGATGTCATGAAAATTGTGTTAACACATTATTGACCATGAAGATCCCTTTCCTGCCAGAAGGAGTTGCCCAAACTGGAAGAGAAAATGCCCTTGCTTCTCTGGCAGGTTCTCTTTTCTGTGGTAGTTGGTGAATAGAAATCCATTATCCCCTGCCCATCTCCTTCGCAGATGAAAGGCAAGTGAAAACACTTTAAGCATATTAAGTAGCAAGTTTGATTTATAAATTATTAGGAAGATTACCTCCTCTTGGGGGTTTTCTGAAGTCTTTAATCGTGTGGAAAGGCTTTCCAGTTGCCACGGGCCACTAAGTTAATTAAGAGGCCTCAATATGTCTTCTGGGGCTCCTGGTATGAATTGCATGCCCCACTGGCAGGGCCCAGCCCGCGCTGCCTTGTTAACCTCTCACTGGGGCAGTTACTACTGCTGATTGCTGCCTCAAGATGCTTCAGCATCCCCTTCCCCCATGCCCCTAGGACCAAGTATCCAAGGCTTAGGAAAGAAATAGGATATTCCCCCAACTCTGTCTCAATAAAATGCCATTGGTGGGTAAATATAGGGACTAGGCAACCTTCCACAAACAAGAGGCAAAGGCTAAGACCAAGAGTCTTCCAAGGTTAAGTAGGTTGGTATTTGAGTCCTTCCAACCTAAAGAGGCTATGTTCTTCTCAGGAGGAAATTCAACTCTCTAGCTTTTTAATTACTTTTTAATTTAATTGTGTTTTATTTTGCTTCTCCTAGCTCTAAAAGTTTTAAGACCATTAGGTTTGATCGTCTTTCTTCTTTAATCTGGAAAGTTTGTCTTCAATTCCTGTATGAGACTTTAGGAGTTTCGTCTAATGAGAGCCTGAAGCCCTACAGGGACAGTGGTTGGAGGCTAGTGTGCTGGAGTCAGCCTGGGCTATTTCAAGTTGTACTCTTTCAGATTCTGTTTATAGAACTGCTTTTTTCCGTTCTTGAGATTTTTTTCTTGCCTCAGACCCTTGACTCTGTCATCCCAAAGAAAAGCAAAGGAGTGCATTTGTCTGTGAGCTGCTTAGAGATCTCTCATCATTAGTAGCTACAGTTACCTGTTGTTTGCCTTAACGAGAATGTTAAGGCCAAGCAGGGCTGGGTGAAGCAGGATGACAGAGAAGCAGCTCATCAAGGGCTGGGTTTTCAGCCCATAGATCCCTAATTCCAAAGACTGACCTAGACCTCTGCAGTGTAGGAGACCAGTAAGGAATCAGGCTACCTGGGGAGAGCTCAGGTCCTTCATCCCTCTGGATGTAGACGTAATAATTTTCTGAGAGATGACATCATGGATGGCACCCCAATCAGCATCATGTGTTAAGAGGCTGGCCCCACATATAACCCATGTGTATGGATATCAGTGTGCATGCACACGCACAAATGTGTGTATTATGTACAACAGATAGGCTGGAAGATAAAAGGGTCCACAAGGAAGCAGAAGCACTCCAGGTCTCTGTCTCAGCAACTCATGGGCAGAGCTGCATGAGACAGGCTCCCTCCATGGGCTGTGGGCACCAGCCCTTCAAAACTTCACAAGCCAAGCATGAAGCCAATAAATAAATATCGCCAGCTGGATAATGCTCAATGTCTATTCTGGGCCACGTTCCTTTCCTCCTTTCTTCTTTGTTTTTATGCAGTAGGTGATCTTGATGAAATAAAATAATAACAATAATCTACTCCATTAGGATCAAACATTAAGGGAATTATTGAACAAGTAACGGAAGAGGCAGCGGGTGCAGTATATGCTAATGACCATTAGACTTTATCCCTGTTTTTCTCTGATCATAAAGGAGTTGTTTAATCCCTCTTTCTCCCATTTCCTCAAAGTCAGGCAGCCCAGCTTAATGGGGGAAAAGAGGTTCTCAGAGAGCTGATAGCTCCATAGGTAGCAACTGGGGCTGAGTACATGAAAATCAACAGCATTAAAAACTAGTCACTGCAGGAAGACCTTATGCAGGGCATGTGTAGGAATTCCAGTGACTTCAGATGTAAACAGCCTATAACATAGTTAGTTGGGAATAGGAGGGGAAAGAGGGTCAAGATGTCAAGATTTCTCTGAATTTGGCACATATTCATCAGTATCACTATCTGAACCAGGGAAGACCCTGAAGATCCATTTCCTCTCCAGCTAACACTGAGATGGATCCTTAAAGGCTGCACTATTCAGAGATGCCTGAGAGTCGGGGTGGAGGTAGAAGGCCTTTCACATGGAGTGTGGCCTTGATCATATTCTTGTCCCACATATAGAGGTACAACTTGATTTTCATGAGTGCCGTGAGATCTGGTGTGACAGGATCCAGTCAAGTATTCAAGGATCCTGCCCCGTTCTCTTTTACAGTGGGATTTCCAGCAGCACAGTCCCTAGCCTGGGAGAGGTAAAGATCACACAGCTGATGGTTAGTTTTGTGATGATCTCAAAGTCCACAAACCACTATGAAAGAATTAAGCATTTCTCACCTTCCTACAGTTAATCCCATTACATGTGCTTAACTCTTCCTCCAAACTCCTGCCTCATTCTGTTAGTCTATTCACACATTGCCTTATTCCTAGAATACTGGTACAATAAAGAAGTAATACTAATGATAACTACTGTTTATTGTGTTTACCACATGCCAGACATAGCACCTAATGAATTATACTCATTATTTTATTTAGTCCTACCAATAAGTATAAGTAGTAAAAATTATAATTTCCATTTTTAGAAAGTAACTTATCCAAGTTTACATAGTAGTATGAGGCCAAACTAATACTCAACCACTGACATTAATGATGTTGTTTTATGACCGTGTCACATAGAAAGAAGCCCACCACTGTGGTCTGGGCTCTAATCACTCAACTTCCCATTTTCTTTCAATTAAACCCCAGATTTCCTTGCTTCTACAACTAACTCTCAAGGTTATGCAAGTGAGGATCCCTAAATGTCTACACTTAGTACTGTCTACACTGCCTGTCCCAGATACCTGCAATCTTCTCCAGTTAAGCTTGATCATTGGATTGGCCAAATACAACATTTTAAACAATAATTTAACCAATATGGCCAAGGAGGGTCACACTTGTCAGGTTGTCATTTTGACACAGGCAGCAAAAATTCTGTGGAGATATCTGCAGCCTTGGGTAGATGTAAAGTGAAATCAACTGTCCTCAGAGTCTGAGAGTACAGACACTCAACCATTTCCTTGAGAACAGTCTGGCACTAATGCACACAGACTCTGGTCTGTTTGTTCTCTGTAAGCCCTGTTCTGGGATGGGAGACCTAAGAAGAACAATAAACATTTTCCACAATATAACAACACACATATAAACAGACTGGGGAGAAATGTCAGACTTAACTTTCAGGGAAACTAGGAACTTCATTACAGTCAGGTCACACAAAAAACACTGTGCTAGCTGATAGATTTGGAGAAGACAGGAGAAAGCCCACGGGCCATGTTTTGCATTAGAACCCAAAAGATGACAACGGCCATTCCCAGTGCAAGTCATTTAATGCTAGTCGAAAACAGAGGTTAACAAAACTTGTATACATTGCTTTGTGCTCATAAGCTTCCTCCAACTGGTAACTGATTTGACCCACTACAGAAAATTCTAATCACAGGCCCCAAATTCTAATCAAAACCCTGGGAGAACAATGGGTAACCATGGTCTTATCCCTTGTACCATTCCAGCTGTGACTCAATCTTGGCATCCAAGTAAGATGCACATTAGAGCTCAAGAATTGTAGCAAAGGGAACAGAAGAGGAAATTAAGGGCTGAGAGGAGACGCTGACGTACGAACACGATTAGAGCATCATATGCCAATATCCCTTCCAAGCCCTTCATTCCTTGCCAGCAAGCTTTGTCTGGCATCATACAGGGGAAGGAGGAGAAACCCTGGCAGTCAAAAAAGTCTTCTTTGGGGCCCCACACCGAGTGCTGTGGCTCTTATTTCTCCCTCTTTAAAAAATTATTAAATTGAATTTTTTTCTCTGGAACTAATCAAGCACAAAATCTGAAGAAGAGGCCTGGTTTGTGAAGGCAATCACTGAATGAGGTACTGATATTCTCATTAGGACGGGCTTCGTTAAGCCACCAGCTCCAACACCAGCAGCATATTGTCTTTAGCTAATTACATTTTTTGCTGGCAAAGCTACTGTACAAGTCTTCAAATCCTTCCCATCATTAATTTTAAGAAATGAAAAAAAAAATACACACACACACACACACACACACACATACACACACACCCAACTGCCCTGTCCTACCTCCTCTCTCCCTGGCATCCCACCCACCCATAGCCCCAGGCTGTCAGCCTTGTTTTTCTGTTTTTTCAGGCTTCCTCTCTTGTACTGGCATTTGTTGTTGTTGTTTGTTTTGTTTTGTTTTTTTGAGGTGAGGATGGGGGTTGTGATTGAGTGGGGTGCAGGTAAAGAGTCTGTTACTTAGGCCTGATTTCTTCACTAGCTGACCATGGCCCCCTCTGTTCCCAGCAGAACAGCCAAATGCTGGTTACTCCCGCCAGGACCTCGGGCGCAGGCCTGGCGCTCACCAGCCAAAGATGGGCTGTAGCAAAGGGAAGTTGGAAATTGAGCGGCAGCTCTTCCCCACCTGCCAGGGAAAGTGACAAAAGGCTCAACTCTGCTATTGTTTGTCAGGTTTTGATTTGCTGATGAGTGGCTCGATCATGCAGGGAATCCATAGGTCAGCCAGAGACATTGGAGTGATACAAAGGCAGTCAGGGGTTCTTGCTTCCAAGGCAACTGACAAGGCCGACATCATCCGCTGGGCCAGTTGCCTAATTCTGTACCTGTTTTCCTGAACCCATGGGGTCATTCCCAGCCAATCTGCAACATCATTATAAATTAATTCAAATCATAGTGTTCACAGAGTTTCTTCTTTCTACATTTTAATAGTTGTGATTTATTTTTTCTATTCTTAACATTCAGTTCTGTTGTAAGGGAGAGAGGGACAGAAAGAGAGAAAAACAGGGGAGGGAGAGGAAAAGGGAGAAAGAGCAGGCATGGGGTAATAGGTCTTTTTTTTTCTGCCTATCCCTGAACCTTTGTTCTCTCATTTCCCTGAAACGTCCTTCTTTATATCTCCCCTACCTATGCCCTTTCTGTGCTTTCAAGTCCCAGCACACATCTATCTCCTTCCTGAAACCGACTTTGATTACTCTGATCCATAGACATATCATTCTATTCCAATTCCTAATGCATATGTGGACATTTCTCAATTAATCCTTAATCCCTAATTCTGTTGCTCCCCATATCATGGCTCTGACTGGACTTGCAGGCAGAGACCACATTCTAAATTCCTTCCACAGCCCCAGCCTTAGCAGAATGTCTAGCACGGGGCTGACACTCAGTGAATGCTACATGGCTTGATTAACTCCAGGGAGGCACATTCCGCTGGCTTGCTAAGGTTGACAAAACACAAACAGCATTACGTTCACACTATTGGTCAGTTCAGACTGAAGACCTCCATCTGAAAATCCCTCTTCCTTCTTTTCTGCTGGCTCCTAGATAGCTCTGAGGGGCACTCCCTTGGTCATGGAGTCCTCCCAGGAGAAAGTGAACTACAGTCAGGTGGTGGTTTCATTTCCCATGAGGATGCTCAAATGCAAGGTGCATGATACATCACCCAGAGGATACGGCTATGTTTTTAGAGCGTGTGAGGACTTCTCTTCACCCAACCTCACTCTAGCTCCTACCTTTTGGTGTCTTTAGCCAGCATTTGTGAGACAGCTGAAGGCTCACTTACAGTGACAGATTTTTTTTCTAGTAAAATAAACTAACCTGAACGTTAATCTAACTGTTCCTGCTCCACCCCTTAGAGGTCTGCAGGAATAGAGTATCATCACCAGAGAAGTCAAAACTTGTAATCACATTAAAAATGTCTATTTAGAATCTAATTATATCTACAGACATGTAGCTGCTACAGACACATGCTTTACAAAGTGAATGGGGTAAAAATAAAAGTACCTTCTCTTTGAAACGAAAGTGCTAATTTTGCATTTATATTTCTGTTTCTGCAGAGTGACTACAGGTAGGATGGAGAAGTTCTTCTTAACTTCATTCTATAATTGGGGAAATTAAATTTGGCTTAACAGGAGAACCAAACACTGTCAGGACCAACACTTTTCCATAGTTTTTTCTGCCACCACACCATGAGAGATACAGGCTACAAACCGGGTAGACCCCATTGGCACACTGAAGGCTCAGTGTTCCCCTGGCACCAGCTGTAACTCCAATTTTTTCTCTCTCTCAGTCAGCAAAGTATAACACAATGTAAGTTGAGTGAGAATGACCTTATTATAGGTCATTTATAACTTTGACTCCACTCTAATGGAGAAAAGAAAACCAGTCACAATTTTCAGCACTTTACCTATTATTAGTATCAAATGCACTTGGCACATCTTACAAATGATGCAGACAGACCAGCCATCGTGACACTGTAGTAGAAGTGTGAAAGCAGCCACTGAGGACAGGAAAATGAGGAGCTGTTGGCTTTGCCCAGAAGGCTGAGTCAGGGGCTTCCTGGACATTCGGGCTCTGGGAGGGGCCCTCTTCATTACAGAACACCATGTGGTCCCATCCCACCCTTTATACCATGCCTCGTGACACTCAAAACTAAAGTTCCCACTCTGAAAACCTTTTATAGTAATTTTGCTCAGTATCAACTTAAAAAATTATATGTATACATGCACACACATGCAGAGGGAGAGTGAGATGGCCTCATGATCTAGCCACTTCTGGTGTGTGTGACAGCCTTCCCCTAAGGTTCCTGTTCCATGAATATGTGAAGGGAGGAAGAGATGTGAGGGTTCAGTGGAGAAAAGGGAGCCACAGGACCAGAGACGAGGCCTGAAGAGAACATTTTGCTGAAGATCTTACAGGACAGAGGGGAAAGTGCGCTGACTGATCACCTGCTCCCCATCCCAACAGTGCCACTGACCAGCCATTCAGCCATTTAACCTCTTTGAGCCTCAGCTCTCCATATTATCAGACTTGCTCAGCCTTCCTTGCAAGGTTGTCTGTCCATTCCCAAAGTCCCTTTAAGCCTTTTAGCAAAAGGCCAGGCCCTTGGCTAGGATCCGGAGAAGCATAATCCCTCCCAGCAAGGAGCTTACACTCAGGGGAGATAGGCTTATGCACAGGTAAGGATGATGCAGAAATATGCACCAGGAATTGCATGAAACTTCTTCACCCAGCCCAGAGAGAAAAGGGGGTCAGAAACACTTTCCTAGAGGGAGTCATGGGGCAAAACTGAATTTTAAAAAGAGTAGAAAGAGGTGGCCTCACTCAGAGGAGAGGAAAGACATTTTCAGCCAAAAGGCCAGCATGAGTGAAATCATAGAAGTATTAAATAGCAAGGGAGGTCCACAAAATATGACAGGGAGGTCCAGAAAATATGACTGATTGTCAGGGTAGCTCACAGAGGGGAAGGCAAGGAGTGGAGGAGATGAGGGTCAGGCATGAAAGGTTTAACACCCTGGAAGTTAGCCTTCTGAATGGAGGAACCTACTCAAGGTTTTCCACTAGGGAGAGGACATAGTTCAAGCTGCATTTTATTAGATTCAGCCTGATGGTGGTTGAAGGGAATTTTTTTAAGGGAAACAAGGCAGAAGACAAGAGTGAAGAGGATGGAAACCACCGTATCAGTCCAGTGAGAGGTGAGGGGGGTCTGCACTCATAGTGGTAGTAGAGAGGGAAAGAAGAGAGGTATTCTGGAGATGTTTACAAAATAAAATGAGCAGAGCATGGTGAAAAGGAAGGCACAAGAAGAGGATCCCATGGCCATGCTGGGCATAAGGACAGTGAGTCTGCAGGTACAGAAAGTGGAAACATGGGTAATAAGAATGAATGGGAAGACTGAAATCCATCTGTCCCTAAATAATGAAAATGCGCTACTTGTTTAGAAGACCTTCAAGTGAAGTAATTTTCCTTTGTTCCTTCTCTTCAACCCTAGTGACCTGGAACGATCAGCTAGGTAAGGCAGCATTTAACACAGATGCCGATGAAAATTTCTGGATGCAAAATACAGGCCTTTGAATGCACTTACAGTATTATACAGGAATATCTACATGGCCCACTTCCCACTCTTAACTTTTTTCATTAGATGAAATCAGGTGAAAACGAACTTCAGAATCAAGCCTGATCAAAGAGGCAAAGGAACTCTCAAAGGGCGGCCGCCAGAGGGGCTCAGGATGTAGAAGAGGAAAGCAAGAAAGAGGTAAAGGCGCTGAATCTCCAGTACCTCGGACGAGCCTCTCCCTCCTAATGGCAACATGGGACTGACTTGTCCTTATCTTCCCCTGATTCAGGGACTCTCCTGAGAACCAGTGAGGCTGGCCCAAAAGGGGAGTCTGGGAGATGCCCTGCAGGTCCCAGCATTGTTAGTCAGCAAGGCAGAGTCCACCATCCTACCAGAAAGTTCCCTTCTAAAGTAAATACTTTTTCCCCCTTAAGGCATAACTGTTATCCTGGGAATGGGGCAACTGAAACAATCACTTCCATAAGAAAGAATTATATTATATAAAGGCTGGCTGGGCTAGACCTGCCAAGAATCACTCTGCCTCCGGCTTTACCTGAGTCATTTTAGGGAGGAGGATAAATGTCTCCTTCCGGGAGTATTCAAAGGCCTCCAGAGGCAATTCTGGGAGATTTCCCCTTCCCAAATCCTCCAAAGCTGGAGGCTGAAGGCTCTTCCCATGGCTTGCTCCCTAATGTGGGGGAGCCACTCCATCCTAAATCAAACCCAGGAGGCTCCTAGAGTACTTCATGCTAGCAGAGGCTAACAGTATGTCTAGAGAGACTCGCTGGAGACACAGAGGAGCAGAGCCAGCTGAAGGCAATGGCTCTGAACCAGCAATTCACAGACCAAAGGCACCTGCAGAGAGCCCCCACTGGGCCATGTGAAGGGTTCAAAGTCACCAGGCTCCCTCCAACAGAGCAGCCAAAGATTCACAAGGGGATGTGATAGCTCCCTCCCAGGATGGAACTTCTTCCTTTCAACTCAACCTGTATACAAGCCTGCCAAGCCCAGCATACTGCCCATAGACCATCACCTCATACTCGTAAATGGAAAAAAGAAAAGCAGAGTTGCTGCAGGGAATGGAAGAAAGTTTTTTCATGCATTTCTTTCTGTGTCAACCAGGGATTGCTAGTGTCCCATATGTCCTTCACTTTCACATTCCTAGAATGTGGGAGCTGAAGGCAACTTACAAGTTCAGCTAGCCCAGGACCCCCAAGGCACAGGACATAGCCCACCTATGTGCTCCTGGTATGGGTGTGCCAATTGCTGTTAAAGGGGTGGGACATGTTTATGTTATCATTTATTTGTATAAAATACTATTTGCCTAATCTGTATTGAAATAATCAACTATAACATCAAACCCCTGATTTTATTGACATATTTCTCTCAGATAAGTTTAAATTGAAAAAGCAAGTCAATTTAAATAAAAATATTCAGATAATACTAACAGAGGTTGCATAAAAATATGCCAATAAAACATGAACGCCAAAGTTTTGAGAACACTTATCTCATTCCAGCCTCTCCTATGTAGATGAGCAAACTGAGGCTCAGGAAGGTCAAGGAGCTTGCCTGAAGTTTCACATGTTTTTGAGAGAAAAAGGTCCACAATCAAAGCTTCCTGACTTCAAATCCAGTAGTCTTATCCCAACATTAGGCTGCTTGCCTCATCAGCAAGCTTTCGTCACAAGTGAGAAGAAGAAGATGTAATGCAGTCTGTGTGACGATAGCTGGGCCCACGTCACTCTGCTTTGAAAGCTACAAGCAGAGCCCTGGCTGGGACCTGTTGGTGTTGCCTTATCCGAACCCAAGGTGGAGTCCAAGGAGGGTGGTCCTGCCGTGGAAAGACTGGGGGCCTCAGAGGCCGAGGCTGTTCACTCTGAGCCACGGAGCATTGAGGAAAGAGGGGCTGGGGATGGTCACAGCCAGCTGAAAGCCCAGGGATAATGACTGGGATGTATACATTCCATGACACTTAGGAAATAAAAAGAGAATGAAAGATGGATGCTTTAACATCATAGTTGGGACACAGAGCTCTTCTAAGTTGGTTATGTGTGATAGTTTACCTCACGTAAGAATGTATCTGAAACCCACAAATGCCAAATCATGAAATGTTCACTCTTACAAATCCCAAGGGCCTATATATCTAAGTCCCGAATCCTTCCCACTTCTTCCTCAGACAAGATGCAGACATGGAGGAAATGAAGGTTGAATCCTTTCATAAGCATCTGATGATTGATATCCCATATGGATCTCTCATATAGCCCTATCTTCTTTATGGTATTAGGGTAGCAGAACTCACCTCTCAGGCCACCTTAAGCAGTTATACAAATCCCAAATGTCAGAATTGGGAGCCAAAGCCCAGCAGGCCCCAGATACGATTCTGTGAAGCACCCACTACTGTCAGCCATAGTACAACATATTAATAAACTGACATCTGATTCATCCCAAGTTAGAAGGCTACTTGACTCATCCTTTGCTATTCAGGGACATCAGCAGCAGTGATAGAGGTATCATCAGGAGAGAAATCATAAATAGCAAGGCAGCAGCAAGAGGCACCTGACTTTCCTAGATTTATTATAGAGAGAGACCCCTTGCAATCTTGGGGAAGGCTACTGACATCTGCCTCTCACACAGGTAAGCCATTTAACAAACTTTAGCAGATACTTAAATGTGTCACAGCTAATTTTATAAGGCAAGGCTAAAAATGCTTTGTTCACCCTAAACTTTATCAGCAAGACCAAGAGCTACCATAAACTCTTAAAGATACGTAACAGTCCTCACAAAAACCAACTTTATTATGACATCAATGTCTGGAAGCATAATCCTGCTTCTATTCTTACATATTTATATGAAGCATTTTTCTACAAGGGGGTATTTTAGCATATCCAGGCATGTCACACATTTCTACTGTGTACTCAAAGTTGAAACCAAGCAGGAGCCATCAGACTCACAGGGAAAAAAAACAGCATATTTGCTAATAAGTATCCTGTTTATACTTTTCTTGTCAAGTCGAAGCATAGTTTTGTTTTCATTAACATCTGTCTTTGCTAAACTCATCAGTGTCTCTCAAGAGAAGCTAATGTGCTTGCATTTCACCTGAATTTGTGAATACCACATGTCTTGAATTTCTAGCAAGAACAATTTTTGTCAGTGCCTTAAGTGACAATTATAATCAATCTGTGGGGGTCTGGCTAAAACTAGCAAATTATTGTCTTTCACACTGCAAATAGAACCCTAAAGCTTCCACTCAGTTGTTAGGTTGTAGTCTTTATGTGGGTTCTGCAGACAAAATGAGGAGAATGTACTAGATTGAGGTCAGCAAACCTATGGCCTCCAGGCCAAATGTGGCCCACTGCCTGTTTTTGTAAATAAAGTTTATTGAAACACAGCCACGTGCATTCAGTTATATACTGTGCATGGTTACTTGGGCACTACATTGGCAAGAGATGAATAGTTGAAAAAGAGCTTGGATGGCCTATAAAGCTAAAAATGTTTAACATCTGGTCCTTTATAGACTCCTGGCCTAGATAATTCCTGCCATTGTCCATATTAGGGTTTTCTCCATGGACACATGGCTGGCTACATTTACTATACCTAAATCTAATTTGTCTCCAGCCAAGGCCCATGGGTATGAGTTTGTGATCAGATTTAAAGATGACCTCGGGTCTGTGAGACAGACCCCAAACTTATGAGATGGGCAGAGGGTGGGTGAAAGATAGTGTGATCTGGAGAAAAGGTAATGGCATCAGGACTCAGAATCTCTGAGTTCTTACATCAGTGCTGGCCATGAGCATCACCCACTACTCTAAGTCTTCTTTTTCCCATTGTGAATGAGAGTAATAACAATCTTGTATGTGTGGATACCTGGGCAGTGATGGAATTCCCTAAATGACATCACGTGGTTTGATTAAAAAATAAATTAATAAATGAAGTTCTTCCAGAGAAGTTGGAGCTGAAATTATCACCCTAAATCATAAGATACCTGGTAGGTATCAGATGTCAATTATGAGATCAGACCTCAATTATCATCCTAAATCATAAGACGCCTGGTGGGAAACCCTGTAAACAATGAAACAGAAGTGACATAACAATTCCCTGAATGGACATGACTGCATCCCAGCTTTGTAATGGCCCTATTCTATTGTCCTGATATCCCTAATTGCCTCGGTCTTTTCCCTAAGCACAATCCTCTAGGACTCCTCTGAGAGGCTGCCATGATCACAGATGCTTTTCTGACTCTCTAAGCTGGTGGCCCCTGGGTCACACATTGTATGCAAGATTGTTACAGGCAGCTTGCATGGCCCCCCAAGAGTTTACTGAGCTAATATTTAATGGGTACTTCCCTATAGGCCAGGCACTACGGGAAGTGGTTTATAAGAATCATCTCATTTAATAATTAAAACAGCCCTATAAAGTAGGATTTATTATTCCCATTTTATGGATAGGGAAAGTGAGTTTAGAGTGATTAAGCAATTTGTCCAAGGTCAACAAAAAGATCGAGTAAATGGCAGAACTAAGATTTAAATTGGTCTCTCTGAGAGCAAAGCCCTTGCTGTAAACTGCCTCACTAAAATTCAATACCATACAACTATAGTCTTGGTTGGTTCTCAATGACCAGCATCTTCTCAGAGCCAATCTCAGGCTTCTTTGCAATATTTGGTCTTCTTGCCCGATCCAGCTCTTCCTTTACCTTTTGAAGCAGCTCATAGACCTCACCATGACAGCATCTTGTACCATTCTCTATGTTCCTTCCTAATCTTCAAATAAAGGGTTTCTACTGTACTAGCTAAAAGAAATAAAATTATTCCATAACCTGGAAAATTGGAGAAACTGTCCAACTCTAATACCACCAAGTAGCAGAATTGTGTAGCAGAGTCAAGTTTGGAGTCAGATACACTTGCCTTAAATCCTGGCTTCCTTTCTTACAGCCTATGTGACTTTGGGCCTATAATTTACTTTCTCTCAGTCTCAGTGTTCACATCTGAAAGATGGAAGAAATGATAGCTATTTCAAAAGGTTGCTATGGAAATTGATTGATAGTATGTATGCAAATGATCCCATACAGTGCTGGAGACACAGTGAGGGCTTAGTGAGCAATAGCTTTATTACTATGAATATTACCAGTTTCTAATATTGATTGAAACCTCATGGAAATTATGACTCCTGCTTTCAAAAGGATCTTCAGGGATTTCTGAAACTGAGTAGTTGAAAGTAAATTGCTAGCTTCTATATCAAGTGAACTAGATTGCTGAACAGAATATTACATCAACTTGTTAAAAAGACATCAGCATCCTTTTGAAAATTTGGCCTCTTAGCTATTTTTCTTGCTATCTGCAGAGATGAGGGTAGCATAAGGCCTCTGTGAACTTCAGGAAAGAGAAAAACAGATTTGCAAAGAAGATGTAAAGACTGAAAAGGAGTGGAAAAGATGATGGAAACTCTACTTGTCTCTCAGTTCTGCCAAGGGCCCTCTTCAAATAGTAAGCATTAATAATGTGATTAAATGCTCCCTGAAAGCAGAACTTTGTCTTATTCATTTCCTATCTACTTAGTAGCTAAAAAAATCTGAAGCCTGAAAACAGTGTTAAATAATCAATATCTAAATGAAGGAATGAGTCAATGATTTTAAAAAATCAATATGTCAATAATGCTTTGAAAATACTTTTCTAGTTTCTAAAAATTTCCCGCAAAAATGCAAAAGTTTGTATATGAAGAAGCTAAGTTCATTGTTACATGACTTTCACAATTTTAGAGTTAGAATTCCCCAACTACCCTTTTCCCTTCCCTGCCAATAAACCCACCACCAGCTGTGAGGTGGTGTGACTGAAGCCAAGGTTAGCAGGTGGGATTAGCCAAGCTGAACAGAGTCTGAGCTTCTGGGGTTAGCTGCCTGGTGTAGCCACGGAAAGAAAATTTGTGTTCCATCATGGTTGTTGGTCCTAGTGCTTGTAGCGTTATTAGTGTCAAAGTAAAAATGGAGTAAAGTGTCAGATGAATCTCAGCAGTCAAAAGTCAACAAAACATCAAAAGTTGGTGAAATGACACATACTAAATATATATTGTGTGCTCACTATGGGTCAGGAGAGGAGTGCTTCTCAAAGTATAGTATCTGGACTCTGTGGACTGCCTTGATTCAATTCATAGTCCTGCAAACTAATAGTTGTTTACTTTTAGATAAATCACATAGCCTGTTATGCTCAGTCCCCTTGTCTGCAAAATGAGTAATAACAAACCCTACTTTATGGTGTGGTAAGAATAAAAAATAAGTTAAAATATATTGAAAGCACTTGAAACAATGTCTAGCACATAGTAAGTGCAAAACACAATTTTGATGATGATGATGACAATGATGATGGTGTCTATGTTATATTTTGATTCTCCTAACATCTCCTAACATCTCTATAAGTTAGGTCTTAGTCTGTTTGTTGTACTGAAAACAAGAAATCGTGAAATCAGTTTTTCAGCCTCTGCTAAAGGAAACGGCTCTGACCTGTGCGTGGAGCAGGAGTGTACCACATAAGCCCACCTCCCCACTAAAACCACCAGGGGAAGGCTAGGATCACATTCACCTGTGGGATAACCTGATATGAAAGCTTTGAACAAACAGGGGCTATGGTAACAAATTAGATACATCTGCTTCTTTCACTAAGGAGTTAGAATAAGGGAGGAAGGCAGGACATTTAACAGCAGTGGGAACAAAGCTGGAAACACTGTGAAGCTGTGAAAAGTCAGGACAGGTCATGAGTGAGGTGACTTGATGAGTAAATGGAGTGTCAAACACATAAAAGCTTTGCAATTGAGAAAGATTTATAGAATAGACTAGACAAAGAAGCTAATTCATAGCAAGAGGAGCAATAGAAACAGGTGTGAAAGAGCCAAACCACAAGCTATGGAGGCTGAGGGCTGATAAAATCACTCAGATCCTCAACAACTTCCCAGTTCCAGCCTTTGTGAAAATCTGCCCTTTGAATATACTTTTTAAAATCAGGAGAGTGTTGTCTCTTTTATCTCTATATAAATTTCTGCAGTACAACTCTATTACAGAGAAGGCCTCAGTGGATCTTCATTCTCTAAAACTAAAAAGCCTGACCAGTGCATTCATTTTATAGGTGAGATAATGAAGCTTCCAAAAAGCGCAGCAAATTACCTAAAGTGGTAAAGCCAGCATATGAAGTCCACTCTTCCAACTGTAAATCCAGCGTGTCTTTCTGCTACATCTCAGCTCTCACTTTACTAGAATATGAAAGGGCACCAAACAAGAACAAAATAGATGAGCAACCCAAATGGTGAATGAATTCATGTATACCTATGCCCGACGCATCTTGACAAGAGATGCAGGGCATTCCATGGTGCCAGGTGAGGGATGTTTGTAAGCCAAACCTTAGTTGGCACTTGACATGGTCCCCAAATGGACCCTGGCATCTCCAGGCTTTTGCACATCAGCGTTTCAGAAAGAAACAAAGAGCAAAGAGGTTTTGTTTCAAGAGATCTTACTGATTATCTTAGGAACTGCCCACAGCTTTCCTAATGGAAGGTAAAATACACAGTGATGGCCCTGGCATGTGGGCAGTATGACCAGTAAGTCGGTTCAGCCCCATGAAGGATGGCTTGAATTGCAAGAAAAGTCTTCTTTGAACTGAATCAAGACTTGTCTTTTTGTACTTTCCGACTTATTACTCTATCTCTGTCCTTTCTGGTAACATACAATATGCCTAAATGTCTCCATTTGTTGCTTAAAGATGAGAAGGACTGGTCCTGATAAATTAGAGCATCCTAAGTTGAATGAAAAAAATACTACAAATTGACCATAAAGATGCAAAAGTGACCTTGATTAATGAATTTGTTAATGAGTTTTTGTAACAGATCTGCTGAAGGCAAAAGGCGCTGACAAAAAAGACATCTAGCCCTCTCTCCTGTGCCCACAGACACTTAATAAGAACCTAATAGTGTTGATGACACACAGTGACTGCCACACTTGGAACTGCTCCTCTCTACATTGGAAGCGGCTGTGCTCTAGGTATGAAATGAGGCACGGCTTCAAGCAAACTCACATGCGATGCTCAGGCAACTGGACTGAACTTGAATGTAACAGTAAGGGCAAGGATGAGGCTTTGGTAGAAAGTTGTTATGCAGCACTGGAAACATGATCCTGGAGGCTCCCATAGGTGTCTTCTGTGGGTTCTGTACTGACTCAGCCCCAAATACTACTTTTCCACACTGGAACTTTCCCACAGTGCCCATTTTATTTGCTGGACTCTGGGACTGTATAATGGCACCTGCCTCTTTTGTCTCCAAATCTTGTTCCCAACATTGTTTCTCCCAGGAGTGAACTCTGTACCTTGGGTTCACCTGGAGATCCCAGAAACAGGGAGCCTGGGGGCAGGCTAAGGCCTCTGATGGCAGCCAGCAGTAGAAGGCCATGGGGGCCTCCAGATACTGGCCAAGGAGCCACAAACAGCTGGGGCTACTAAGATTTTTTTCCCCACAACAGTGACTAAGAAGGCTGAACCACAAAAGATATTCTCTACCAGTGGGAGTTATCAATACAGAAAAATTTCATATATATATATATATATATATATACACATATCTCCAAAGAATTTTAGAAAGGCTACTTGCTGTGAAAAATGTACTTAACCAATCCATATGCATATAGGAAATCTATTAACACTGCCATCTTTAATTAAAGAGATGAAATATATAGACAATACATTTAAATTCTACTGTGCACCATTAAACTCGTTTGCGTACTTTAAGAAGAAAAATGTACACTGTATGGTAAATTAGCACAAGTACAATAAGAAAATTTAAATCCACACAGAGTCTGAATATCTGACATGAAGTCATATTGAAACCTGGTCTTCTATGGAGTAAACCATTTGCCTTTTAACTGACGAATTGCTTGACTTTTGGTTTAAACTCACACTCAGTTTTCATTTGCTGATTCTGCTTTCATTTGTTGAAGAGTTTGCAAAAGAGTATCTTTGTGTACTTTCATAGTTCTGAATGTCAACTATCTTGCAAAATTTGAAATAAATCTCTTCAGCCAAGTTTGAATCATGCAAGGAGGTTAAAATACATCATTTGACCCTCAAAGCAATAATGTAAGATTTCAGAAGGGAAATCCAATTATTCTATGCAAGGAAGAAATGGTACCTCTTTGGAAAAAATAATTCAAAAATTTTAGGATGTGATTGAAAAATAAGAAAAGCAAAAGGTTTTTCAGTTTTAAATTGCCGAGCTCCCAGCTGGGGAATTGGCTTTCTGCAAGCCCACAATTTTGCTGATGGTCGATTTATACTGGGCATGGTATAAAAGAGAACTTGCAAATTCTCATTCATACAATGCCATAAGGGTCCAAAAAGGTTTCTTTTACTTCTCATTCTCTAATTTCTTATATTTTGTGTTAAAACAAAACATAATATATGCAAAATATAGAAATAAACAGTGGTCTCTGCATTGAGGAAATATGGATAAAAAAGTATACATACAAAATGAGAGAAATGTAAACTTTAAGGTTTTCATAAAACCATTAATTCCCTCTTGCACATATTGGAAATAGTTAGGATTATTAGTTAAGCTTTTAATTATACATTTTCTTAACAGAAGAGGTTGGATGTATTCATGTTTCGATAATCGCTTTATCTTTTCTCTTTTTCCAATTATGCTATTTTGATCTAATTTGAAAACTGTATCAATATTGATCATTAGAGTTAATGAAAAAATAGTCTTGCTATTGTTATTTCATAACTAAAGGGGTTTTGGTAATAAGATTTAATTTAAGTGCATTTCACTTCTCAATATTGTTACAAATCAAAGAATTTTGCTATCTTCTGGCTTTTGTAATGCTGTCATCCAGATGCCTCAAATAGCTGCCTACCTTTCCTCCAAAGGGTATGGTATAAAGTGTGTCAAATAAAGTCTACCACCACTTGAGTCTCTTAGGAGGAAGCCATCAGAGATTCTAGGAACAACATCTTCAAACAGGATACCCTCAGGCTTTATTTCTAAGCTGAGGGCAGATACACAACTTCAGACTTTGAAATTGTTTCTAGAATAGAATCCTAAGGATGAGAAATGCAGTGTGTGGGGTGTGTGTATGGAATGGGAATTGAGGACAATGAGACGGCTAGGTGGGCTGCAGTAGGCTCCACTAACCAAACCATCTTTGACAGGGAAAGGAGCGGGTAGGGAGGAAATATTTATATCTCCACTTCATCCTGAGATTCCTGTTCTGTGGAAGTCAAAGGCCTTCCTGATTTTTTTATGGAGATGTTGGCCTGTCCACATACAAGAGGCCAACCCAAAGACAACACAAATCTTTTGCACCCTTACGTTTGCCTATGCCCTTTTGTCCTCTGTCTCTTTAGCCTGGTTAAAAATAAAAGAGAATAAATTAAAATTAAGCTGAAGGAATAATCTCTTCCATTTTATTTGAAAAATAAAATGTCATAGTGGTCTGCCATTGGTGACAAGTAGCATATGAAGGAGAGGTCTCAGAGATAAGTTTAAAGTTGACTCTTGTTCTTTCTCCATTTCAGTGTCCACTGTCCACTAATTCTTGCTCAGGGGATCTAATTTGAAAAAACACTATAATGTAGGGTTTTTCATATGGGTTGTTCTATTTTAAGGGCACAGCCTATTTCCTAAAGTCTTTGGCATTTTTGATCAGCATATATATTTTTTAAATTTTGTATTTCCATTGATTTTTGGGGAACAGATGGTGTTTGGTTACATGAGTAAGTTCTTTAGTGGTGATTTGTAAGATTTTGGTGCTCCCATCCCCCCAGCAGTATACCCACCCCCACAAACATACACAAACAAACACACACACACACACATACACACACACTTCTCTAGAAAACTTATTGAGCACCTAATTCCAGGGATAGATGGTAGGGTGCTTCCTACACTGAAGATACAATGTGGCAACAAGTACAAGCTTCAGGCTGTTTATCTTTCTGCAGATTCTCGCACTATGCCCCCAGCCCTCCCTAGACTCCCCTTCTGACATATTGTTTGTCTCAACTTCTTCTATTTAGGGTCCTTCTTTAAAATATAATCACAATATTTATTTTTGGAAATCTCTATACACCTTTCTTTACCTTAAACATTTTCATCAGTGTGACAAAGACTGGTTCTTTGAAATGGTCTCAGGCCAAAACAAAACAAAACCACCCATGACCACCATTGCATCCCACACTGATGGCAGGATGTGGATGGCTGACGAGAAATCCACCATTGTGCCCTTCTTTTTAGTCAGACCATATTATAAATTTGAAGACAATCTGGCCTCTAAATTCGTCACTCCAGTCAATGCCAGGGCCAATTCAGCTGACCTGCCTGAATCCTACCACTCTCTGGACACTACAAGCTACAATAAAGAAGACAACCTTCTCACAGAGGAAAAACACTGTTCTTTAATAAGAAGATGCAAGTACTGGAACTCCCATGCTATAAACCTTGATTAATTTGTAAATGTAAGTATTAGCAACCTCATTTACCTGCCTGACATCTGACCTTATGTGGATATTAAGGCTTAACATTTGCAATTCAGGAACTCTTTTCTCCACCATATAATTTAAACAAAGTGCCTCGTGTACATGCAGGTAACCTATCAAGCCAGTTTACTTACGGGGACATGGGTTGAGGAAGAAATAGAAGGCTTACATTTTGAGATTTTATCAGAGATTTTATAGAGAGATTTTCCATCTTTGGATAATAGGCATTCTTCTATGTCTAAAATGCACTCAGTTTCCCTCAGTCTGATACACAAAACTAAATAGCATGTAGTGATGGTACTAGAGCAACAGATGAAATAAGGTTTGAACTAAGACTCAAGCTGCTTCTGAGTTGAGTTTCCTAACAGTGAAATAATCTACACCCTCCCATATACATGGCTTATAAATAATCAGTCAAGTCTCAACCTGCTATTAGGCTACCCTAAGAGCAGACAATGTATTTGTTTACCAGTACAATATCAATACATAAAATACCAAGTGTGACAGGTTTTATTCATCTCTTCACTGGGAAATTCATTCACTTATTCCACAAATATTAATTAAGTATCAACGATGTGAATGCATTGTTCTAGGCACTGGGGACACATCAGTAAAAAAAACAACACTAAACAAAAACCCTGGCCTGCCATCATAGCACTTACTTTCCAGTGAGATTCTAGAATACAAGTTCCTACAATGTTAGAAAAAACCTTCCAACTTTTTTTGAGGCTTCAAATTTCTAAGTAGGAGAAGGAATGTTAATAGTAAAGGATCTGAGTTGAGCTAGAGAGAGGTGCAAGTGTCTACCCACATGCCCTCTATTGTAAGAGGAGAGAAAGCCAGTTTACTGGCTTCCTCCTGGCTGGGAGAAGAGAAAAGAGAACTTGGTAGTGGCAAGCAGCTTGGAGAGTCAGTCATTTAACAAACATTTGTGGAGCAACAACTTTAAGATTCTCCAATACACTAATTGGATAATTCCCATCTATGACAATCTATTAGCCTCATCTAATTTTGTTGTTGTTTGAGACAGAGGCTCACTCTGTCACCCAGGCGGAAGTGCAGAGGTGCAATCTCGGCTCACTGCAACCTTCACCTCCTGTGTTCAAGCAATTCTCAGGTCTCAGCCTCCCAAGTAGCTGGGACTGCAGGTGTGCCCAGCTAAGTTTTGTATTTTTAGTAGAGATGGGGTTTCACCATGTTGGCTAGGCTGGTCTTGAACTCCTGGCCTCAAGTGATCCGTCCATCTTGGTTTCCCAAAGTGCTGGGATTACAAGTGTGAGTCACTGTGCCTGGCTGCCCTGATCTAATATTATCTCTGGTTTGTTAAAGTTTCTTCATATCTGAGCATGTTCCTAGAGAAAACAGTTGGGGAATGGTACTGTTAGAAATAGTTGCAATTATTACTTACATCACAGGTGGATGCATTTCCCACAAATGGGAAATTTACTTATTAACATGATCAATGATCATTACAGAGTTAGGTCTGATAGAGTGATATCTATAATACCAAGACCCTTAATGTCAAGGTAACATAAGCTATGGCCTGAGAGGCTAAGGCTGTTCTGCTCTTACCATGACTGAGATGTGGAGGATCCTCAGCTCCTCTTCTGCCGACTCATGTTGGGGTTCTTCAGTGGGGTCTTGTCCAGGAAGGCTTGGGGCACCATCTTGGTGATGAATGTGAAAAAGCAAAGTGCCATTCTCCAGCCACTGCTGCCTCCAGCGCACCAAAGGGATATCCTCTGTGTTCCCTGAGATCTCTAGAAGATGAACACCAAAGGCACAGGTGAGAATTAGGATGGGACCAAGTTTTTCATCTTCTTCCTCGCCACTTGTACCAATTAGCCAGTTTCGTCTGAAGCCAACAGAAGTTTCCAACAATGTATAGTTAGGTCAGATTTTACTGCTACTCCAAACCACAAGGAAGAGGAGAGACCCTGAGAAGAAGACAATTATCTCCCGTAGGTCTTTCCACCATAAATCTAGTGAACCAGGCTCTCACCCATCGAAAAAAATATCAAGGTGAAAATTCAAGTTCTTCCCCTTATTTCTATGATCTTTTACACAGCTCAGTTTGAATACCTGATACCTCCCGAGGTAAATACAAGGTTGTTTGCCTCTTGTAAATTTGAAAGTATGAGTTCCCCAGCAATTATTCCTAGACATACCAGTAAATTTACCAAGGAGAGAGTTGGTAATTACTGTGAAGACAACTGGCATTTATGGAATAGTCCTGGGAGGTTACTGCAGAGCAACTGGGGCTGGTAGGTTATTTCTAAAACCACAATCACTTGCTGCATAGTCCACTGGAGATGTTTGCTAACTTGCTATGACAGGTAAAGTAATGTTATAATTCCTTTTAATTTTGTTTCTTCAGTTTTGCAGAGCAGAGTTGGTATACATGAAGAAGACAGTGAAGAATCAGGCCCTTATCACAGACACACTCACTTGATTCTCAGGGATGGAGACTGAGGCACGAGACTAGCATCAATGACTTAATAGCAAAATACGAAAACTGACTATGCCCCTAGCACTGTAGTTGGTGCTAAGGTAGTACTGCAAAATATGCCGTGTGTATGTTCCTCTCTTTTGCATTCTCAAGCAATATTATATCAAAGCTCTGAGACATAACACAGTAGAAAAACCTGATTAACTGAGTCTCTCCCAAATTTCTAGGGAACTAGTATTCTGCTGAACATGTGTTTAGTAAACCATTGCTTTACAAAATTTTTCTTTTTTTTTTTCTTTTTTTTAAGCAAGGGTCTTGCTCTGTCATCTAGGCTAGAGAGCACTGGTGCAATCATGGCTTATTGTGGCCTCAACCTCCTGGGCTCAAGCAATCCTCCCACCCCAGCCTCCCAAGTAGCAGGGACCACAGACACACCACACCATGCTCAGCTAATTTGTTTTTTTATTTTTTGTAGAGACAGGATCTCCATATGTTGCCCAGGCTGGTCTTGAACTCCTGGTCTTAAGCAATCCTCCCACCCTGGCCTCCCAAAATGTTGGGATTAGAGACTTGAGCCATATGGCCTGGCCTTTTTTTTTTTTTTTTTTAAGGCAAGGCTTCTTCTCCAAAAATTTATTAACTTTGGCCAAAAAATAATAATAATTTCACAGACATAAAAGAGATTTAATAAGACACACTTAGAATGTATTCTCTCATCAAGTACCACAACCATAAAAAGGAAAACAATTTTAAGTATTTATGGAGCTTACAAATATATTTCACTATTTGTGGGAGGGCACAACTGATGTTATTTATTTATCGATTGGTTTGTTTATTCAACAGGCATGAATTGGCCATGTATTATGCACAGGCACTGTCCCAGGCACTCAGATACTAATCTAAACGAGATCCTCAACAAATTCTACAAAGCAACCCACCATGAGTGAATGTGACAAGTGTGACACCAGTGGCAAAGCTTTGTGGGAACACAGAAGAAGAAAAGAGTAATCTTGTCTGGGTAGAGGGTAGAAGAGGGGAGGAAAGTAGCCTCTGAGGATGATGATACTGGTAATGGGTTTGATGGGCAAGTGGACTTCCTTTCAATAGGTAGAGAAGTAGGGGAAGTATGTTCAGGCTTTGATAGGGGAATAAGGATGAGGAAAAGGAAGAATATCAGCTGGTCCGCTAAGGGTAGGGCAATTAGAAGGTTTTATATGAGCCACAGGTCATTAGCCTGTCTCAAAAGACACTGATATGATTCTCTGTCTTGTCCTACCATCCCACAGATGAGGGATAAGGTACAATTAAGAGTGTGGGTCAGGGCTAAAAGAGAAAGGGATCAGAGCCCTCTTCCATCCTTGGCCCCTCCCTAACCACCTAGAGGACTCAGTCATCCCATTGGGTTGCTAAGCTGTCCATGAACTCAGACAAAGCATCCAGGAAGCTGTAGTGGGCAGAGGGTGTGAGGACGGACAATCCCCTGAACCCCAGTCCTGGCTTTCTATAAGCATGGCCTCATTTATTAAGCGAGGCTGTGACACAGACTTCTCCAGGAAAAGAGTCCCTCTTTCTACTAAGGAGGCTTCCAGATTTCCATGTGGGGAGAAACCTGTGGGCATGTCTGTGGGGGTGCATGGTTGGAGCAGCAGTTACCCGCAGCTCTTCAGAGGAGGCCTGACAATCACAAACTCCATTCCCCACTTGGGCGCTTATCCTTCCAACCACTACTCATGCCTTCAAATCAAAGCCCCAAAAGCTCCTCCCAAGAAACACACTCTCCTCCTGTGAGTGCCTGTCCTGTTATTGCAGCGGAAACCAAACTCTGTCTCCTAACCCTGGACATAAAAATCACAAGCTGTCATAGCTCGTAACAGAGCACCTGATGACGGAATTAAATCACCCACAGCAGGGCACCTCCAGCCTCCTGCCTGCACCCATTCCACCCGAGGGCAGGATTTATCTCATACACATCTGAGTGCCACTCAGCCCTTCCTGTAACTATTCCGAAGGATCTAGCACCTCATGCCTCTAAAGCACTTGGCAAACCAGATTTTTATTTCCCAGGAGATCCTCCTCAAGTAGGTCAGGCTTATTACCTCTGTTTCCATTGTGGAAGCAAGGCAAGGTTCTTAGACCAAGGTCACCCCAGTCTGACACAGAACAAAGGCTGATGTGGATGAACAATTTGTCCCCTCCACCCCACAACACACGCACCAGACAACATCATCTCAGAGCATGCACAGACAGACAGCACACTTGAGTAGCTAAATCCATGTAGTCATTTAGGAGCTTTTATGCTGCAGTCTTTTAAGTTTTTATACTAGGTCTTCGTATCCCATGATTTCTTTGAAAATTGAGATATAATTCACATACCATAAAATTCACCCTTTTCAAGTATATAATTTGGTGGTTTTTAATATATTCACAAAGTTGTGCAGCCACAGTCTAATCCCAGAACACTCCATCAGCTCAAGAAGTTCCATACCTATTAGCAGTCCAAGGCTTTTCATGAGGAAGAAGGTCTTCTGCTCCAGGGTCCTAGGCATGGTAGCACCAATGGAAGAACAGGTACAGTGAAGGTTTGACAAAGTACTCCCATGGGGAGGTGGGCTGAGAGCACAGCCTCTGGCCTCGGCTTCCAGGCCAACCCTCAGAACCTCTCTGTGGGTTATCCATGCCCATCTCTACAGACAGTGAGTTCATGATTCTGCCTGGACTAGACTCACCATAGAGGGCAAAGGATGGAAGGAAGAGGGCACCATGCCTACCAAGGGTGCCCATCATTTTTCAGTTTCAAGATAATTACCTAATGATAGCTTCTTCCTTGGCTTTTTTCTTTTTCCTGGCAGATCTGGCACAGAAGTGCTACAATGCTAAACCAGGAATTTATTTATGTATGCTACATCTGGCCTGGGCCAACCAATGAAAAACCACACAGGGCACAGTAAGTGTCTTGTGAGTTTCTTAACTGATAGGACTGAGATCAGAGCTTGGAACATCAATGTAATCATACTGGTCTGGATCCCAGCAGAATATCTCAAGAAGAGGAAATGCTCAGAAATTGCTTTACCAATGCAAGCCTGCCATGAGGCTCGCAAAAGCAAATTTGGGAGGTGATAGTTACGCCTGCCCAAGGCCAGCTGAGGGTGTCGAGGAGGCTCAGATAGAACCTTTTTCACAGTGTACTGAATAAGCAAAGTCTCAACGAGATCCTACTCAGTCATCTCAAGATACCACAGGTGGCAGGAGCACCAATGGCATCATCACGCTGTGGGACTGAGACATCAAGAAAGGGAAGGTATCCTGATTTCTGGTGTGTCCATTCTTCTCCTCCACAAACCTCACATCCCTCAGCACCCCCTAAATGTCTGGAACTTCCCAGAATCTATGGAAACCAGGGTGCTAGTTATTCTTGTATACAATACATATTTTTGGAGCACACTATATTTGCCACATTCAGCAAATTGTGTTACATGGTCCCTATTCTCAAAGAGGTTTCAATCTAATGGGAAACTTAAGACATGATCATGAAGAAGTACTCTAAGCAGTAATAGCAGTGCTGAATGCAGAGCGGAGCTTGGCAGGGCATAAATGGATGGGAAGGAACCAAATGGGAGAAAATGTTGGAGAGGCATTCCAGATGAAGAGAACAATGTGTACAAAGGAACAGAAGGATAACACATGTTTGCAGAACCACAGGAGGTCTTGTTAAGCTGCAGGGGGGATGAGGTGGAGAAGAATAGCCCAGGACAGCAGCAAAAAATGCAGATTGGTGACAACTGTGAACGTGGTGAATGCCCATTTAAGTAGTTCAGAACTAATGGAAAGTCACCTATGGTTTTATAAAGCAGAGGAATGAACTAGGCCACAATTTAGAATGATTACAAAGACCCCGAAAGAAAATGGCAGGAAACCAGACTCAATAAGATCTTACTATAACTCTAATCCTACAGTCTATGATGACTAAAACAGTGAGTTGAGGTGGAGGAGGCCTAGGTATGGTACGAGTAACCTTGAATGAGTTGCCTTGATTTGAGTTTTCTCGTCTGAACAAGGAGGATCTGTGTCGATGAACTTGAAAATTTTGTTGTAACTTTGACATTCTATGATTCTAAGTCCACAAGGGTGTGACTCATATAACCACCTATAAAGAAAAGTTTAATATCTCAAACCATGTCAAACCTTCTCCAAGTCTAACCCAAACTCCACTTCTCCTTTCCCTCTGCACATAGGGTGGACAGGCTTGGGAGGATTTGATCAGAGCCTTCCAGAGCCAGGCCATGTTCCCACTGGACCTCAGGCTGGTGAGAAGGGCTCTCATTCATGCTGGTACAGATGCATGGTTTCTAAGAAAGATAATTTAGAGCTTCTGCATGCAATACAGAATTGGAATAATGAGATCTTGGGCAGGGAAAGTCACAGCAGAGAATAATCAGGGATAGGGAAAGGCAGTGGGAAGAAGAGTGAGATGAAATCACTTTTAGATTAGCCTTAGTCATTGTTCTAATGTTAGCTTGTGGATTGTGAGCTTGTAGCACTTTTTGTGGGGTTAGATTAGGACACTGGAAACTTTGCTTCAAAAATTCCTCTTCCAGGGATTACAACTTCCCTATACCATCCAAGTGCCCTGTTCCCTCTTTGGGCATTCCTTCATGCTGGCAGTCCCTGAACTGAGCTGCTAAGAAAACACATCATGTCAGGATCAGGATTTCTCCCAAAATACAACCTCATTGAGGACCAGCTCCATGATGCCCTCTTTCAAAGAATTTGACAGTTTGAATTCAAATATGCATTTTAACCTGGAAAATTGTCAAAGAACTTTAATTCACTGGATGGCTTAGAGTGGCTTAGAGCAGTCTTGGTATTCTGGGACCCTTTCTCACTCCTAGCAAGGCTGAGTGCAAGCTGAATCCAGCTGAGTACTAATGAGGCTGCTGTGATTGCTGAAGTCAAGGCAGGAGGAAGCATTAAGTAGTCAATTTTTAGCCTCATGTTGAGGGCACCTGATGAACTAACCCTGCAGTCTTTCAAGGTTGAGGTTGACACTCCCTGATGGCTATGACTGACTGTTAAAAGACTTTGCTTAAATTAGGAGTTTCAAAGTTGCTGTTAGTCTAAGAACGCTTATCCAAACCAAATCTAGTATGGTTTCTGAGGGGGGGTTCACAGAGCAGAGTTAGGAAAGAACTGGATCAGTTGGAGGACAAATAAGATGCACTCCTATGAGGGGATAGGATAGGAGGACAAATAAGATGCACTCCTATGAGAGCCTTATAACCTCTATGAAAGAAATACAATGGAAAGGAAAAGAGGCATCTCTAAAAATAGAATCTAGCTACACCTCCACCCTCTGCTATCTCAGCAGCCATTATGAGCTTCCCTATGTGATAAAGATTGAGCTCCGGACTTTAGTAGTGATAAACCTACTGTCAAACACTAAGAATAACAAATGGGTCTTGTCTATCAGATACTTACTATCATTAAGGTAACCAAAGATAGGCCTATGATAGAAATACCCCCCTCTTCTGTTCTTTTTTTCCTTCTAATTTCAGAGTTTGAAAGATATTGATGGTAGGTCTAGTTTCCCACATGGTTTCAGAATGGTCTTCTCACTGAAACTATTAACAGCGGTATTAACTTTCAACACCTTTGTAAGAAAATAACCTGCTTAAGTCAGGGGTTAATAACAGTAGGGGATCACTAATTATCCTGCAAATCTTCACCTTAGTATCAAGCGTGACCCAAGTCTTAATGTCTGTGGAAAGGGATCCTCTAAAGACCCCAACTTGTTTCATAAACATAATGACAGGAGCACATTAATGTCCTGGCCATCTGTGAAGGAAGATGAGGGACAGATGAAAAACAGACAAAGGAGAAAGATGCAGAGAGGAGGAACAAAGTCAGGAAAAGTGAGGAAATGAGACTAACCCGGGAAACAATGGCCCTTGGACTGAGCTGGCTGAGCCTCCATGCCTCTCGCCATAGGGACCATCTGGTACGGAGTTCTTAAGTGCTAAAATCCCGCATCCCAGATGAGAGCCACAGAAAACAGGACACCCTGCTCGGCCTGAAGTCAGCCAGCACAGATGTCAGAAACATTGATGGTTTGCCTGAAGTTTGTGCCTATATTGGCCTGGCTAAGTGAACAGCAATATGGAAAACAGCATAGCCAGGAAACTCTTTTGCGAAGATGTTCAGAGAACAATTGGGAAAGGAGTTCTCATTGTGATTCCTGTAGTTAACTCATTGCCGTAGAGCTGCTTCCTCTCATCTCATTCTCATTCCTCTTTCTCCAAACAGGCTTGAGCAATGGCCACAGAACTATGTGGAACAAAAGCTTTAGAGCAAAATAGCTTAAAATTTCAAAAAGCTCTCATCCAACAGAAGCACAGGAGGTTCATTTTTCAAGGAACCAAAATCTTCTTGACTTGCTGGGATTTGGAATAGAAATATCCACTTGTGACTAGGAGAAGGATAATTGAATTTCTATTTCCCTGCTTGGTGACATTACCCTTAAAGGCAAAAACAACAGAGCCTCATAGCATGAGTGATTCAGTGATGAGAAACAATGGCAGGTTAGAGAAAGCACTGGACAGGAAGCCTGGAGAATGGGAGTGTTGTAAGCTCCCTGGAGCTCACTTTCTCATCTTCAAACCATGGGACTAGATTTCTCTAGGAATTGTCCAGCTCTAACCATGTTATTCAATGACACAAAACCAAACATGACACTTGGCTCTAGTTAGGCCCCAAGTCAGATGCACGCTGTTTTTTCTGTATGGCACCTGGATAAATGTCTTTGCAGAAATTTTTAGAATCAGACGTTTTCTCTTGGAGTTTGGATTTTTCTTTTTTTCCTTCTTTCTTTTCTTTTTTTTTTTTTTTTGAGATAGGATCTCACTCCAGTGCCCCGCTGGAGTGCAGTGGCATGATCTCAGCTCACTTCAGCCTCTACCTATGGGGCTCAGATGATTTTCCTACCTCAGCTTCCCAAGCAGCTGGGACTACAGGTAGGTACATGCCACCATGCCCTGCTAATATTTGTATTATTATGAGACGAGGTTTCACCATGTTGCCCAGGCTGGTCACAATATCCCGGCTCAAGCAATCTGCCCACCTCAGCCTCTCAAAGTGCTAGAATGTTTCAGCTCAATCCAGCCTATCAATTTATAAGGTAAGGAGTGGCTGTATTGAAACTCATGAGAGTGACCTATTGAAACTCCAATCAACAGTCCCCAGTAAGAAAAAGATCACCCACATATAGATGCTTCCAAATAATTTTCAATGAATTATTAACCTTTGATCAGTTTTGTTTCTGTGGATAAGAGTAGCCTGATCTCTCTCTCAGTGGCTCCCCGCTTTGTAGAACTAGACTCTAAAAATCTGCAATGTTAACTTCTTTTGAAGCTGCCCATCCACCCGCTTCTCCTTTGCCGAAAGGCTAGGATGGACTAAAACGAACCAACTGAAGAAGCAGGAGTGATGAGAGAAAGGAAATAAGCACCCTGGAGAGTCCATAGTTTGTTGTCTCTGGGGGCAGTTGGGGGTGGGAGCTGTGGGAAGCAGAGGGTGGCTTTTTAAATCAGTCTTGATGGAAAGCAGTGAAGCTTTCTATGGATGCTGCTGGAAGTAGGTCACTCTACGCTACTCTGTACTGGCATGAATAGCAATCGAGCAACTACATGAACATTCTATTTACCTAGCCATGGAGATGAAAACATTCCTGTGGGGGAAAAATGCAGCCAAAAGGTTCTGACACAACCAGACAGATGAGGAGGCATTCGAATGACTTGTGATTTCATCCAAACTGATTTGCTTGTTCCTACCACAGTGTTTCTCTGGATCTTTTCAAACCTCTGCAAAGAGTTTATCCACATGATACTCATTAAAGTCTCATTTGAAAGGATAAAGAAAAAAAAAAAAGCCCAAAGCTTTTTGAAAAAGGCAGGGTTATCTGAGCTGCAAATACACTGGTAAAAGGATTTTTTACTTATATCTATTTCTATTCTCCACTGCCACCCGACTGACTTTTGTAAATTGAGATAACAGCAGGCATTTAATGGAATCTGACATCAAGTAAGGTATGTAATAATATTTAAACTCCATAATGTTAAAATATGTATTTACAGATCATTTCATACATTGTAATGAGAATAAGTCATTTTGAAGCCTGAAGTTTCACGACTGGAATTCTGATTTGAGCTTTGCAAGTCCTTGAGGGCCACTCTCCTGCAGTGATGTGTTGGGAGCAACATGGATGCCGGAATTTTGGAAAAAGTCAAAACACTGGTCACAGGGTGATTGTAAGAAAACTGTATACTAGACCCAGTGAGAGATCTGTTCATTCCAAATCCTCTGTCTTATACTCCTGGTCTTTCATTAACAAAGAGATTAGTATTTGCTATAATTTTCTGATCCTAAACGATTTCAGTAAGGTCCTCTCTATGGCTCTTGCCTTATAAAATGAATGGAAAAAAGAATTGAAAATGACTAAATATCACCTGTAAATGAGTTACAAAAGAATAGCCTGTTGCCTGTCCTAAACTGTTTTCATTCATCTCCATTTCTAATTAGTTCTCATCCACTTGTATTTCTGTTCTTATCATCTAAGATTCAACTCAACAAGTAATAATGTATGCACTGGCTCTGCTAAGAAGCCCTTTCAGTATTCATGAACTAACTTAATACACAATGACCCTTTCGTGTGAGTATGTATATCTGTATTTTAGAGATGAGGAACTTGAGTTCCAGAATAGTCAACCTACTTGACCAAGTTCACCCCGTGAGTAAATATTAGAATGGTAGGGGTGGGAGTGGCAATTGAGTGGGGAATCTTAGGTCTCCTGGTTTTAAGGCCACTGTTGTTTTTCACTATCTCAACGTTCATTCCCTCACTTTGCAAATCTCAGTCTTGGGATAATACAAACAAAGTGCTTAGCAGTACCTGGAGTTTAACACTAATATCATCATCAATATCATTAATACTGTTTGTTGTCATTATTACTATCACTCACATAAATCCTAAAATTGAGCAACAATCTTTGACAGAATTAAGCAAATTATACCTTTAAATAGCTTCAGCTGCTTAAACGTCTTCATAAGTCCAGGAACTATAAGTCCAGGAATCAGCTCAGTTCCAGTTGAGAAGCCCAGGGCAAGTCGTATTTGTACATTTCTGTAAGTACTCATTAGCAAATTGAACAATCTTTAGATGTCTCTGATAAAACTCCACGTACACTATTTATGCTTTAAGACTTGGCTATGGGGGCTTTCACAGAGGGATGCCATGCTATCTAGGCCCATTCTAGGCTGGCATGCAAGGCCAGCCCCAGGGAGCTTGTTGTCAGGCACTTAGCAAGGCACTCATGAATTCAAATGGGCAGTTCCTTCCAGGACATCAGGGTGGTGATTGTGGTCAGGGAAGAGGGAAGGAGCAAATGGATGCAATATTAAAATAACAGTTATGCTTTTATCAGTAGTAAACTGAGTCCTTCTCTGTAGACTAGTCTGTGTGAGCACCTGTCATCATAAATGCCAAGAAGTACTGCACTCAAGTACAACCTTCCATTCTCATCCTCATTCTAGGGAACAGGCTTTCCACCCCATTCCTACAGAGGCCTAAGCTTACCTTGCTGACCCTGAGCACTGCCTTCTTGCACATACAAACAGCCAGGGAGCCCAAGCTGGAGGGCCAGTCATTTCTCTTGGCTCTTCTTTATAAGCCATTTTCTCCTACAGAAAAGTGGGCATAAGTGACCTGTAAAGCTTCTTCTCACTCTAAACCTTTCTGGTATTTTTTGTCTCTCTGTGATTTGCAATTGCCATAATGGGGGCTGGACCTCAAGTTCCTTCAGAGTAAGGCTGAGACATGATAGTAATCTTAGGTATCTCTGTGGCATCATTCAGCCTGAGAAAGTGGAGTGTAGAGGGAATTCCACAAAGACTCAAGCACGTGAAGAATACCTTATTATCATCCCTGTGTTACAACTTGCAAAGGCCTTTCTTCTAAGGTCCTCTCTTCATTCATCATTTCTGTGTGGTAGGCTTTACAGAATTAGAAACCAGAAGGCCAATGAGGGTAAGTGACAATTTCAAGGGTTAGAGCTAATAAGATGGAGATAACAGCCTTCTGACTCCTGGCACAGTGCTCTTGCTACAGACTGTGCTGTCTACCAAACCGATGTTTATTTACACTGAGAAATCATGAGCCACTATGCTTGTATTTCAGCTTAATGAATTAGGTATACAGAAGATATACATCAATAGTAAACACTGTCAGGAGTTTGAAGAGTTTGGGCTTATAGATCCAAGACTGAAATTGAGTTATTAACCTATTCACACTAGTGTACAAATCATATGGCAATCTGATGTGATTTCATTGTGACAGACTCTCCTGAAGAATCACATCTGCATAGTATTTGGTTTGTTACTGGTCTAAAGACTCTCCACACTGCCTTGGGCCCATTTCTGTAGGCTAATTTGTGTAAGGTACTCATCACTGAAGGGGTTAAGATGACCTCTAAATGACCTGACAGGCATAGCTCCATGGAAACGTTGATTTAGCCATCTAATCCCTGCTGGGAGAATGATTTAAAAGAAATACAAGGTCACTTGATTGCTAAGGTATCTTGTTGCTCAGCTGAGAATAACATACATTGACAGAACAGTTTCTTTATTATTGCCCCTTCTGTATTTTCTATCTTAATTCTAAAGCCCTCCCTCCTCTACAAGCCCTCCAAACAAAATACACTTTAAGGGGCTGGTAATAAGAAACAGGAGCCATGCATTCTACATGAATAACGTCTTTCAGAAAATAGATGAAGTCTATGCACCATGTGGCACCCATCAGTGGTGCCACTCCTCACACCTACGTGTGCTGGTCACTGTAGTGCTGCTTGTGTTTGAATGTCTGTGTTCATATTCTCATACTTCACGGTAGCACTGGCCCATTAGTTTGAGATTTTAACTAAAACAATGTTAGTTGCGTTTTGCAAAATGAAAAAAAAAAGTGCTGGGTTTTCTTCCTCTGATGTGTAAGAGCACGTCCCAAAGGAATATGGCTGTAGTTTCACATATAAGCTAGATTGTAAACAAAAGTGACAGTAACTGGAATGAATGGATGATTCACCTTAAATCAGGACACAAAGACAGAAATTAGGGAGAGGTATACAGCATTGGTAGCTTCTCCATCTACTCCTCATTCTGGAGCCAAAAAGGCACAGAGCTGGAAGGTAATTCTGTGCCAGGGGACATTCATCCTCCCAGACATCAACCTTAAAGCTGAGGTCAGTCTTAGCTACTTGGCAACTGACTCTGTCTCTTTCATTCATAAACTGTTTAGTATTTTTTTGTTTTGTTTACTATATCTGTATTTTGCGATTGTACTATACTTTGGGAAGCAAGTTTCATATAAATCATACCTTCAGGGTTAAGCAGTACTTCCTTTCATTTGCCCTAAACTCATCTTCCTTGGGTTTGAAAAACTTTGAGTCCTAGCAGTTGAATATTTGGTGAACAAGGTCACATATACTTTAATGTGATAAGCCTGGATCACATTCCTCTCTTAGTCTGCCTTGTATCAGGAGACTCATTCATATTTCTTTCATCCTTATTTGGCTATTGCATCTAGTATGTGCCAGGCTTTTTATTCTACCTTCATAGAACCACACCTACTTCCTACTGATTATTACACTTACTTTTCTGTGCATGTTCGCTGGGTTCATTAAATACATTCCCTAGAGCAGAGTAATGTGGCACTGCAGAAACAGGGAGGGTTCTAATATCAGGAAACCGAAATCTGAGGCAAGGCTCTTGCACATACTACCTCTGAAAACTTTATGCCTCAGTTTCCCTATCTTTCAAAAAATGGAGATAACACAAACATCTATCAAAGGGCTGTTAAAGTGAAAGTGCACATGGAAATGCTTAGAAATATGAGTTACCATTATTAGTAATATTAATATTATCATTAAAGATTAGTGACAAGAATAACCTTTTTTAATTCCTGGTTAAAAAAAAAAGTCAATACAGCTCTACATAAGGGTAGAATACTATTGTGTTCCTCACATCCTTCATAAAGCCACTTGTTCCCCTTTTTTAGCCATGACTTCATGTAGGGTCAGTGTTTTCAGAGAATGATTTTAATGAACTCTAAGTTATTTCCTGAATCATTAATGATATGACAAAGATCCTTTTATTTCATAACTATAGCTGGAGTCTTTACCTGTGAGGGCATTACCTTGAAGTTGGTCACAGGAAAATCATCTCTCCTTTCTGCCCTCTAACACTGATCTTCTTACAGTCTGTCTCCATTGACTTGACTTTTTAGTATAAGGTTCAGTATCATCTATATCATTTATAAAGATTGTTAATCATATTGCTTTCATAATAACTGAGTCTCCATGCCCAACAAATATAGTAACTTACCATTTTTTCAAAAAATAGATCTTAAAGGGAGGATCTATCAAAAGCTTTTTAAAAATCTAAGTCGATCTCCTTGATCACTATGTATGGCACACCCCTACAGGACACTCATTCAGGCTTGGTTTCTCTGTACAGATTCCCACTGTTACCATGTCCCCCTTCACAACTGTAATCCCTTACACTCATGCTAGGTTCCATTTACAAATCTCATCTGTTGTCATCAACTTTAATGGTCTGACTCATTGAGGGGACAGAGTCCTTGCAGACAAGAATCTTTTGCTGGATAAGGTTGAATTAGATACTTTGATATCACCTTTCCTAACTTCTCTGCAATTCTTCATGATGCACGTATGTGTTTTATGCAGCACCAGGAATTTAACTATTTTTATCTGGTTGCCTGATTTGTGGTATTCTCAGTATTCATTATTACTTATTTTAGTACTTCAATTTCAAGAGGTAACATGCTTGTTGAAATATCACAAATTCTTCAATAAAAACTGAAAATAATTATTTCATCATTATTTTTCTCACTTTTTGCCTCTGCAGTAATAAAATAATTTGGTAGTTTCTAACTGGCACCATTTTCTCATATCTTGTGGGATCTCTTATTGGTAACCCGGGTGGTTACAAATTAATTTCTATCTCACACCCATTGCTTTATATACAGTTAATTAATAATCTATTAAATTCTTCCAATTTCTTGCTTTTTTTTATTTTGAGATGGAGTCTTGCTGTGTCACCCAGGCTGGAGTGCAATGGCGTGATCTTGGCTCACTGCAACCTCCGCCTCCCAGGTTCAAGCTATTCTCCTGCCTCACCCTCCTGAGTAGCTGGGATTACAGGCATGTGCCACCACGTCTGGCTAATTTTTGTATTTTTAGTAGAGATGGGGTTTCACCATGTTGGTCAGGCTGGTCTCAAACTCCTGACCTCGTGATCCACCCACCTCGGTCTCCCAAAGTGCTGGGATTACAGGCATGAGCCACTGCGCCCAGCCATTTCTTGCTTTTTTAAAAGAAAAACTTGACTTTTAAAAGGTTTCATTCATCAAAAAAAAAAAAAAAAATACTAAGTAGCTTTGCTTTCTTTGCTGGAGGTTTCCTTAGTCATTTAAAGGAAGAATGATATCCCACTTTGTGTTGTCTTTGGTTTTTTATAACAAGCTGAACCTGAATTTGGAGGGAGAAAGCTTCAGGCACGAAGATTGCTTTTCTTTTTCTGAGCAACATTTTTTCTTTCTTTCTTTCTTTCTTTTCTTTTCTTTTCTTTTCTTTTTTTTTTTTTTTTTTTGAGACAAGGTCTCGCTCTGTTGCCCAGGCTGGAGTGCAGTGGTGCATTCATAGCTCATTGCAGCCTTCAACTTCTGGGCTCAAGCAATCCTTCCATCTCAGCCTCCCGAGTAGCTGGGACTACAGATGTGCACTGGTGAGCCTAGTTTTCATTTCTTTGTAGATACAGGGTCTTGCTATGTTGCCCAGACTGGTCTCAAACTCCTGGCCTCAAGTGATCCTCCTGCCTCATCCTCCCAAAGCACCGTGATTACAGGCATGAGCTCCCATCTGTGAACAAACCTTTTGATCTCATGTGAGAGATCCTCAAACTGCAATAGAAATCCCTCATACTGGTAGAACATGGTGGCTCACACCTGTAATCCCAGCACTTTGGGAGGCTGAGGCGGGTGGATCATGAGGTCGAAAGATCGAGACCATCCTGGCTAACATGGTGAAACCCCATCTCTACTAAAAATACAAAAAATTAGCTGGGCGTGGTTGCACGAGCCTGTAGTCCCAGCTACTCGGGAGGCTGAGGCAGGAGAATCACTTGAACCTGGGAGGTGGAGGTTGCAGTGAGCCGAGATTGTGCCACTGCACTCCAGCCTGGATGACAGAGCGAGACTATGTCTCAAAAAAAAAAAAAAAAAGAAAGAAAGAAAAAGAAAAAGAAAAGAAAGAAAGAAAAAGAAATCCCTCACACCATGCACCGTCCTCACAGAAGCAAGCCAGAAAACCTACCCTGCCTTGTCTGTGATGGGAAACAAATGAAGGGGGAAGTGCATCCTTGGTCATAATGAAGGGCCAGTCATTTGAGGAAGGATGGGAAAAGAAAAGACGTTTCTCTGCTAGAGTTGCTTTTCTTTATCTTTTCTTTTCTTTTTTTTTTTTTATGAGATGGAGTCTCACTTCATCACCCAGGCTGGAGTGCAGTGGCAAGATCTTGGCTCACTGCAACCTATGCCTCCCAGGTTCCAGTGATTCTCATGCTTCAGTCTCCCTAGTAGCTGGGACTACAGGCCTGAGCCACGATGCCTAGCTAATTTTTGTATTTTTAGTAGAGACGAGTGTTTCACCATGTTGACCAGGCTGGTCTTGAACTTCTGACCTCAAGTGATCTGCCTGTCTCGGCCTCCCAAAGTGCTGGGATTACAGGCGTGAGCCACCACACCTGGCCTTAGAGTTTCTGAGACTGCGTTATAGATGATAAAGCTAAGATGAAGGGACTTTGAGAAGTAGCTCACTCTGCCTCTTTAATTATCCTGTCTAGAAAGAAAGTCTGTCATCAGGGCCGGAGACTGGCTCTGCTGCAGATTGATTGGAGTTAGAGACTTTTTCGCCCAATCTCAATTGCTTCAGTTTTCCTGGAATTGAGGCAGGCCATAAACCTATCAGTGACTCAAGAAAATGGAAGCAATTAAGTCTGCAGGTGTGCGTATTTGTCATATTAATGATGGATCTGTGTTAATATAAGTCACAGAAGCCTTCTGCATGCCGCGTTCACTTCTGCTGGGGGTGAAACCACCTCGAGGAGGTGCTGCAACTCCATCATGCAGATATCAGGGACTTTCCCCCTCAATCTCAGCGTGACTCCCCTCCTTCCCAGTACTGGCTTGGGATGCTCTCCCACTGCTGCTCCAATTGCAGTCACATTTTTCAGGGATGCCTAATTTGACTCTGGTGACGAGCACGCTAGTTAGTTAAAGATACCTAGTCAGGTATAGAAGGAGTATAATTTGCCGGTATAATTTTGGAGTCAGACAAACCTGGCTTGACTATCAGCCTTTCTACTTCATACTAGCTTGTCTTGAACGGGTTATTTAAGCCCAATAAGGATTATAACATTTACTTTATAAAGTTGTTGTGAGGAAGAAATAAAGTAATAAATGTAAAGCTCTAAATTCAGTGTCTCCTGGTTATGGTCACTTTAACGATTTCTCCTTTTCTGACCTTGAAAACATTTTAGCTCTTAAAAAATTAATTTCCAGTCATTCCTCATAAGCTGCCAGACAACTTCAGGGTGAGGAACAGTATTAGCAAGGTTCATGAGAAGACAGTAGGCCAGTGCCTCGGATGTGTCAATCTTGGTGACTGTCAACTGCCCTCTCTGGGGTAAGCTGCCTCCTCCTTTAAAAGCCAGCCAGCCTTTCCTGAGGCCCTTCATTTCACATGCCCCCCTAGAGGTGGGCACCTCACCCAAGGGCAGCCGTCTGTGGGATGGGCAGTGATCCACAACATGGTTTGACACAAAAAGGTGAGTCATCAGATTCTCACTCGTAGGAATGTGAAATTGGGAATATGGAACAAATCAGGCATAAATAAGTGGAAGCAGAGCTCAGAGAGATGCACAGGGAAAGCACAGATGGGGAGTCTGGGCCATAAGAGCCACTTCAAGCTGGAGAGACAAGGAAATAGGAAAAAGGTGAGTAAGCAAAAGCTCTGCTGTAGAGAAAAAACATGTGGCATAGAAAGAGAAACACCAGGTACGATGGTAGGGAAAGGAGAGGAAGATGTATGATAGGAGATGGGCACATTACTGCAATGCAGCCCAGGAATCTCCCAAAGCCCTACCCCAGAGCCCCAGCTGTCCTGGATCCAGGTCCACCTGCCTTGAGGGTTGGCTGACACACAGCTCCTGTGCCTTCATCCCTGTGGGGTCACTGCCTCTCACTGACCTGTCCTCACAAACATTTCCCACCATTGAGCAACTTGGGCAAGTCACTGTGCCCTGTAAGCAACAGTGCTCACCCACTGAGATGTGAACACCCTTTGGGAGATCTGGAATGCTCAGAGAATTCTGAACTCGGGCACCTCACTAGATGGCCTAGATCATGGAATCCCACAGAGGGCTCTTCTGATCCTCTGTCACATATTATAGGGAAGTCTTTCCCTCAAAAAACAACAAGTAAATATATGCCACCCAACGGAAAGAAGTTATAAAAAATGCTTATTTAGACAATGAGAGAGTAAACTAGTTCCCAGATTTCTTCATTATTGTAAAGTCTAGGTACGGCCCTTTTTTCAGTCTGCAAAATGGGAATCATGATAGCACCAACAACGTCAAACCACAATATGGTGTATCTGTAAGGTCATAAAAACACACCAGCAGATAATGATGCTGGAAAGGACATACATTCTTTTTTATTATCAAAGAAAAGATTTTCTTTTGCCCACTCACATAACTTAACAGTCAGCAATAATGAGGAAGGAAACAAAAAATGCACTGTACATGACAGCCAAAATCAGAATTTGATAAAATATCCTACTTCTAAAGGGATACTGTCATGTAAAAAAAAATCAATTTGAGTAGAAAAAAGTCTGGTTTGTTTATTAGTTTTGCTCCTAATGCCACCAAATGGACCTCAATCTGAAATGGCTTTTGAAATCAAATTTGCTGTTCTCCAATTCTGCAACTTACTCTTTATGCTAATTTGTCTGCACCTGCAGGGACAAAGAAACTGGCAGCATTGAGCATGAGATCCAGGAAGAAAAAGCAACACAAAGATTCAGGAAATGAAACCAGGACTAAATCATATTAGGTGTATAAAGGCTGGACTTTTATAAAACAAGGAAAGAGTGGATCAAATGTCTGAGAGAGTGTTCTGACTGTAGAAAATGCTAGAGCCTTGGTGAGGAAGCTGATGTCTTCCCAGGTCCCAGAAGAAAGAATGGCAGTGTGGGGTTTGTGGAATCAGAAAGGCCAAGTGCTGGGACCAAGCGGGGTCTCTTTCAGCCTGCACATCCCTTAATTATGAGAGTTATTACAAAATGTCTTAAAAGTTTCCTGCTCAAGAACTTAGACCCTATGAGTTGAGGTTAATTCTTCCTTCCAACTTAAAAAATATATTTATTTAAGGCTCTCGTTTGAAAGAAGAAGTACCACAATTTCAAGGAACAGACTGCCATCCTTTTCCCATTGTTCTCTGTTATGTGGGCCCTCAACTCTCTCCTTTCTCCTGCTTCTTTCTGCCATGCCATTGGGTGTGGTCAAAGAGTATCTGGAGCCCAAATCTAGTATCCCAAACAATATAAAACCTGAGAACACAAGTACTACAAAGACACTTGAAAATACTGTCCTCACTTTACAGATGCCCAATTCCTTCACAACATGAACTCCACACCCCCACTGAAAAGATAACAAAAGCTCAGAGAGTTAAGTATTTTGCACAAGGTTATACAGAACGTTCGCTCATAAACAATCCAGAGAAAGAATCCCACACCAGGTCTCGTTCTGTTATTGCCTCTCAAAATTCAGAAAAAAAATTAAAAATGTAATTCTTTGTATTTCTATGTTGATTCCACTTTGAGTATTTTCTCTATCACTCTGTCCAGTATATTTAATTTTAGACTTTTTACATTTCTATATTATAAAGCACTGTTAAAATTCAAGTTCTGTCAACAGCTGGTAGCTGTTGAGATACAATGAATGCTGTGAATGTTATGTGTTTAATGCTTAAGCAACAATGTCAATTTTCACCTTGGATTTATTAAACTAGGGAAAAAAATCAATTGGGAACGTAAGATGTTCAACAGCCACCCACCTACTGTCCTTCCTCTTCCCTTCCTAAGTGTCTCTTCATTCCTCCATTTTTTTTTTTCCTATATCACCAGGCCAAAAAAAAAAAAAAAAAAAAAACCGGTATCACACTCTCAACTAAGACTTTGTTTAAAACAAAATAAAATGAGCATCAGGCTTTTGTCCACTGTTTGATTTTCATTAGAGCAGCTGCCTTATGTCCTTTAGACCAATACTAGTTTCTTGTAGAAGTAAGAGTACTGTTATGGTTAGTATTAAATAATTGCATAAAATGCATTTCTATAGCAAATGACACAAACTTATTTGTGAAGTAACTCTTTTCTGTTAACTGATAAGGAAAGTCTGTGTTTTCCGTATTTGTGAATATGAAGAATTGGAAAATATGAGGTTAATTGACTTTCTCAAAATCACGCCATGAAACAGGATTAGAGTTAGAGTTCATAGCTCCTGCCTCTTCAGTCCAATTTGTTATTGGAGTCACAGAGGAATTTCTTTTAGTGAAACTTCTTGAGATTTTATGTCCCTAATTCTGTTCTGTTTCCCTAGGGAGGAAGTGTAGTGAAGGGGAAAGAGAATGGGCTTTAGAATCAGACAGACGTGGTTAGACTCCCAACTCTGACATTTGCTAGTCAGATGATCCCAGGCAAGTTACATAACCTCGAAGCCTCTGGGTCTTCATTTGTTAGGGTAGATAACAGCACACACTTCAGAGGGGTGCATGAGGCTTAAATGAGACCACGTATGAAGCATGCTGAAGGCACTCAATACATGTGTGCACCCTTCTCTCTGTATTATTTTTCTCGGACAATTAAAATATAATTGACTCACGAGAGAGATAACAAGCTCTAGAAATTGGGGACCCATTTTCTCTTATTTTCAATTTGCTTGTGAGTGCTAACATTTCAACCTGAAAACAAGGTAACTTTTATAGAGAAAATGCATTGGTGGTACCACTCTAAAAGCCAAGGCCTTCTCATTGGTCAACACAGAGTAGAAAAAACATAACCTGGAGGAAGAAAGGTCAAGGAGCTCTTGCTTGACTTGATCACTGGTGGGCTATGTGAACTTTCTTTTATTTGGTTATTCATTCATTCCTTTAAAAAGTATTTTACTTTTTATGAATTGTATTTCATGCCAATTACTAAAGATTACAAATATGAATGAGCTTGTCCATAAGAAATTTATATATCAACATGGGCAGGGGAAAAATCAGTAATGCAATAAAGGGTCAGTTGCCAAGAATACACAGGATGGAGTCAGGGTATAAAACAAGAGGGTGTAAAACACTCTTATAAAACAAGAGTGGCCCATCTTCTTAAGAAGAAAGCATCAGGAGAGCTGAAAAGAAGAGGCAATATATGCATGAAGTTTAAAGATAAGTGAGCTATATCAACTAGCAGGGTGTGGGTGGCAAGGGGAAGACACCCTGGCCACATCTTGGCTAAGTTACAGAGTCATGCAGTGATGGCAGGGTGCCTTCTGAAGACACCAAGATGGCTCTTGGTAGGTTGTACGAAGATGGGGAGCTCACCAGAGGCCAGGTTAGAGAGGATATCATGTTCCCTGTTTAAGAGTTTGAACTTTACTCTACAGATGAAGGGGACTGAAAGACATGGCTGAATTTATGCTTTTAGAAAGATGGCTGAATAATGTAGAGTCAAGCTAAGAGTGGTTTAAGGGTTTGCTCTTGGAAAGAAGAATGGAAAACGCAGAGGAGAAGTGAAAGGGGAGGAATTAGCAGAGTAAGTCACTGCTTGGATGTTGGGGTTAGGGGAAGGGAAGACATGTGGACAACCCCAGAAGGCTAGGTCAAGGTTTATGCTAGAGAGGAAACACAGCCTGGAGGAGCAAGATTGGCTGAGGGAGCAGAGGTCTGGATATGCTGAGTTTGACATCCACATTGGATTGTCAGATAGGAAAATTTAAACGGACCTTTCAGACATTTAAATGGACATGTCAGAAGTGCATAGGAAAATTCTTGTCTAAAGGCATGCACAAGTGATGGTAAGTGGAAGCCATGGTCATGGGGATGGACGAATCTACCTATGAGTGTGCAGTATGTAAAGATGAGGACCCCAGGATGATAGCAGGGACAACACTATCTGTTAAGGGAAAGGCTTCTCTGGACCTGAGTTTCCTCCTCTATTAAATGAGAGGGATGGGCTCCATGCTTTCTTAGGCTCCTTTCACCTCTAAAATGTCTCATTCCATGCTCTTTTATTTGGCTCCAGTTTTCACTCCCATGGCTCTCTTTTCTTTCTTCCACCTTTGTTATTTTTGGAAAAAGCTGTTTGAAGCTTAAGCTCTTCTGAAGTAGCCCCTTGATCTTTCTGTCATAAGGACACTCACACAAAGGGTACAGCATGGAGACTTTGCAGAAGAAGAAAAGGCAAGTGAGAATCAGGGCAGGTCTCAGCGCCAGGATGTGGCCCTTCGCATGCCTTCAAAGAAGCCACAATAGCATGGATTTCCCTCCCACTCCTCAGTTGTTCAGGGGAGATGTTTTTGATACAAACCAGAAGAATAACACTGGCCCCTTGCATTAAATACTCCTGGCTTCCCTGTAATACTCTCCTTCCCTATGCTGGAGGGAGCTCTGCCGCCATAGATTATGCCTAAGGTATTGGTAGCTCATTACTTGCTAGTAGATTTAAAAATTACTAGGATCATAAAATTTTCATGGGCTATATCTCCATTTGTCATTTTACCCACTCATTTCCTTATCAATGCACAATATTTCCTATTTTTCTACATCCTGTCTGCATAAGGCACATGTGGATGTTCTCTGTAGAAAATACACCCAAATTCCTATTAAACCCAAGATAAAAGAGACAAAATTCAATTTATTTTTTGTATACTGTCAGTTTCTCATTAGCCTTGACTTCTTAAGCCCTCGGGTTATGGACCAGTGCTTATTTTCATGGCTGCATTACTAGATTTTATTACATTTGTACCGAGAGGCAAGATAGTCTCATTTTATATCTGGAGAAATAGGTTTAGTGACCTGGTGACAGCAACTGGCCATGGATCAGTATATTTTCCTCATTATGTGAGTCTAGGGCCATATGTTTTTGGTTGTCTGGGCAGAGTATAAAACCCACTGCTCGTCACACACAAATTCAACACTAGTGATCTATCGCCCTCTTTCTGGAACCACCCAACATCAGGAGATGATGGTCCTCAGGATTACAATTCTGGAAGGGAATTTGCTGTTCTGAAAGCAACATTCTTTTCTCTGTGCCAAATCAGGTCATGCGCCATTGAGAAAAAAAAATGCTTCATCTCATCTTTAAAAATAAAAATGTTGATTTTAGGCTTTGGAAGTTAAGAATTCCAAGTATGAAGTCAGAAATTAAAGAAATTGCAGCAACTGGGGCTTTCCCTCTATAAAGCTGTGACTAAGCATTAGGTTTCTAACCCCTGGAATAAAATACTTTTCCTCTTATAAAGGACCTTTACACAACAGGCAAGCAATAGAAAAATCTTTTCATCCTCTTTTGTAAGGATAATGGAATTCAACAAAGTACCCAAAATCCTGAATTGTCAACACACTCTCATAAGTGGACAACTACTCTCAGTGGTAACCACCTGGGGTCAGGAGATCAAAATTATAGATTAAATATAGAACTGCCAGGAAGTCCTAACACCACCTGGCCCAAACTCCTGCAGAAAGCACTTCTGCCTTTCAGAGAGAGTCAGAGGTCTCTAGGGATAGACGTTCTACATCCTCCTCCAAATCCTTTTCTGCAGCATATTTATCCTAACTTACTAAGATATTTTTCTTCTTTTGTCAGAGTAAATTCTCCCTTGCTGTCATTTAAGCCTGTTCCTTCTGGCATTGTCTTCTGTGGAGATGGAAAATAACAAGTTTGGAGGCTCCTTATAATATCTGCAAATACATGACCACCTCCCTTTGCAGTGCCATCCGCCTCTGACTCCAAGGCACAGTGCTGCTCCAGCTCCCTACTAAGTAGGAGTTAAATTCTCAGAGCCATACTTCCAAAACTCCATCATGGAGTGAGTGCTTGCAGGTACCACAGTTCGGACTTGGGAGGAAAGAAAGGCAAATGGCCACACTGAACAAGGGCAAGAGACCCATCTAGTTTTGCTTTACCATGACCCCAGCCCCTACATGTCTCCCACCAAAGGCAGAAGGCTGCTATGTGAGCTCTAGGGGTTTATGTACCTTCCCAATCACAGAGGTGCCAACGAGTGTGTCCCCCCACAAAGAGAAAATCTCCAGAGTGGATATATTCTGAGCCTAATTATTGCCTTCATAACTCAAACCTATTATCCCAATCCAGATCTATCTATAAAAAAGGTGAACTCTGTTAACTTCCTTGTTTTTGACTTCAAGATTTTTTCATTTCTTCACTTTTCATTTCATACTCTTTCCATCTTAGAGGGAAATCTATTTATTTCCATGGTTAACCCCTCTACCTGTGCCCTTGACCCCCTCCCTCACTTGCTACCTCCCGTGATTTTGCTCTATTTTTGTGTCTCTTTCAACTTCAATCTCTCTTTCCACTCTTTCTCACGGCTTGGTCTAAAATAATGATAAAAGTAATTCCCACCCCATCTCCTTACAAAATACTTTTGACCTTAATTTTAGCTTTTCTTACTGCCTTCTTTTTTTTTTCATCAATTGTCCAACCCTTAAAACATAAGCTTGTGAATTTGTTTTTTCTCTTCATGTTCCCATTCACTTCTTAACCCACTGACATCTGTTTCTGCCTCAAACAATGTAGGGTGTGAAAAGAAGGGCATTGGCGTAAGATACTGTGAACTTCTAACTGGACCAAGAGCCTGCTGAAGACATGGGTTGAGCACAACAAGTGAATGTTAAGGAATGGAGAAATGAACCCAGGAAAGGAATGGAATAACAGAAGGAAAGCATAAGAAATGAGACTTACTAAATGGCTGGTACTAGTCCATACCAGACACTATGTTAGGTGTTATAAATACTTGTCTCACTTGATTACAGATGACATTTGTTCCGAATTCAGCTCTGCTCCTAATCATCTAAATATCATTTAGCTTTTCTGGACCCTAGTTTCTTACCTATAAAACAAAGTAATTGGACTAAAGGATTTCTAGTGCTTCCTGACAACTAAAGAGATGAAGGAAAAGTATCTGGTTGTATATGTTGGAGTAGACGTTAGAAAAAAAATAGCCCCATGGTTTCTAGAGCATTTTTATTTTAAACCTGACAAGGATCCTTATATTTTGTCTTCCTGTTTACCCAGCGTTTATTGGGTAAGGATTCATGTTTTTATCTCTTTTTATTCAAAGACATATATAACTGGATCCCCTATGGTCCAGTGACAAGATCATCTATTTGAAGCTAGGTAGCATGAGTTTAAACCCCACTTTGCCACTTACTGGCCATATGACCCTGGGCAGGTTCCTTGATGATCTGAGTGAACCTCAGATCTCTCACTTGGCAAAATGCAGCCCAGGTGGTAACATGCACCTGCACAACCCCTGCCTGCCAGGGTTGTTGTCAGTTGGCCAGAATAATGCATCAATGGCCTTGTTCACACAATTGTTGGCACAGAGGAAGCATGCGTACATGTGTGGTTCCCTGGTTTTCTCCTTTTCTCTTTCTTCATGAGCGTGGGCATTGTCTTCGCCAGGTTCGTACTTTCTTGGAGGCTCCTAGGTAGGCTAGTGCCTTTTGTGGGAACTACAGACCTACACCAACCTCCTCATTATAGGATGACATAACAGAGTTTAGACACATGTCCAAGTCCATTGGGTTAGTGGCAAGGTCAAAATTAGAAATTAAGTTGTTGAACTCTTCATGGGGTTCTCATTCAAGCTCTCCACAATGCTCCTGGAAAGGGGTCTGCAGAGCCCATTTTATGTTCCCTGTGGGCCCTCAGAAAGGAAAAAGTGCTTCAAACTCAATAATTATGATCTGATCCAGGATTTCTCTGCGCTATTGGAATTGCTGGATGTCCTGGTCTTTTATAATAGCAGAGAAGCCCTCTCTCTCCCCACCCCACCACCCACCCCCACCTGCTGCCTTTCCCTAGTGAGCTTCTTTCCTCTTTCTTGTCTCTCTAGTGGCACTTTCTCTGTAGTGTCATGAATCCATTTAAAAAACTCCTTTTTTCACCTTTTAACTTTCTTCTCATTGTCAACTAGTGTTAGACATAAACTCAAGTTTCTGAAGAAGAAAAAAAATAGCAATAATCCCAAACTAAACAAATAAACCAAACAACATCAACAATTAAAGTTTAAACATATATTTATTGTGGAAAATAATTAGCCTAAAAATGTTCCTCTTTGGGTTAAACTAGCAGATGCTAGAATCCATTTAGATGCTCAGCAGAAGGGATGGATAAATGATGTTATGCACATATGATGGAATACTACGTAATACTAAATGCCAAAAACCATCACATGTTTCAAAGAACATTTAATGACATGACAAATCACTCACAAAATAGAGTCAAATGATTTTTTAAAAAACTTTTTTAAAATGTGCAAAATATGAGCTCAGTTTTTTAAAAAGAAATTATATATGCATAGAAAATTGGCAGAATAATGTTTATAGTTTGTTTCTAGAAAATAGATTTGTGGGTGATTTAAAAATTCTTCTCTATATTTTTCTGCTTTTTTCTAATTGTTCCATGTTCAATAAATAGTTTGTAATGAAGAGGAAATAATAGTTTTAATTTTGAGAATATACATTGTTAAGTATCTTTTATGATAACTAATATGCATACTTTGGGTGTTTTGTTTGTCAAACTCAGAAAGTTATTTGCATGGATACAGACTATCATAGCTACAGAGAACTAGAAAACGGCATCTATTCTCAAACTTTTTTTTTAGAATTTTTTCTAAAGAAACCTTACAGAGATGCTTACTATATCAACAAAGATAAAGAGCTGTTCTCCTCCTGGCAGGGATAATGGGCACTGAGTCCTAACATGCCCCTTCCTCCTGGCAGCTGAAGCATGTTAGTGAAATCCTTTGGACTCTGAAGAACATAATTTGCAAAGATCCTGATCTGGTACAATACCTCCATGACACAGATGATGAAGGGTCAGGCACCAAGAAGCACCGTGACTTGTGTAAAGAAAGCAGGTTTCCTGGCCATGCCTAAACAGAAAACCCTAGTTTTCAAACCCCTAAGTTGGTTGCATTAGAAACTTGCCTAAATGTGGAAATCGTCTTTCAGTGACATTCTGGAGATCCAAAACCAGTAACAGTACCTGTGATGCTGACCATGAATAGCCATCCTCAGCAGAGTGCTCAGCAAGCCATATGCTGAATTCTGCCCGTTCAGCAAGAGCCTGAACATTATTTATTATTCAGAGGTGACCATGGCCTCCTTTACAACCTTCATACTTTGTGAATCTCCTCTAATCCCCACCTCCACCCTCAGGCTGCCTAGGTTTACAAGAAATACTAGTAAATCCTTTCCCCTGGTTGCAATGAATCAATGTCCCCGTAGTCTGCTAGTCCGCAACCGTGTTTCACGCAGACCAACTTTTGGATGGAAGCATAAAACCCCAAATCTTGCTGAAGCTATTCAGAGAGCCCAAGGTGCTTGTGGGAGTTGGGGAGTGTTAATCCCCACTTGTGAGGCCGGCTCCTACTCTGGTAATTACATTTTGCCTTGAAAAAGCGTCCCCGCTGCTGCTGTTAGATGCAGTCTTCATTTTCACCTCACTGAGTGAAGTTCGGAGTTAAGGTCTCTCTGAGGGTGGCTTGCTGACACCGGAGGCTGCTTCATTCAGGAGATGGCTGCATTTCAGCACCAGCTCAGTTGAGCTCTACGTCCTGGGATTTACTGAGCTGTTTGCAAAGAGCTTTGGATTAATGAAGTTGTGTACCTGTAAGGTATTATCATCACCTAATCTTTTTCTACCTTCAACTCCGGTGATAGTGATGGGGAACCAACTTCATGTGCCTCAGAGTTTCCATTTAGTGTAGGCCTAAAGGCTTAGATTTTGAAAATATATCTGAATGCCTCAGATGTGACAGAATTGGACTGGAAATCCATTTAAGCACCTAAAGAGAATGGAAGATTTCCCACCTTACACGTGGGGATGCTTGCGTGCCTGTCGCCTCGGCTACCTTGGTGAAGCCAGACCAAAGTTCCATTGCCAGAGTTGAATAATATTCACTCCTAAGGTGCCCAGCCAAGCTCTCTTGGTGCTCTGCATTCCACAAAAGGGGAAATCGAGGCAGTTTACTTAAGCTGGGAAATCAGGCCAATAATCCAAAGACATACAGGGGTTGAAATAGCCCTGACATTCACCATGTGCCCGACTGGATACTTCCCTGAATGTGGCTAGCGTCATCCTCAGTAACAACAAAGAAGGCAAAATGTTCACAAGGGAAAAACACACTTTTTTTGTGAGTTATCAACAACCAAGAGATGCTACTTAAACGTTTTTGAAAAATCCTACCCTCTTTTGATAGAATACTACTTTAAAAATTATATTAAATATATTTAAAAACATGGCATGCTCATTCTAAGAAGGCACACAGCCCAGAGGATTTTGAAGCAAAATTTCTGCCCCTCTGCCTTCCAGTCGTACTCCCAGAATAAACTAATATTCAAGCTTGAAACATATCTTTACAGTGCTTTTTCCAATTCATATAAATATATGCAAACACATATGGAGTTTTCTTTGCTCTCTTCTTTCCTCCCTTCCTTTTCTTTCTTCCTTCTTTCCTCAATAAAACAGGGTATTAAAAATACCAAAATGCTTTCCTTAAGGTTAATAACAGTAATATTCATCTGATATGAACTACTTCACCTGGCTCGGGGGCAGGGAAAGTCATATCCCTACTCGTATTTCTCCTCTCTCTCTTCCCAGCACACTCCTCCCCTTTATGAGCAGGACAATGGCAGACAAAGGTGGTGAGCAAGCAAGAGAGGACGCTGATTTTTCTTGGCTATATAACTAGCTACAGCCAGTTATTTGCCTCAAAAGCAGAGGAGGTGACCCAGAAGCTGACGCCCTAATCTCATCAATGTGCAGGCATGGAGCAGGCTGAGCTCTGTGATGTATCAGATGCCAAGAGTCTTTCTGCTCAGCAAGGAGCTCACGATAGAGGGTAGTCCCTGCAAGCCCCTTGAGAGTGTCTGGATTATTTTTGAAAGAGGCCAGATTTGAACTTTCTAATAACAAAAGCTCCTGTGAGGGGAAATTAAAGCCATTGTTATTATTTGGTTAATGTATTAATCTCTGACTCATAGCTATAACTTGAGGGGGAGGGAGAGAAATAGAAAAAGAGAGAGAGAGACGCACTGGGACATCATACCCTGAAAATGTTTGCGACAAATAAGATCAACGTTTGCTTCTCAACTCTCAGTCCAGTTCACCAAAAACTAGAAACCTTATGCCAGCCAGGGTACACATGTTTGCACACTCATGCCATCCTTTCTCTCGCACACCCACTGCTCACACCCAGACAAATGCATGAAGGGCTGTTTTGTCTTTGTCCCCATTCTAAGGCCTCCTCCCGCACTGCCCCAGCCCCTAGCCTGCCCACCACCTGCACGTCACCCTCCCTTAAGTACTGTCAGGCATGCTGGGTCCTCTGGGTTCTTTCTCAACCCTACAAACTCCATCAAAATGGACTCTTAGCAAAGGGCTTGGCAATAGAGACACGAAAATAGAAATGAGAAGTCACTGACATTGGTCACCTTTTCTAGAGGTATGATCAGTCAGAGGTCTAGCAGTTTTTACTTCAATTAATAAAATAGGGCATCCTCTTCGGTTCCAACATCAAAACCATCAGTTGTCAATATGTTAATCTGGCCTTACTCACATGAACCTACATGTACACACATGTAAAACACACACACAACACACACACACACCCCCCTCAATCAGTGCCACCGTCATCAATACCATACAAAATAATATAAAACAAAGACCCTAGCAATTTAGAAAGGTACAATTTATATACAATTATATTGATAATCTTTGTAATTCAATTTTTACGAGAGCCAACCACCACAATATGATAATATCCTGGAATGAGGGATCTCACAGACCAGCAATCAGTTACCCACACACAGTACCCTGTTTATCTAGTATAGAGATTCACTGTATTTCTTACTGTCTGTCTTCCCTAATTTGAAAGATCCTTAACATTAATTGAGCATATGCAACATGCTAGACATAGCTATAGCTTTACAAACATTATATCATTTAATCCTTAAAATAACTCCTTGGTATTGATATTCTTATTATCCCTTTTATACTGTGAGCTTCCTAAAGAACAAGATCCATGAGAGAGCCTTATGTTTCCAGTCTCTGGTAGAGTGTCTAATGGATAAATAAACCATCAGAATTGCTTGGCAGATAATTAGCATCATAATGAAAGCTTAAAACTAGAAAAGATTGCAAAGATCATATAGACCCAATACCCATTTGATAATAAATTCCACCTAAATGGTCATTAACCTTGTGCTAACATAGCTCAGCTGACTCTCCACATTTGGATGAAGGCCACACATCTACAGAGAGCTCAGTTGAAATGCTCTCTACATTGAGTCAAAGTACCTCTTCTCTGAGGCTTCAATGTGTAAATTCCTTGTTCTACTCATTTTTCCTTTCCCATGTCTATAAGAAAACCTTCAAATATTTGAAGTCAACTCCCAAGGCTCCCACATTTTTTTCTCATCAAATAAAACTAGTTCATTCCGTTGTTCCTTGTCTTTCAACATGCTTTGGGATTCCTTTACCATTCTGTCTACATGACCTTGTTTTCTAGATGGGTGGGGGGCTGGGGGGCTAAACACAAATATTTATAAGAAGCTGAAGGGTAACATGCATATGTGAGTCTGGTCCTGCTTGATAACAAAGGAGTGATGAGGCTGGTGAAAGGGGAAGTCCTGCCCCACCAAAATGCTTTCAAATGAAAAAAAATAAACTTCTGAAAGCCAAATATGTATTTGGATTAGGTGCATGTACTGAATTAGATGCTTCCTGAAACACAGCAACCAGAACTGACCTCAAAAGTCTAGGTGTCATCTGACCAACTCTCAAAAAAGTGATGTTAATTCCTCATTGGAGTAACTATACTCTATTAAATATTGCAAACATTACATTAACCTTTTAGTACGTGACATTCTGTTGACTCACATCAGGCTTCCTGTGAACTAAAGCCTGGAATTATTTTTATAGGGCTGTTATTAGTGGTTTTTCTTGAATGCAGTTTTAGGATTCCATGTTTATTTTTACTAAATTTTACCTTGTCAGATTCAGCCCATCTTTCCAATCTGTCAAGATTCTTCTGAGTGCTGACTGTCATCTTTGCTATCCAATGCAAATACTCCCTTTGCTAGCTTCACGTAACTTATAATTATGATAAACATGTCTTTTTAATTGAGATATAATTTGCATACCATAAAATTTACTCTTTTAAGATGCACAATTCAGTGATTTTTAAAATATTCACAAAGTTGTGCAACTATCACTATTCTCTAATTCTAGAACAGTTCTATCTCCCCAAAATGAAACACTCCCATTAGCAGTTCCCATCCCCCAGCCCTCCATCCTCTAGCAACCACTAATCAACTTTCTGTCTCTATGTATTTGCCTATTATGACATCTCTTATAAATGGAGTTCTATAATATGTTTCTGATTTCTTTCACTTAGCACAGTGTTTTTATGATTCATACATGTTGTAGCACGTATCGGCACTTCACTTTTATGGCCAAATAATAATACATTGTGTTGATATAACACACTTGTGGATTGTCTCTTTTTTTTAATATTATGAATAATGCTACTATAAAATTTTATGTATACTTTTTTTGTGTGAACAGATATTTTCAATTTTCTTGGTTATGTACCTAAAATAAAATGACTGGGTCATATGGTAATTCTATGTTTAACTTTTTGAAGAAATGCCAATTGTTTTCTGCATCAGCTGAACCACTTTAAATTCCCACCAGCAAGGTACAAGATTTTCAATTTCTCCACATCCTCCACCACATTTATTATTGTTCCCATTTTTGACTGCACTCACCCTAGAGGCTGTGAAGTTGGAATCTCATTGTGGTTTTGTTTTGCATTTTCTAATGACTAAGGATGTTGAGCATCTTTTCATCTGCTTGTTGGTCATTTCTGTATCTTCCTTAGAGAAATGTCTGTTCAAATCTTTGACCAATGCTTAACTAGAATACTTGTCTTTTTATTGTTGAGTTGTAGGAGTTCTTTATACATACTGACTACAAAACCTTTATCAGATACATGATTTACAAATATTTTCTCCCATACTGTGGGTTGTATTTTTACTTTCCTGATGGTGAATTTTGAAGCACAAAAGTTACAAACTTTGACGAAGTCAAATTTACCTAGTTTTCTTTTGTCGCTTTTGCTTTTGGTGTCATATTTAAGATCCATTGCTTAATCCAAGATCACAGAAATTTACACCTATATTGTCTTCTAATAGTTTCATATTTTTGGCACTTACATTTAGGTGTTTGATCCATTTGGGGTTCATTTTGGTATATGGCATGGGGTAAAGGTCCAACTTCATTGTTTCCATGTGATAGGCAGTTTGCAGTTGTCCCAGCACTTTTTTTGACAAAATTATGATTTCCCTCATTGAATTGTCTTGGCACTCTTGCCAAAAATGAATTGTCTGTAAATATAAGGGTTTACTTCTAGGCTGTAAAGTGATATCTCATTGGGTTTTTTATTTTAGACATTCAATACTAACCCATTTCTATATATCTGTGCTTATGCTAGTACCACACTGTTTTTATTGCTGTAGCTTTGTAGGATAAACATGTCCTTGACTGTTAAAGAAGTTAGTTATAGAAATGCTGAACAAGACGGAACTGAACAGAGAGCTCTGTGCCACGACACTAGAATATAAGCTCCATGAAGTCAGGGGCTTCATTTCCTTTGGTCACTGTGCATGACCAGTACCTAGAAAAAAGTCTGGTACATGGTAAAGCTCTGAATATATATTTGTTGGCTGACTGAATGAATGATTGAATGAAAAATATAACTAGCATCCCTTTCACATTTCAACCACATAATCTACTTAGTTGGACTAGCATTCTGCCTTCTCCTTTCATCACATCTAGAAAGCTAGTGCAGAAGGCCTTGCCAAATGCCTTGCTGAAGTCCAAAAGACATTTGTTTTCAGCCTCAGTGTCAGGACACTGTACGTGATATCCATAACGTTAGAGTCATCAAAAGAATTTGCCCATTTCTGGCACAGGCAGGATTTCACCTGGTAATTTAAGAAGGAAATAGTCTATTACCCATTCCTCTAAAACCATTATTTTACCAACCTAAAAAAAATTGCAAAATTCTAGGGCACCCATACTTACTTCATTTGATCGGTCAAAAGGAACAAAAGGGCCACTATCTAGAGACTTAGTACTCTGAGGTGTCACTTTTGCCCTTTGTGTAAAAAGGGTAAGCCTGGAAAGCAACAATACAAAATCAGGAAAAAAGATCCTGCACACACCCTCAAGACTGGCTCTGCCAGGGCTTTTCCTGCTTCTGAACAGGGCCTGGGTGAGTTGAAAAATGACACAGTGTGCACATTTCATCAAAACACAAAAGAAATATCAACAAAGAAAAGGTTAGATTTCAATCATTTCCCATTGATTAATGATTCAGAGTTTGTTTTTAAAAATTCAGTTGTTCTCTTAATTGTATGTGGAAGAAGACTCTTCAATTATGTGTGTATACATGGGCCTGTTAGGTCACTGCATTTAATTGAGGGTTTGTGTTTTGGGGCTTATGTTTTGGGTTCAGATCTACATATAAATACTGATACTGATGTTGGCTCCCAAGAGCTCCTGGCTTATAGAAATGCCCTGCCAAAATTTCAGGAACTTCCAGGCAACTCCTGCAACTCAGATAATGACTTCAGCCTCATGTATTAGTGCTGCTTTTATATTAACAAATGATCACCATTGTCATTTCAGATTGCTACACAATTACCACAGATTATCTCATTTAATATTTTCAAATGAGATAGATATTATCCTCCACTGTACAGATGATAACATCAAGGCTCACAGACACTAAGAAAATTGTGAATTCATAATTAGAGGAGCCAGGACTCAAACTCAGATCTGTCTAACACTGAAGTGCATGCTCTTCATCACTGTGCCATCCTGACTCTTAAAAAGAAATAATGCCTCATGAATATGCACAGGGCAGTTTTAAGTGAAGGGAGGCTGCCTATGCACATGATTGTTTTCTATGTATAATCCAATTGCTCATCTTCCTCCAGTCCCCTGCTTTGGGCTTAGGATTAGTGTTCTAAGAAAAGAGGCTCCAAAGAGCTGCCTTACCCCTTTCACCATGTGGAGACACAGTGAGAAGCCACCATCTTTGAACCAACTTACCCAACACCAAATGTGCTAGTGGCTTAATCTTGGACTTCCCAGCCTCTGGAACTGTGAGAAGCAAATTTCTGTTGTTTATAAGCCACCCATTGTATGGCATTTTGTTATAGCAGCCCGAACAGACTAAGACAGAAAATTGGTACTGAGAAGTGGGGGTGCTGTTGTAACAAATACCTAAAAATGTGAAAGTGGTTTTCAAATTGGGTAATGAGTAAGAGGCTGGAAAAGCTTTGAGGTGCATGCTAGAAAAAGCCTAGATTGCTGTGAAAAGACTGTTAAGGGTAATTCTGATCAGGGCTCAGAAGAGGTGAGTGGTACAGAAAGCCTTCATCTTCTTAGAGAATACCTAAGTGATTGTGAAGAGAATATTGGTATAAATACAGATGATAAAGGCCATTCTGATGAGGTCTCAAATAGAAATGAGAAACATGTTATTGGAAATTGGAAGAAAGGCAATCCTTGTCATAAAGCAACGAAGAACTTGGCTTAATTGTGTTCGTGTCCCAGTATTTTGTAGAAGGTAGAATTTGTGAGTGATGAAATTGGATATTTAGCCAAAGCTATTTCTAAGGAAAGTATTGAAGGTGTGGCTTAGCCTCTCTTGAGTGCTAAGAGTAAAATATAAGAAGTGAGAACTGACTTAAAAATGGAATTGTTAATCAAAAGGAAAGCAGAATTTAAAAATTTAAAAGATTCTTAGCCTATCCATGTTGGAAGAAATGAGAAAGCCTTTGTAGGAGAGAACAAGAGTGTAGCTAAGCAACCTTTTCATAAGGAGATTAGTATGGATCTGCCATCTCAATAAAAGTCTGCTACTATTTGTTGAGATAATGGAAGAATGACCCCAAAGGCATTTTAAAGATCATTGGGTATGCCCCTCACAATAGCAGCCCAGAGAGCAAGGGCCTGGAGGGAAGAACAATTTCAAGGCTCCATTCCCCACCCTGTAGTGCAGTATCCTCAGCTGCCCTATGTGTGGCTGCAGTAGGCTCAGGGCCCTGTGGTAACCCTTCTGGAAGGTACCAGTGGTAAACCTTGGCAAAATCAGTGTGGGGACATCTCCCCTATATGAAGTGCATGAGCTGTGGAGGCATGGCTACCTCTACCTAGATTTGAAAGATGGAGACCTGGAGCCTTAGCATCACAAACCAGGCAGAGGTCCACTGTGGTGATGGAGGCACCTCAAAGACTCCCCTTCAAAGAGTCCCCACTAAGACAAGGCCTAGTGGAGCTATGGGGCAGGGCCACCCTTGCAACTCCAGACCAGTAGAGACACTAGATTGCAATTCCAGTCTGGAACAGCCCCAGGCAAGTGACTCCAACCCAGGAGAGCTGCCTCATCAGCTGTACCCAGCAAAGCCATGGGGGAATGGCTGCCAGGAGTCTTAGAGAACCAAGCCTAGCCCCAGTGTTTTCTGAAGGTGGAACATCAAGTCAGAAAAGACTATTCTGGAGACTTAATGTTTAGACTTAAAGATTTATGTTGTTTCCCCTATTAGGTTTTGGCTTGCTCAGGACTTGTCACTAGATTCTTCTTCCCTATCTATTTCTTTTGGAATGAAAATGTCTATCCTATACTTATCCCACCATTTGTATTTTGGAAACACATAACTTGTTTGATTTCACAGGTTCACAGCTGTAGAGAAATTTGCCTCAGGTTAAATAATACCTTGAGTCTCACCTATATCTGATTTAGATAGTATTTAGATGAGATTTGGACTTTAAAGTAGATGCTGGAATGAGTTAATACTTTGGGGGCTATTGGGATGAAATGAATGCATTTTTCATGCAAGAAGGACATTTGGGGGCCTAGGGGTAGAATGCTATGATCTGAATGTTTGTGTCTCCCAAACATCATATGTTGAAACCCAATCATTAATGTGATGGTATTAGGAGTTGGGGTCTTTGGAAGATGATTAGGTCATGAGGGTGGAGAACTCAAGAATGGATTAATGTTTGATATAGTTTGGCTGTGTCCCTACTCAAATCTCATCTTGAGTTGTAGCTCCCATAATCCCCATGTGTTATGAGAGGGATCCAGTGGGAGGCAATTTTATCATGGAGGTGGGTTTTTCCCCTGCTGTTGTTCTCTTGATAGTGAAAAAGTCTCATGAGATCTGTGGTTTTGTAAAGGGCAGTTCCCCTGCCACATGCCCTCTTGCCTGCTGCCATGTAAGACGTGCCTTTACTCCTCCTCCTTCACCTTCTACCATCATGGTGAGGCCTCCCCAGCCTTGTGGAACTGTAAGTCCATTAGACCTCTTTTTCCTTATAAATTACCCAGCCTTGGGTATTTCTTCATAGTAGTATGAAAATGGACAAATACAATGCCCTTATAAAAGAGGCCCCAGTGAGCTGCTTTGCCTTTTCCGTCATGTGAAGACACAGCATGAAGGCACCATCTCTGAACTAAGAAATGGCCCTCACTAGACACTGAATCTGCTGGCACCTTGATCTTGGACTTCTCAGCCTCCACAGCCATGAGAAATGAATTTCTGCTTTTTTTTTTAATAAGCTACCCAGTATACGGTATTTTGTTATAGCAGCCTAAATAAACTAAGACAAAAACCCAGTTTAGAGCAACCCATACAGAGATCTTAAGTGGTTTCCTCATTTCTTCCCCAGGCTCAACAACACTTTCATCATTTTTACTCATCACTATCATTTATTGAATTATCACCACTGCTAGGAAGAAGATGCTGTGAAATTTTCAGGGAAAGATCCCATTATTATTTTTTTCTCCAACTGCCAAATGCCTTCACTTTATTTCATATGATAATTTTTCAATATAGGTTCAACCTAATGATTCCAGCTCCCATGAACACTGAGGTTAGAACCTGGGTCTCGGGTTAGAACCCGATTTAAACTCCAGTCCCACCGTCTATTGACTATATGTCTCTATGCAATTCATTTAATAAAGTTAAGTATCAATTTCCTCATCTGAAAGTGGCTATAATAATAGTACTACGATATCATGATAAAATAAAAACTATAGAAATATATCTTTCGTCTTTATCTCTGTTCCTGGCATAAAGCTCCTAAACCCTTGGAATTTCCTTAATGATAAGGGTAAGAGGAGGAACATCTTTTGCTATTCATAATAAGGTCCTTTCAACCATCCCGGAGTTTATGCTAATGAGATAAATGGGGTAGGGGAGTTAGTTGCCAGAGTAACCAAATTGGTGATTGAAACCTTGGAACCTTCAGCCCCACCCCAGACCTTCAGTGAGAAAAAAAGGGCTGGAGATTGCACTAATCATCAGTGGTCAATAATTTAATCGATTACGCCTATATAATGGAACCTCCGTAAAACCCCTAAATGACAGGGTTTAGAGAGCTTCCATGTTGGCAAACACATTCAGGTGCTGAGAAGATAGCACGTCTAGTGAGGTCATGGAAGCACCTCACATCTTCCCCCACCCCATACCCTTCCATATCTATCTCTTGACTATTTCTGAGTTGTACCCACAATAATAAACTGGTAAATGTAAGTAAAGGATTTCCCTGAGTTCTATAAGCTGTTTTAGTAAATTATCAAACTTGAAGGAGAGGGTTGTGGGAAATCTTCCCACTCTCAAATTTACAGGCATTTGGTCAGAAGTATGAGTAGCCTGGACTTGCCATTGGCGTCTGAAGGGGGAGCAGTATTATGGGAATCTGTGGGGTCTCATGCTAACTCCAGGTAGTTAGAGTCAGAACTGAATTGAATCACTGGACACCCAGTTGGTGTCCAGAGAGTTGGCCAATTGGTTGTTGGCGTGAAAAACCCCACACATTTGGTGTCAGGAGTGTTGTGAGTAGGAACAGATCATCATAGCAGCGGGAGTACCTATATCAAAGGACTGTCATAAAGATGAGATAAAATAATACAGTGCCTGACACTTAGCAAAGCTGACATGTTAACTATTTTTATTTTTTCTTATTTTCTTTTCTGAACCCTCCAGATCAGTCACCTTGCTTTGCCTAATAGCCCCTTTCCATACAGTGACAAAGTGACTTCTCATTAATTAGCATTGGATGTGTGGTGGTCAACACAACAAATGTTGGGTGCAAAGAAGGAAGCAAGGAGAAACACTAAGCATATGGAAGAAAAAACGAAGGGGAAACAGAAAGATGAGGTAGAAAGCAGAAGGACAAAGTAAACAATGATTTGAGAAAAAAATATCGGTTATGATCTTCTGTGATAAACTAATCCCCATTCCTTCTCTCCATCTGCCTCAGGATAAGGAAATTAATATCATCTTGTAGATCATGAGAAAAATAAAGGTGAGAAAGCTCCTTGGTGACTTGTCGCTAACTGACGATCGACTGATCCCAAATCTCTTCAATAACCCCATCTGTGATTTAGGTTCTAAGAGGTCAGGAAGGAACACAGATCATCTTCTATTAATGTGAAATGAGCCTGTAAGTGCACTGCAGGCAGCAAATCAAAACTACTCTCAGCAGCTACTCTAATTCATGAGGCTCTGTCTCTTAAAGGACCAGCTGTCCTTTCATAAAGACCATTTTTTTCTATGAATAATACATATACTACTAGGGAAGAATATACATTCCCATTAAGCAACATCAATTCTCAACACACTGGATATAATCTCTTATACTGCTATAATTAAAAATTAAGGACAAAGTATTATGTTGAAGAAACTCCAAAGCTGATTTTTATGTACTCTCTTTTTTCCTCCAAAAGCATCATTCTTACCAGCTTTTTAATATAATTATATTCCAGAGAAAACAGGCTGGCAAAAACAAATACATCAATACATAATCTTTTTTAAAGTCCTCGCTTATATTTTATGATCTGTACAGGCGGTTAAAAAATCAGGTCTGAAATTTTCTATAATGAACATATCCTAGCTCCTTTTTTTTTAATTTTAGAAAGGGAAAGCACATAAAATATCAGATCAGTTGTGATTTTGGACATAAGAGATAACCACAGGCATTCATTGACTGTGAGGGCTTCTGTTAACCTATTTCTTATCATAAGTGCCTGCATTATAGCTGGTGCTTGATGAATTTTTCTGAATGAATAAATATTAATATTAAAAATTAAAAACTAAGAAGATATTTGAGGTCTGGAAAATTCAGTACTTTGCCAATATAGTTGCCTAGCAGATATTCCCCTCCTGTGCTCCACTTTCTTTGCTAAAAAGAGAGAGCAAGCCCACAGAAACTGCCATTGAGAAGCTGGAGGATTCTTCCTATTGGTCTTAATCTACTTAGTAGGAGCATTCTCATCTTGTTTATCTAAGAAGGCCCATGAAAAAGCTCAATGACATCAGAGAAGTGTGAGCATCTATCTTTCTAAGCTATGGAGAAAAATCATATATTTTATTAAAAGGAAAATTTGATTATATGCATTTTCATTGATGTATCAAAACCGCTAAAAATTCAAAGCAAAAGATTTTTAAAGCTGGATGGGCTCTTACACGTCAGGGAACCCAACCCCTCCTTTCAAAATTGTGAATGCTGAGGTGTTAAGAGTTAAGTGATTGTCCCAAGGATACAAAGCTAGTAAATGGCAGATAGGACTTATTCCTAGGCACCTAATTCCAATTCTAACACATGTTCCATCACACCACACTCTACTATAAACCCCCTAGTGCTTTATGGGCAGATAATAAAAAATTAGTTAATACAGATGATGACAATAATGAAATTTCACTGTACTGAAAACAGAAATGTGGTGAGTTATAATAGTTGGTATTTGGTGATGCTTATGTTAAGCTAGAATGTCTATTATTTTCCATCTCTCTCTGCATTTAAAAAAAGCCTATGTCCTTTGCCTTAAAAAAAAGCCTTAGGCAACTAAATATCATTCATTAAAACATTTAAGACAAGTGACAGCTCCTAGTCATACATTTCCAGAACAGAACAAGCAGGTTAAAGATAGCTTAGAAACTGCATACACATAGAATTCTTCCACTGATACCCCAGTCCCCTGAAGCCAATTTTTTAAAGTGGGTTTTTACTGTACCATAAAAATGAACAAGCTGAGGATTTGACATCGAGAGAAAGGTTGGTGCCTCCATGGAAAATATTTTGCCTTCAGGAGTTTAGGATGAGACAAAATTACCACTGGGTAAGGGTAAACTAACTATTGTGATGGAACTCAGATATTGAAATTCCACTTGTGAGTGGCACAAAAATTACAGCGCAGGGAAGATGACTCCATTTCTAAGTATAAGTTGATTACTGATGCAAACTTGGTTTCAGGATCCTTTCACAATATTACCACTAACATAACCGTTCCTTTAAAAATGTGAAGACCGGCTGGGCATGGTGGCTCGTGCCTGTAATCTCAGCACTTTGGGAGGCCGAAGTGGGCAGATCACCTGAGGTCAGGAATTGTAGACCAGCCTGGCCAACATGGTAAAACTCCGTCTCTAATAAAAATACAAAAATTAGCCAGGCATAGTGGCGGATGCCTGTAATCCCCTCTACTGGGGAGGCTGAGGCAGCAGAATCGCTTGAACCTGAGAGACGGAGTTTGCAGTAGCTGAGATTGCACCATTGCACTCCAGCCTGGGTGACAAGAGTGAAACTCTCTCAAAAAAATAAAAAAAATTTAAAAAAGTGAAAACCTAGCTTTGGAGCACTGTTTGGCAGCAACTGTAAAACCTAAGTACTTGCACTCACAATAAGCCAAAATTCCACTCATTATTATACATCTAACTAAAATGCATTTATCTATAAGTCAAAAGACATGCATAAGAATGTTCATAGCTGTCCTGTTCAAAATAGACCCAAACTGGAAACTACAAAAATGACCATCAACAGTAGGATGGATAAATACAGTGTGATTCACACAATGAAATGCTATTTTTCAGTGACAATGAACAACCTACAGCTACTCTCAATAACATGAACAAAATTTCATGAAGTCCATACTGTTGAGTAAAAGAAACCATGCCCACAAAAAGTTTGCTTTGTAAGGTAGCTTTACATAAAATTTAAAAATAGTCAAATTAACCTATGGTGTTCAAGTTACTGGTTTTCCTGGGGGTGAGGTGGCAACTGGAAGGGGCACAGGGAGGACAGGGGTGGCTGGTGCTGTTTTCTTTCTTGAAAAGGATTCCAGGTACATAGGCTTGCTATCTTTGTTAAAATCCATTGACCTATATGCTTGTGATATGCTTTACATGAATGTATGTATATGTCATTTAAAAAAATTGGAAGCCCTAAAAACTATTCTCTAAAAACATGATAGGGAGAGAGTGACAAATTAGTAGATGTCCTATCAGTAAGGCCAAGAATAATTGCACCCATAGGCAGCCTTTCCTTCCCTGCCCTTGTCTTCCCTCATCATTGATTATGAAACTGGTTACAAGCCTGCAAATGAGAATCCCAAATGTATAAATGTCACATTCTCATGCAGGAGCCAAGGCACTCACTTCTTTGTGCCCCAAGGCAAGATTGGGTCTCAGTTTTCATACACTAAAAATGGATCTATTAGGATAATGAGTGAGTTCACACCTGTCATTTTCAAATTGATTGCTGGCAGTCTGCAGTATCTGAAATGGGTCCCACTAATTACAAAGAGAAATCAGACACATTCAGGAACATACATCATTTTGGGACATGGACTAATTAGGCATTTATCCTTTGTGCTCCATCTATAAGCTCTATTGAGAGTACACAGAGGTCTATCCTCAAGGTTAAATAAGGGGAGGGAGGAAGGGGAATAAACTTTGTTAAGTATTATAAGTCAATACAGGGTTAAACATTTATATAACCTTCACAAAATCTTTTCAAGGTAGGTACTATTGGTCTATTTATACAGAGAAGGAAGCAAACTCTGAGAGAGGATAAAACCTATGCAGGTTATACTGCTAGTAAGGAAAGAAGAATTCAAATTCAGGACCATTTGACCCATCAGACTCTTTCCATTCCATCACACACCTTCCTACTGAGGTCAATGACCCTTTGCAGAAATGTCTGCATTCCCCATCAAGGTAACTTTAAACTTCACTCCAATTCTAGCCTAATATCTGGGAATATTCCAAATGCAGGGAAAAAAAACACAACCACCATCTTTCCTAATAAAATAAAACAAAGTAAAATTAAAAAGGCTTAAACAGCTGGGATAATGAGGGTGTAAAATTATAATGGACATAATTGGGTCAGACTACTTTCTTAATTCAGACTAATACTCTTTTATAAATGATGGTATCCAATGGGTAGTCTATGAGAGACCTTCCAAAAATCAGGTCTCAAAAGGTTAGGTATCCACCTTCAATGTGTCTAATTTCTTTTAGACCCAAGAATAAATTATTCTTAACATCATAGAACTGGCCAACATCCAAAGAGGAAAATGCCAGTGGTGCCAACCCAAAAGACTTCAGAGAAACCACAAACCAGATATATTGCTTTGAGTTATCAGAACTCAGACTGGGAACAGGCTATTCTCTAACCATAATGGCTGCTACTAGAAACTGAAATACGCATTTGATCTTTTATGCCTCAGTTTTCCCATACTGCAAAAGGATGATAACAACACCTACCTGCAACTGTGTGTGTTAGAAAAACTAGCTAATGTCTATAGAAAGTTTTGATGGTAAGAAGCACTAAGGAAGTGCTAAGTACCATGTGAGCATTAGTGCAGAAAGCACTGAGTGATGCAAATTGGTGTTGGTCTTATACAGACCTCACATGTTCACAGCTCCCAGCAGAGAAGGTTGGAAAACAACTTCCTGACTCATAATGAGATGCTAAGGCAAATAGATGATGTGAAGTTATATTTGGGGACTGAATAGATCTAGAAGCCAGAAAAAAACCTTACAGTGAAATTTGCCAGGCTAGAGGAGATCTACAGTCAGCCTTGCCCTTGCATACAAAATCACAGGATGAACATTTGTCCTCTGAACTCTCTCAGGCAGGATTAGCAGGATAGGGCACTGGGCGAATTGACTGAAGCCACACTGGGGAGGCTGGTAAGGGGAGAGCACCCATGGAGACTCTTTGACCTAAAACTGGATTTTACATGGGAACAGGGGAGAGGATACACTGAGCTACAGAGAAGGAACAGCAGATACTCAATCATAATCATGCAAATATAGCAAAACAATAGATAAATCAAACTTAATAGCTGGCACATGACTGGGTGACTCTCTTCTCTAAGGCTTCCATCTGGTGTCAAGCAGAAGTGAATAATAACAACCTCCTAGACCCTGAGTTAGGTTGTTTTACATGTTTATCATACAGTCCTCGAACCAGCCCCTGAAAAGTGGGTATTATCATTTTTAAAGAAATGAGGGTTAAAGTGACAAAGTAACTTGCCTAAGACAGTAACAGGCAATCACTAAAATATAGGTCTGGCTGACACAAGAGCCCCTACTGATTAAACTGGGTCCTTTTGTCTCTTTCACAGTTATTTACAGTGTATACTAGCTCTGAGCAGATCCCTAGGCCAACTCAGTAAGAAATCCAAACCATGGTGCTGCTTGGGAGTTAAAGGGTATGGCCTGGCGTGCAGTAACGCATCCAACAAGCACTTGTGGGGCCTGCTATTGGCTAGGCTTGTGCTAGACATGACTGATGCAGAAAAACAGTACCCTCGCCCTGGCCTCTGCAATGCCCACCAACATCCTAACAAGCAGAGCATGGCAGCCATCCTGGGCAAGTTCTCCCCAGCACAGACTTCAGTCACAGCTGGCAAGACATGGAAGCAACCACAGAGGTTACAGCCCCCTTGAAAGCTTTCAAGGACCCCTCAGCAAACAGAGCATACTCTTTAGTCTGCATTTTGACAATTCTTTATTAGTCTCCTGAAGATTATGGCTAAGAAACTGCTGCATATTCCTTTACTTTTAATTATCATCCTATGATTGGGTTTGGCTTTTTAAAAAACCAAACTAGTAAAATTACTGCAAAAAGAAAAAAAAGTCCCTTAATAATTTATTCATAATGTTATTAAAACAAAGTCATGTTTTATTGGACCACATGTGTTTGTGCTGTGACGCAGGAGTCAATAAAGAGGAGATAGAGTAGTGTATAATATCCATTAATATTCCCCACATACGTTCACCAAACAGTGTCTCAGCATCAATAAATAATTTCAATAATTAAAAAGTGTGATTTTCGCAGTTTAACTATTTCCTGCTCAAAGACTGCCACAGATGCTTAGACCCAAGCTTTTCCTTCCCAGCAAAAGCAACTGCACTATGTGCAGAGAATAGTAGAGTGAAATGAATGCTAGTCCAAAAAAGGGACTTGTCTCAGCTCCGACACCAGCTGCCAGTGACCTTGGGGTCTAGACCGTTCCTCCTTCTTCTATCAGTAAGAGGAAAATATTTAGATGAGATGATACCCAGGTCTTCCCACACTTTACAACTGTGAAATCACAGTCCTCTGGGCCTTACTGTTATCCTTTCTTGATCACCACTACCTTTCATGAAGTATCATTTTGAAATGAGTTCCTCTTTTCACAGACGGGCATTCCTCTACGACTACTTAGCCTGGCTCACAGAGTTAATAGACAGCGTGGAGACTCACTGCCTAGGGAGTCAAGTGGTGGTTCTCTCTCCAATTTGCCATTTGCCCTTGAACAGTGAGTCGCTTAGGAATTCTAGGCCCATCATTTCCTCACTGATGGGGGATTATATGACAACACTCAGCTACCACGAAAAGAGTGAGAGAAGATTAAATAATATGCTTGTACGGGATTTAGCCAATACCTTATGTCACACTGGATACTTGGTAGTAATTACCTTTTGAGTCTCACAGAATTCACCTGAAATACCTTCCAGATTCAAGGGTAAATGATTCCTTAAAAGGCTTTAGTTTCTTTTCACTCCCCATGGAGAACTTTGCCCAAAAGTGAAAACCTTGGTATGACAATGAAATCATGGATTTCCCTCACCTTAACATCTTCTTTCTCTTCTTAGAAACACTAAAGAATCATGGCCCACTGTACTCTACATTCTAAAATTATTTTTCCCATATTCCTCTCCAGATAGATGCTTATGAAGCTGAGAGCACAATTTGGAAATGTTCTGTGGCGATTTCAACACTATTAAGACCCCTCTTTCCCACCATAACTAACATGGTCATCCCACTGTAAATTACATTTTCACTAGGCTGGAAGAGACAATATGGCTTCATGGAAAAAAAAAAAACCTCACATTTATGCAGAAAATAGAACTTGGTTAAATGATAATAATTATTGCTGCACTGATTGAGAAATTGGTATATTCTCGCTTTGTTCTCAGTGATTTCCACTTATGAACACCTTTATTCTTCAAGACAACTCTAGGAGGTTGCTTCTATTTTCATGTCCATTTCACTGTAAAAAAGAACACACAGCACTAGCTGGGTGCGGTGGCATGTGCCTGTAGCCTCAGCTACTGAGGAGGCACAGGGTGGGAGAATCACTTGAGCCCTGGAGTTCAAGGCTGCAGTGAGCTATTACTGCACCACTGCATTTCAGCCTGGGAGACAGAGCGAGACCCCATCTCTTAAAAACAAAAACGAAAACAAAAACAAAAACATGCAGTACAGAGAGGTTATGGGCTTCTTAAGGCCACGTTTCCAGGAACTGGTGCATACCAGATTTGAGTCAGCCAATCTCATTTAGAGGCAGCACTCTTCATCATTATGCTATTCTTCCCAGAAGGTGTGATGATTTGAAAGAGTATGTGTAGAGAAATGGCCACATTGCAAGCACTCTGTAAATAGTATTTTTATTATTTAGGTTAAAATAGCTACTTTCTTAAATGTTGTTGCTTTTCCCAGTTGATGATGACACAAATGTATCCTTTATATTCCTCTCCTCTTCCTTCCCATATTTTTAACTCCACTGGCCTCATCGCTGTCTTAGCCTATGAATGCAATGTCCCAGGGGCATCCATAATCATCCCAGATATTCTATTTTGTAACTTTTCCTAAGTCCTGGCTTTCAGAGTTCTGCTGCAGCTTACAGTCTGATATAAAGTTCAGGAATAAGTCATTCCCCACCTCTGCTATACTATTTCTACTCTTTGTAGAGGCTTAAGCCTCTGCTAAACTGGTCATTTATTTTGTAAGTGCTGCTTATAAATTTTGCTGAAAGTCCATTAAACAATAGGGCCAAAGATATGTTAACATACGCAAAAATTTGAGTCTATGATACCTCACCCTGCCAAAAGGAGGTTTACTCTAAGATTATAGACTTCTCATTTCCTGCAATTCACAGATCCAATCAACAAAGCATCATCAGCTTATTTGGCTCAGGTAAACCTCAAGCTGAATGGCGTTCAAATGATAGCAACAGTGAGGCAGATAGGACTTATAAGACACCATTCTCAGATAATCATAGTAATTTGCTGTCCTAATTCCCTCCCAAGTCCAGGAAAAAGAGCAGCAGGAAATCATATACAGAAGGCAGAAATGTTGAGGCTTGGAGAAGCACATGGTACACCTGAATCCTGGGAGCCAGTGGCAAAGCCAAGAAGTAATGAAATAGCAGATGGCAGGCCATGCAGCAGTGGGGTGGACCATCCCACTGCCTCACCTAGCTAATTTGGGGCAGCTGGCAGTTTATCTAAAGACCATTTTTAAGTGGTTCAGGGCCTTGCTCTTGAAATTCGGTCCATGGACCAGCTGCATGGGCGTCACATGGGAGCATGTTAGAAATGAAGAATCTCCCCAGACCTGCTGAACCAGAATCAGTCTTAGGAACTCATCATCCCTGAGTGTAGTATTGACAGGTGCTGGTAGAGGGTTCATAGCTCAGGTTAAGACTGGCAGGTTCAATCTAGCTATACAATAATACAATACACTCCATTCTTAAAACTTGAGCAAATAAACAAGTAATATAATAACATAAAACCCAAATTAGAAAAGAAAAAAAGCTGTGCTCAGGATAAATGTGGTGGCACCAAAGTGGACATGGCAAGAGATCTATGCATAAACCTAGGAAGGATAGTCCATTTGCTACTCCAGGATTGCCACCCACTTTTTTTCTCCTTGCTCTGTGCTGAGGGAGGATGACTGGTATGGAATTCTACATGGGTCTCTTGCCATTTGGCTTCTGACTGGGTTCCCAGGAGAGCAGAGGGATGAAGAATAGTGAGATTCCCTGTGGGCTGGCCTTGAGCTGGCTGTGTCTCTCAATGAGAGTTACAGCTCTCCCCCAGACAGCCCTCACCAGCTCCGGGTTCTAGTAACTGCCTCCTTCTTCACCTCTTAGACCTAAGTCTGGCCAGAGCACCTTGCTGTTATCAGCCTCTGTATACTGCACTATTCCTTCCTGAACTTCTGTAATGATCCCTCAATAAACTCAATATATTCAATTGGAGTATATCATCTGTTTTCTTCTGGGACCCTGACGGATGAATGTAGATGAAACTGTTCACTCAAAGGAAAAAAGGAGAATGGAAAGCAATAACCTATTGTTGGGAGGATACTTTTTTTTTAAGGGATGTTACAAAAGGGAAGAAGTTGCAATCAATTTAACCAACAGTTGATGCTCCACAATGCTATGAAAAATATATTCTGAACATGTATAAAAATATGCTCACCCTTCATCTGTTAAGAAATCCTAATTATCAGCCAGGCGTGGTGATTCACACCTGTAATCTCAGCACTTTGGGAAGCTGAGGTGGGCAGATCACAAGGTCAGGAGATGGAGACCATCCTGGCCAACATGGTGAAACCCCATCTCTACTAAAAATACAAAAAATTAGCTGGGCGTGGTGGTGCACGCCTGTAGTCCCAGCTACTCCAGAGGCTGAGGCAGGAGAATCGCTTGGACCCGGGAGGTGGAGGTTGCAGTGAGCTGAGATTGCACCACTACACTCTAGCCTGGTGACAGAGCAAGACTCCGTCTCAAAAAAAAAAAAAAAAAAAGAAAAGAAAAAAAGAAATTCTAATTCTCTGAAGGGGATGTGTGTATTTGACTACTCTAGGTACCTCATATAAGTGAAATCATACAGTACTTCTCCTTTGTGACTGGTTTTTTCCACTTAGCATGTCTTCAAGGTTTCTCCATAGTGTAACATGTGTCAGAAATTCCTCTTTGAGGCTGAATAATATTCCATTGTGTGTGTATACCCACTCCCTGCCCCAACACACATATCTTATTTTCTTTATCCATTCATCTGACAATGGGCAGGTGGGTTGCTTCCACCTTTTGGTTATTGTGGATAATTGGTGATGTCATTTATTGAGATAAGAAAAACTGAAAGAAGAAGTTTGAAAGGCAAAGGGAGAAATGAAGAATCCAGCTTGGGGCATGTTAAATTTTAGTGACTGTGAGATAGATAAATATTCATATTCAGGACACAAATATACACATATAAGGCTCCCAAGCTCAGAAAAACATCTGGACTGAAGTTATATAGTTGTAGGCATTTAGGTGGCAATGGAAACCAAAAGAATGGATGAGATCATCTAGGAAGAAAAGGCAGAGAGCCTTGGGATGCATCCTGAAGAACTCTGATTTTGTAGCTAGGTAGAGAAGGATAAGCTGGAAAAGCACGCAAAAAAAGAAAAAGAAAAAGAAAGAAAGAAAATAATCAACAGAGTGCAGAGTTATCTGAGTCCGAAGAACACTTAGAATAGATAAAGGGATAGAGAGATTTTCATATATACAAGGATGTCAGTCCTCATCAGTTTGGTAAAACTAAGACTGAGAATATATATAATTTAAATGTATTAAATTATGAATACTGGATTTTTTGTTCATACGGTATACCAAAATTAAAAGAATCTGCTTGAAGCTTTGCAGGAAATATGTAGTAAACCTAAGAAACCCATTTGTTCAAAGAATAGAAGACTATAAATACCTACTAAGAAAGTGTCTATAAAATCATTGATGTTACATTTGTGATAAATTGTTAGAAGATGTTTGAGATGCACCTGATGAAACTTCAAAAGTGTTTTAAGGGAGAGAAATCACACTTACACACACACACACATACAGAGAGAGAGAGAGAGGGAGAGAGACTCACCCACAATATCTCAAGAGACAGACATTCCATTGCCGTATTGGATATAGGGATGTTCTAGGATGGCATTTTAAAACTGTGGCCCTTAGCAGTATATTATCTATAAAATTAAGTGTTAAACAAGAAACACAAGACTTAGGTTAGATTTCAGAATGAGCTCTTTGTGACTGGAAATTGTTAAAAACTGAAATGCTGATTGGAATCAAGAGACCATGGAATATCCTCCTTTCACATTGTTTAAAAGCAAAAATGGGTTCTCATCTGTCTGGAACTGTCCAAGTATGAGCATGCCTCAAGATAAAGAAGACAGACTTGAAGATCTCTCATGGGTCCTTCCTTTCATAATAGAGAATCACAATTCTCTCCACTGTTTTACTGCTTTGGGTGGAAGAGCTTTCATCTTTCCAATTTCCAATCTTCTAAAATAGATAGTTCAGCCAAGTTTCTCAGACTCACTGATTTTTCTATTCCTTGAAAAGTTCAGCTGAAGGCATCTTTCATCTTTAATTATACTTCTGAATATTTTCCTCTTATGCTACTTAATATTATTCACTCCTTATTTGTCCCCCTTTCTCCATCCTTTCCCTACCTTATTTATCTACCAATAAAACACATTAATATTTGATTCTTTCTCACGGAAGTGTGAAATTTTGAGAGCTCAAAGTTGGTGGGTAAACATAAACTATACATGATGTGTGAAAAAATATTAATTGGGATTTTACTAGGTCAGAATTTTATTGCTTTTGGCCAAAGGCCATCATAAGACATAAAGAGGAAAGATTACATGCAAAAAGACCTTTAAAATAAGTTATAAAGATCAAACAAGGACTAAGTTAGAATGAGTTCCTAAGTGTAAAAATAAGTAACATTTCAAAGTTAATTTATTGAAACGAGTCATAAGACCAATACATCATTGTACCGTTTTGGCTGGAGTGTCTAACATAACATTAGCTCTGAATCTGAAGCGGCCAGTGAGTAAGAGTATCAAAAATAATGCCTGTGTCCCTGACACACAAACCTGTCTTTTCCAGCGATGCTCTAGAATAAAGATTAGATTATCCCCAGAAATGGTTAGAATTATTTCTAGATACAAAGGGGGAGGAAATAAACATGCATGGAGTACCTACTATGTGCAAGGTACATGGGCCGTTTCAGCTGAATGTAACTTTTCACTCAATCTTCATTCACAATGACCCAGGAGATAGGGATTTATCAGCTGCATTTTCTAGATAAGGTATAATCCCAAAGAGATTAGACAATGCCTCCAGGTCACACATTAGTAAATGGCAGAGCCACAGTCGGGACTCAAGATTGTTTAAGCCCATACCCTGCGCTGTTACACCAAGGTCCACTGTAGAAAAAAGAAATGTGAAAAGTCCTCCAATTTCAGGTTACCTCTAATATAGGATCAATGGACCAGGAAATAAACCAGTATCTTACCTTTAATTATGAAGTGGGCTTGATTTAGAAAAAGATTGCTGTGAAAGCCTGGCTGAGTTTAACAGAGGTGAAATCAAACAAGCAAAGTGAAATTCTATGTAACCCTCCTACAGCTCTTCAAAACACTGGTTTCTGTAAAAGCTAGCCTCTTGGGGACAGTGGCAGGATATTTAATTCAAAAGTCCTTTAACAAGAAGACCTGGTAGTTGGGACACTAACATTTGTTAAGCCCCTCTTCTTTGCCAAGCACTTGATATCTGAGCTCACTGAATTCTCACAACCATCCTGGTGTTTCGATTTTACAATGGAGAAACTGAGTCTAAGAGAAGTTAGAATTTTTTTTTACATCATTAAGTAATGGAGCTAATTCTAGGACTAATTCCAAAGACTGTTTTTTTTTCCAAAATGCTGCCAATTGAGAGAGGCAATACCGATGTCACCTAAAGCAGTGCTTCTCAGTCTTTAATGTGCATGTGAATCACTTGGGATCTTGTTAAAATGAATGTCTGATTCACCAGGTCTGGGGTGGACCCTTAGATTCTGCATTTCTAACAAGCTCCCAGGTGATGCTGATGCTGTTGTTCAAAGACCACTCTTAAGAGTAGAAATCACTTATTTACTTACAAACGAAGCCCTTCCAGGGTATGTCTAAATACACACTCTTCTGCCAGGTGGCTTCCATGGAAGCTTAGTGCTTTCTGTTTGATTATTGCTCTAAATGATGAGATGATAATCTCTGATAGAGCTGATAAGATATAGAGTTGGAACACACAAAAGACTGGTACGAGAGTTTAAGTGCATCATCTATGTATCACCTCAATCTCTCACCTTAGTTTTGCAAACATCTAGACAACTGCTGGGCATGGGAAGGACTCTACAGCAGGAGAAAGCAGCCCCCTTTTGTATGGTGGGCTTTTGGTATGTCTCCTCTGATCTTAAGAGTCGGTAGCAGCCCTTACAATGACCGTGAATCCACCCAACAGGCCCACATCCACAGGGGTCGGCAACACTGGGCCTGGGGAGAAGGATGGCAGCTTAGAGGTGTTTGGTGCAAAGTTGTTCTGTAGCCTTTCTCCAAGTTCCCGGGTTCTGCTTTCCATTTCACACTCCTTTTCCCCCAGCTCCCTCTCAAGTTCCAAGGAAGGTTTCAAAGAGCATCCTTATCAGAGCTGAATGGCAAGTGACCCTCCTCTATATGTGCAATCTGGGTTCCAGGCTGGCTGCCATAGAATGTTTTGCTTTTTCAGTGGAAACCAACTTCATAGCAAATTGCTCTGGCTACTGTTGGGGTCACTTAGGTGTTTGCATAGTCTGTGGTAATTGCTTTATTTCAGCAGGAAAAAAAATACTTATTACCATGTTTTTGCTGCTGACAGTGGCTTTTGTGTAAAGAGTCCTTCACATCAAAGGAAGAGGGAATATGTTGAAGGCACACAAGCCAGTTATTTCCAGGACCTCTCGCTCCTATCCGCCACGCCTTCTCTGAGCACCTGGTGGAGGCTCTGCCTGCCACGAGGAGGAGTTCCTAAAGGATTCTGTGTATTCCACCCGTGTTGGGCGGGGTGGGTGCCACATGGGCAACAATCAGACCGGGGACATTGACTCAAAGGCAGATATGGGTAATGAGGTCTGATGGGAGAAATGGCTTCAAATAAAGCTTTCTGTGGTTCATCAATATTTCCACAAGGAGTAGATTTTGCTCCCTCCCAAACAGGCATCTCTTTTCTCTTCATCTCACATCCCTAATGCCTTTGGGCTTGAGATTTTAGCCTAGGAAGGAAGGTAGGGGAGAAAAGCATGCAGCGCAGACATCCCCCATTTCTAATAAGATGGCTGAGTTACCTTTTATCTGTGCCTTTCACACAGCTTAGACAGTCCCTGGTAGCCCAGAATCCTTCTCTGTTTCCCTTTTTTCAAGTCAGTCTGTTATGCCCAGTGCTCTTCTCATTAATTTTTTCCCCACATCATCTCCCGCTTCTCCCTCTGCAATGACCTCTCTCTCCTGTGACTGGTTGTGAAGGTTCTCTTTCATATTCACTGTAAGGCAATCTTTGTAGAGCTAACTTTAACTAGCTAGACCAATTCTTTCCCAACGCTGAACAAAGCATTCCATGAAAAGAAACATAAGCATGCACAGAGCCGACCTGCATGAGGTCAGCAGCCCTCCTGACTCTCCAGCCTTCTCTGCACACACTCGGCATCTTCCCAGCAATCCCCTGAAAACTGCCTCTCATGAACTCACATGGAGTTCAGGCTCAGGGAGGCACGGGGGCAGTCAATTCACCACAGGAAACAATAACTCATAACCACCACACTTGCTCCAAACCAGGCACAGACACCTAAGGTTGTTTCCAGCTTCCATACAGCAGGAAAGAGCCCACTGTCCCCCCAACCCCCAGAACAGCTGGTGGCTTCTCATGGGAAGCATATCCAGGTTGAGCAGCCCTTCCTTACCTGAACTGCTTGGAACCAGAAATGTTTCAAATTGTGTATTTTTGGATTAGGGATGTTCAATCTGTATGAGAATATGAGCTGTGGAGAAGGTGTCCTCAATACTGTCATCCCCTTGACCTTGGATTTGTTATCCTCCTTGCCTTCTTCCACTACCACCTTGTTTCCTTTAGATGTGTCAGTGCCTGAGCTGGGCTCATTTTTGTCTTTACTTGTTCTATCTTCCCCCTGCCAGTGCACCTAATTGGCACACCCTCCTTTTTGCTCTCACCTACAGTGGACTTACCAAAATATTGCCCCAGTTCCAGAAGCTGGGCTGTGCCCAGATTGCCAGTTTTGGGGCCCTCCGAACCTTGCTGCAGTCTCCCAAGTCTCGCCACAGGATTCATCAATAGTCAGTTACATGCCCTGCACAAACAGCTTATGGAGAGAAGCTCTACCTAATCTTGATAGTTAATTAGTGGGTATGGAGAGAGTGAGGAGTCTCCCACAGAAACCTAAGAGAAAGAGTTCAATTTTAAAAGACATATGTCTCTACATAGCAGGGAGTAAACTTGATATACTAGCAATAGTAAAACTGGCTCATAATAAGTGTAGTAGTTAGATAAACTCATAGGGGACTGAGCTTCAAAGGATGAAAGAAATGATGACTGGGAGAAGTCAAGACACTGCTACCTGTCTGACTTAAATATCATTCAAGGCAAACATGTTGCCTGGCAGAGCTCAAAGGGAGTACAGCATATTGACTAGATGCACAGGCTTTGGAGTCAGCTGCCTGGGTTGCTTCCTCACTTTGAAATTACTAACTGGGTGGGCACCAGTAAGCTACTTAAGTTTATTAAACCTCCATTTCCTTATGCATCAAAGGAGGATAATAAAAATACCCATTATAAGGTTGATGAACTGATTAAAAGAGAATAATATATGTAATGTGCCTAGTTATCATAGTGCCTAACATGTAATAATTTCTTAATAGATTTGTTTTAAAACCATTTGTTTTTCCTATTAGAGCAGAATCCTAAGCCACATGGGCAATGGATTTCACATGACATGAATGGTGCACATATATATATATATAGTTTTTTAATTAAATTGTTACAATTTTAAGATAATTATAGATTTATATGCAGTTATAAAAAGTAATGTAGAATTATACCATGTATCCTTTACCCCATTTTTCCCAATGGAAACATGGCAAAACAACAGCACAATATTACAACCAGGTGATAGACACTGATACAGTCCACCCACCTTATCCAGAATTCCTCAGTTTTTCTTACACTTATTTGTTTCTGTGTATGTGGTGCTGTGTGTGTGTGTGTGTTTAGTGCTATGCAATTTTATCACATGTGTAGGCTTGTGTATACACCATCACAGTTAAGATACACAACAGTTCCATTGCCACAAACATATACCTTTTTAAAATCAATGTTTTAAATGTCCTAATTTTGGTGGCCACAGTCAAAACTCTCCTTTTGCCTTTCCTCTGGTTCCTGTTGCATTTCATCAATGATGACCATGAACTTTTCCTGACCCAGCTCTTCATCCTCCAGTGCATATGGTTCAAAAGCAAGAGAGCATGAGACCATTAGGAGAAGCACTGTTAGCCAGAAGAGGAAGAGCGCAGAGAGCAGAAGCAGGAGGAAGAGGAGGAGAAATGAGAGGTAGAAGGAAGAGGAAGGGAAAAGAAGGGGGTAGGGGACCAAGAAAAGAAGAAGGGGCAACAGTCACGACAGCCCTACTCTGTTCAACAGACCAGGAGGAGCACCACCACCCATTTCACCCACAAGGATACATATCAGATAAACAGTTGTGATTTGCTCTAGTCCATAGTCTAAATGGAGCCTGTTCTGATTCAATACTGAGGTGTGGTTGTAATCACAGGGCCCAGGGGTTATAAAATTAGCCCCCTCCAAACTCAGACCCTATTCAGAGTGAAAATTAAATGAAAAGATGGATATGAGAAGATACATGTGCAATTATACTTTTGTGATATTTAAGTTGTGGTTTTAAATAATTTTATAATCATGAATGTCTGGTGCGATGGCTCACACCTATAATCCCAGCACTTTGGGAGGCCAAGGCAGGTGGATCACCTGAGGTCAGGAGTTCAACATGGTGAACCCCTACCTCTACTAAAAATACAAAAATTAGCCAGGTGTGCTAGTGCACGCCTATAATCATAGCTACTCGGGGGACTGAGGCATGAGAATTGCTTGAACCCAGGAGGTGGAGGTTGCAGGGAGCGAAGATCATGCCACTGCACTCCAGCCTGGGCAACAGAGAGAGACTGTGTCAAAATAAATAAATAAATAAATAAATAAATAAATAAATAAATAAATGTCATGAAAATAATGTATGCTCATTGTTTAAAACTTGGCAAGTATATAAAAATATAAAGAAGAAAATAATAATCTCTCATAAACCCATTCCCATAGATAACTACTGCTAATATTTCTGGGGAATAATATTCCTTCAGGTCTTCCTCTATGCCGATGTATCTACACACGCAACATTTAATTTTATAAAAATTGTATCATACTCCATAGAGATTTGTAATCTGGATTTTCCATTGAACACTTTATTGGATTTCCTCCATGTTTTAGAATACGGTTAATATCTTTACATGATGAATCTTCATGAAAATCTGGAGGGTGAGGTAAAAGGTCCAAAACCTTCTAATGTATCTCAGCATCTAGGATTCCTAACATTGTCATGAAACCCAAATTCTAGAAAAATCAAGTTCTCATCCCATCTGACCTGATTTTCTCTTGCTTGGGACTCCATAGCCAACACCGAGGCAAATGGTGAGACAGGCACAGACTGCTATATTACCACTCCTTTGACCACACAGCATTTACAGAAAGAAGCTCTGTTTCTATGGCCAGAAACTGAGACTGCCAAAGAGATAATTATTAGCAAGACTGAATATTATCTTTATGGGCTGTATTTTACACTATTATATTAAAATTGTGCACAGATGTATTATTTTATGTGTAGATGACAACACATGTTTCATAATACCTCTTTTCTCAGAATCGAAATACTTTTTCTATACTATGGACAACAAATAGTTTATCACTAAATCTTTAGGTAACAGTTTCCTTCCCATTAGCTCGTAAACATACACCCATTCATAAAAAATAAAATGTCTTTCATCAACTCTGATTTCCCCTGAAGGTACCTCCTCCCTCTCTTTTCCTTCATTGCCAAACTTCTTAAAGAAGCATTCTACATTTGTGCTCTATTTTCACATCCAGCATGTGCAATTTCCTGTAATGCCTTCTGCCTCCACCATTCTACTGAAATAATACTAGTGCCTTTTGACTACCTAACCCAGTGGGCTCTCACCAGCCTTCACCTCAACTATACTGTTACTGCTGGTCACATCCTCAGTCAGAACACTCTGTTCCTTTGACTCATTTGACCCTTGCTCTCCTAATTTTAATCCTGACTTTTCTACCATTTTTCAAGCTTTTGTATTTCCCACCCATTAAATGCAAGCTTTCCCCAGATTCTGTCTTCTACCTTTGTGAACCTTGCTTTCCACTCCTCCCCAGGGGACCCGGGCTTCCACTCCCTTACACTGCAATTATTACCTCTATCCTAATGACTCCCACCTTCATAACTCTAGTTGCATGTCTCACACTGAGCTCTACCTGCCAATTTTCTCTTAAAGTAGGTGTCTACGTGCATTTTTCAAGGCACCTAAGATTCAGCCAGTCTAGAAGCAAAGCCATTATCTCTCTCTCCTCCGCCCCTCCCCACCCCCACCGAGTGGCACCTCCTCTTTGGAGTTCTGCATCTTGTTAATGACAGTCTAGCCAGTTATTTATTTCTAGACACACAAGGAACATTCACTCAGTGACCAAGTCCTCCAGCTTTCCTCAGTCCTCCCATTTATAGTTCTGTTCCATTCTCAGAGTCACTCCCGGCTTCACTCCCACAGGTATTCTTTACAGCTACTGGAATCATTTGCTAGAATCTCCTGCATGAAACCCTTCCAGTTCCCTAACTCTCACATTATCTCCAGAAATAAGTTCCCAAAGCCCTGGTAGAATCCCACCCAACAGATATTTACCGAGAATCTACTGCGTGCCAGGCACTGGGTTGAGCTCTTGGGGTATATAAGTTAACAAAGCAGACAAAAAGCCTGACCTAGCGGAACTTAAGTTCTGCTGGGAGTAAACAGTGAACGATAAACATAATTGCAGCAGCTCCTTCTTCAAGCATCATCAGTGATTGCTCACTTCCCACCCACCCCCTAATAAAGTTCAAATTGGTTAGCATGGCATTCAATATGTCCCAAAATTAAATGCCCAATTTCCAGGTTTCCCACACCATACTACTCCCTGGACCACTCACCATTTCCCAGATAACAACCTGTAATATCCCAACTCCCAGACTTTGCCTGGGCTGTTTCTTCAGGCTGTACTGCCCTTCACCTCTATACCTACTAAAATATCAATCACCCTTTGAAATTCTATGTAAATGTTACTTCCTCTATAAAACTTTTCTGTCCTGCAAGCCCTGGATGCCCATCAAAATGAATCATTTCTTCTTTGCCTGTTTATGACATGTTTATTTATCCTATCAATCATTTTACACTTACAAAATGTGTTATGTAAAAGGCATAGTGCTAGATTATATGTATATATATTTGTATGTATAGCAATTGCTTCATTCTGCTTTGTATCATATTTATTTATACATCTGTACCCTCCCTTCCACAAACACAGTAAATTGCAAGATTCCTGGAAATAGGACTTGTTCTTTTTGATATTTATATTCCCACCACAGTACCTTCAACATAGTTGTTGGATGAATGAATAAAAGAGTAAATATATATTAGTAATAATATTGGTTGTGATGACAATCTGATTATTTAGTGAATCTAGGTAATAACAATGGTCTTTGAATAAAAGTGTACAATCACTTGAGACAATTTTCTTCTTTAAAAATGACAGGTGTTATTTTTCAATTATCACGAATTAACATGCACAGAGTGTTCATGGGATGACTGGCATTGATCCTAGGGGGGCTGTGGAATATGACTGAGGTGGGCCTCACTCTCCCGTGCTCTAAAAGAAGTAATTTATCTTCATATTCTTGGTGTCAGTATGCAAATTAGTATATCCCTAGAAGCATAAAGAAAGCAGTTAGCAAGAGTAAAGACCACTAAGGTAGTTCTGAACAGGTAGGCCCCTCTTCAAATAAGCCATTAACACAGCCAGCCAAACTAATGGTGGGATTTCTTAGGGAGAAAGTTTTCTAATCCCCAAACAAAAGTCTTTCCAAACGTTTAATTTCAGGCTGTCTTTAAAAATCAGGCCTGTCCACCCTCTCAGGCTCCATGGCATTTGGTTTGCCAATATTACATGTGTATATAATGTTAGAAATGCAGGTATATAGGTAAATGCCCCAGGAAGGCTTGGGAAATGCTGTTGGTCCACTACATCAACCAAAAGTGGTAATGCTGTAGCCACCACCTTCTAGTTGGGGGACTGTGGCTGCAAAGAGGGCAGACTTACTGGGTGGGAGGCCTTGGGAACACGTCAAGAAACAAAAATCATAATTTGATTTCTTTTATGCTTAATGATGTTATTGCCGCAGGAATTCCCTTCTTCTTACATTTTCCACCTGGAAAACTCCTACTCACTCCTTTTTGTGAGTTCTTGAATGTCATCTTCACTGGGAAGCCTTCCCAATTCCCTGCCAAATTAAGCTGCACCCACCTCTGTGCTCGTGAAACACCCAGCACCTAAATCCACTCATCTCATGGCATGGTAACTTTTTGTTTCTTTGGCTGTGTGTATTCCCCCACACCTTATCACAGACAGTGCCCTCATCAATGTCAACGACTGTGCCTCATTCATCCCTTTATCTTCATTACCTGTACAGTGCTGGTGCCTAGTAGGTGCTAAATAAATGTGCAGAATTCACAGCTTTTTAATGTCAAGGAAGAAAAACAGCATTTGCTACTGAATTCACAGATTGTTACATACCTCCATGTGTATATACTTAATGTTAATAATCCAGGAAACAAAACTTCCCCTATAATATTCTCTGGTTCGGTAGCACTAGCTCCGGAGTGGGCTGTCACAGCCCTGCAGGCTGCAAGTGGGTTGCCATGGTAACAAGGTTCTGGATGGAGGAGGCTCTGGCTAAAGAGCCCTTCTCAACTCAAAAGAAGCTGCAGAAATGCAAAGTGTATTTTGGTTTCCCTTCCTTCTCTCCTTCTTTCCTCTCAAACCTCTCATCCTTCAAGCAACTTGAGGGCCAAAATGAACTAAATTCTGGGAGAGATTTTTCCTAGGACTCCGTATACTCCTGGAGTGGCCTTGACCACTACGGACTAGTGTGAATGTGTTTAATGTCTCTGTACTTCATTTTCCTCTCCTCCTTCTGCCTTTTGTTGCTTTTGTTATTACTTCTCTTTCCTCTTTGCCTCATTCCCATATGCCCACAGAACTGCCCCAAGGATGTCCCTTAACATCCCCCTCTTCCAGATGGCTATCAACCAGCAGAGGCTGCCCCCTCAGTCCTGAAATAGCAGAGGAAGAAATGGGGCAGACTGGGGGAGAAGCTTCCCATATAGAAGCCAGGTGCCTTGTTGCATGGTCCACTAGAGTGTCAGGCTCAGGAACTTGATAAAGAATCCAGGAAACAGCTTCCTCCTCAATCTTAGCAGTAATGTTTGGCTCATGTTTATTTGTTCCACTCTACACAAAATGAAACCACAATGTGGCATCAGAGCCAGAAAATGGAGGAGCAGTGGAGCTCCTATAGCTGGTCTCAAGCTCAGAAGGCCCCTAGAAATAAGTTTGTTTGATTGTTTGATATTTAATCAAAGTATTCAAACGCTGAGCTGCAACAATCACACTCACCTTAAAACATCCTCAACTACCCCAGTGGGTTTGAATCATTGGGAAGTTTTATGTAAAAACACTACAGAAATCAAGCCTTGAGCCTGATGGGCACTGTGAGCCCCACTGATTACAAGGACACCTGCTTGCCCTCTGGTCACAGAAAGGCTTTCTCCTCACCTCACGCATCCCAAAGGGGTTTTCTTCATCTAGATTCACACAAAGCTAAAAATCCAAGGCAAAGCCCTGACAGAAACTTACTTCCACAATCAAATTGAAAAGCCCTTCCTAAGGCTAGTTCCCAGGAGTTACTTAATTCTCCCAGCTTCTGGGTTTCTTTTCCCTTCTCTTAAACAAGCCGATTCTTTTGATGCAATATTCATGACTCCCAGACACAAGGAGGGCCCTCCATTGCAAAAAGACAGCACTTTCTTCTATAATGAATTTTTGCCCTTCCTATCTCACTCAAACAGGCTGTCTCCCGGTTTTTCTGCCTACATTGGTATTCGCCTTGGCTATCCTCTGAGCTGCTGGGATTCTGAGGAAGATATCTAGGCACTGAGTCCAGGCACCAGAAAGGGGGCATTCACCTAACTGGACGATGTGCTGAAGCTGCACTGGATCCCTAGCAGCAGCCTAACTCTCTCTTCTGAACTGGACTTAGAGATCTAATACGGATATTGCCTCTGATCATCCTATTGCTTGTATGTTAGATTATTGTGAGCTGAGGTTTGGAAATGGAAGATGCTTAGAAGCATGGAGTATTTTCATCCTAGGGAAATCAGATCTGCGAATTAAAAGCACCATAGGCAAGCTTTTGTTTGCATTTTGTCTGTTGTTGCTATTGCTGCTGGTGATACATATATATATATATACATGCACTATGTAAAGTCCATGTGAGTTCTAGAAGAAGGAACAAAAGGTTTTGGGTTTCAATAGACTAAGAGATAGGACACCAAATATCATCATAATCCTACACAGGATGAAAGGGAGTGCCGAGTGCTTTATAAGATGAACACTGGGTAAAAGATGGAAAGATCTATGCCCCTAAAAAAGCTCTGTGACCTTGAACAAGTGATACACAAATGATCCATTTTCTGTTTGCTCAGCAGCAAAATGGAACGAGGGGCCCTGGGGAACTGTAAGGCAGGAAAAGGGCATTTCATGGGAGAAATGTGGCCCTTGACATCAGACAGACCTGGGTTTTCACTATCAGTTCTGCTCCTTGAGGGCTATATGATGGCGGGCAAGTTACTGTCCTCTTTCTATAGATGAGAATCCTATAGGTTTCTCATCTATAGGATGTCTAAAATGTCTAATAATACTTACGTCTACTCTTTCTGGAGCTTGGGGTAAAATAAGGTATAGAGCATTTTACTACCATTAGCACACAAAAAGTGATTTGTAAAAGTTAGCATTTCCTCCACCTCCTTCTTCCCTTCCTCCAACTTCTTTAAGGCTCTGTGAGCTCTCACATTTCACAATTCCATGATTTGCTGACCTGAGGGCCCCTAAAGTTAGTTAAAAGACCCACCTATGGAGTATATTCCCCAGGTCCCTGCCAAGAGTCTAGGTTTTGTGATGAGAACCTAGATGTGATCAGGGAGGTGGGTAACATGTGTCCAGAGTGAGGCTGAGGAAGTACTAATGGAAGAACTGAAATGGTGGCCCTGCTGGCAGTGCAGAACAGCTCAGGGATGTTGTCAACAGGATTGAAGCAGATGCAAGAAAATGAGAGGCCCTCTTGACCCACTTAGCACAAAACTGGCAGTTTCATTTCTTGGCTCGAGCAGAAGGAATAAATGCTGAGAGAAGGAAGTGCTGCCACTACCCTGGAGCACTTTGGGGTTATTGGGTTAAAAAAGAGATCGATGGGGACCCTACTGTTACCTGCCAAATCCCATTCTCCTCATGCCAAAGTGGTTTTAAAATGAGTTGCAATAAGGAAGTAGCGAGGGTAAACTTTGTGTTGCAGAGGGACTGAGAGAAAGCCCAATGAGTTAATGTGGAAGGCGGGAGACTCAGAGCAGGAAAAGACATGGGTCAGAAGTGACAGGAGCCATGTCTTGCCTGTTCTTCAAGAGGCAGAGCACGATGCCACCCAAAACAAAACCCAGAGAGTAGAACTGTCTTTACTTCCTGTCAACCTGATGAGTTGTAATATCTGAGGACACTGGAGCTGAGCAGTGATGGCTCAAACGTACTTGATTGCTGCTGGAATGTGGCAGTAGAGAAGAGCCTCAACTTCCAAGGTCAAGGATGCTAGAGGGAAGATTTTTAAGAAGCCAAATGGGGACCCTCCCTTTTCTCTCTTCCCTATCCTGCTGCGCCTCACCACTCCAGGATACTACACTCAGCTCAGACTCCTGCTCACAAGACTAGGGCGACAGTCCCGTCCTGGCAACCTGGCTGCTCTTGTCACCACCCGCGGTTTTCGCATCTGGCCACTCCACACTGCTTCTCACTTCACAGTGGTCAGCGCTCTGTCCAGACATTACCTAACTCATCAGACACACGGCCTTCCTGCAAGAGAGGTGACAGGAATTATCCTCCTTATTTCAAAGAACTGGAGGCAGAAACACCCAGGATCTAAAAGGTCTTCTCAGTGACTTGCAATAAATTATGGAAAGGCTGACAGAGAAGAGCCCTTGAGATAGTAAGCTAGGATCAGAACAACAAAGTGCATTGCCCCTTTTGGAGGCCTCTACCTTCTTCTCTCTAGGGATTATCATAACTGAAGCGCTTCCTGAGGCATCAGCCCCTAGCTCCAAGGCCAAGGCTCCTCTCAACACTCCAGGGAGTGTGCAGTGCAGCTGGTTCTGCCTCGTTTATTTTAATACCACACATAAGCCATATGCAGCGGCACTTGACCACAGGGTCAGGTGCTAGTCAGGGGTGCAGAAACACATTCTTCTGCAAGGCTTCAGCAAGAGAGTCAGGGGAACCAGTGCATGCTGAGTAGAATGGATTCATTATTAGTGGTCCCACGCAAACCCTCTCAGTACAGGTGATGGCTTCATTCCAACAATCAATCAATGGGAAATATGGAAGGTCAACACAAATTTGCACAAAAAATGTTAAGGCATTCATTAAGAAACAAAAGGAAAAACTCATCAAGTAACAGTAATTATCAAACTTTTTGCCCACACTAATGACAATTAATACCCAACAACTGCCTAGCACATTTTGTGGTTTATTGAGTTCTCAAAAATATAATACCTTAGAGCATCTGTTCCTCAGCAAAATGCCATGAAGGAGGCACAGTAGGTACTATTTTTCCCTTGTTACAGATGAGGCAGGCAACAGAGTCTACCAAATATATAATAACCCTGACTCAACACCCCAAAGATGGTGACCACAGATCATGGAAGGTGGAACCTCACATTCCTATCTGGCTACCCTAACCTCAACCCAGTGGGCTACTGGGTGGCCCCTGGGCTACTTCTTTATGCTAGGAGTTCAGGGTTCTCGATAGCAGACTTTCTCTACAGACAGCAGTTACTTACTGCAAACTGCCTCTTTCCCACCCTGGCTCTATGAGCTGATTACATTTTGGCCAGTGGTGCAGCAAGAAATTGGCATAGCCAAACCTTTGGGAGGCCTCAGGATCGATTTGTGAGCTAACCCCAGGCAGGAAGCCGAATTCAGTGGCCGATTAGCAAAGAAAGGAGAAGTAAAAGAACTAAGCCCCAGAATGGCAAGTCTATTTCCATCTTGCCCAGGAGGAGGACTGGTCCATTGTGTAAAAGGTTTGATT